>NC_000006.12:41272121-41575151 GCF_000001405.40 Homo sapiens
GGGAAGTGTGACTCGGGGAACAGCTCAGGAAGATGCAGAAAAAGAGAGGCAGGCTGGCCACCCTTGTGACAGCTTCTTTCCTGCCATCATGATGTCACAGTCCTGATGGGAACACTCAGTTGCTTCCCTTTCTGCACCATGGTGAGTCTAGACCCACCCACCTGATGTCCCCACTGCGTCACTCACCCCTTCAGGCCACCAACCTCCTCATCACTGACCACTGACCCCTACAACCCGCAAGCCTGCACCCCAGTCTCCCTGTGAAATGGTGCTGCGCAAACAAACATTGTTCATCCCCCAAGGCCGGGTTCAAGCCTTTCTGCTACATCCTCCCTCTTTAATATCACCCCGCACCATGGTTCCCAAGGACAGGCACGTGGCTTCACTCAGGAAGTGTGGCAGACATACACACCCAGGCTCCACCACCAGATATTCTGACTTGGCAGATCTGGGAAGGGACCCAGGAATCTGTATTTTAGCAACAGCTTAGGTGGTTCTGAGGCAAGGAGTCCAAGTTGACCATGTCTGCAAGAGCTGCATATAGGTAAGATGGACCCTGCAGCATGTCTCGGTGACTCAGGGGCTTTGCCTGAGTACCAGGTATGGGCTTCCCTGAGCTAACCTGTCCAGGCACAGGCATGGAGACCCCAGTTATAACAGTAATAGCAGTAACCACCATGGATTGAAGTCCTACTGTGTGTCAGGTGCTTTACTCAGGCGTCTCCTTGGATCCTGTCAACATTGGGAGATGGTATAATGGAGGTGTGTCATCTTTTGACTCTCCAGTACCAAACACCTTTTTCTTTTGGGGGCACAGGCCCCAATGTGTGAGTTTCACCAGATGCAGAGTTCTGCTTCCCCTTCTATTGAGGATGGAAGCAGCTATTCCTCCCACCCTTCTCCCGGCAGCTGTGCTGCAGGCACGTGACTTGACCTAAGCCTGGCCACATGCATGATTCTGCCCAGGACCCCAGATCTGCGGATGAGGCTCAAATGCAGGGCCAGTTGCAGATTACTTACTCAGAGGCAATTTAAGGATTCAGAGTCTAGGAATAGCATGGTGGCCTCCAGTATCCAGGGCAGTGGCATTGATGGCAACATGTCCAGACTGTCTCATGTGGCCTCTGCTGTCCATTCTCTCTTGGCTTCTGCCCATTTTCTAAACCCAATCCCCCAGCCTCTCATCAACTCTGAGTTACTGATATCCCCCTAGAATTCCCTTGCTGTTTTAGATAGCCAGAGTTGGATTCTGTTGTTAGCATCCAAAATCATCACTGGCATGGTTAGGCACTATCATGCCCATTAAGGCAAGGAGGAATATTGAAGCCCAGAAGGTTAACTGAGTCACCCAGGATCAGACACCCTGCAAGGATGCAGAGCTAGATTCAAACCCATACATGGTTTTCCTCCAAGACCTGTGTCGTTAGCCACACAACACTATTGTATCAGTCAAGATAACAGCAAGACACCGCTGGCTCATTGAAACTGGGTAATTGAGGAGCATTTAATAAACATGTGCATAGAATTTAGGGAATCCAGTAAGGGGTGCTTCAGTATGCTGAGGCTGGCAATAGTGGTGGGTCATTCCCACTGCTGGGCCTACAGAGGAGAGGATGGAACAGGTGGCTGGACTTGGAGATGGGAGCTGTTTGCTGAGAGGCTTGAAGGAGCCTTCAGAGGGGAATGCAGCCACTCCTGCCACCACCTGCCAGGGAGGGAGCCCTGAGGACAGAAACCCTGATCTGACTGTCTCCCCACCCTCGGCTCTCCTCTCATGCTTCCCATTGGCTCAACCAGCCAGAAGCTGGCAGCCAGGGAGCCTGCTGGTTTAGCCACATTGGTCAGGTTCCCAGGCAGGATGGGGAGGATGGAGCATGGCGTGGCCTGTAAGTGCAAATGGGAGAGTATCCAGCACGGCCATTTGTCTTCCGATTTAGTGCATATAATATTTCAGTCACGTTTAATATGTTGGACTTAAATAACACTTGATCTATAATAAGTTAAGCACACAAGCATGCACTGGACCATGCAGTGGGTTATGTCTGGATGAATCTGTATGAATGTGTCATGGGCTTTGGTAAGGAGTGTAATGACTTTTTGGAAACAAGCTTGAGATCCACTAAGAGGGAGCTGTATACTAGTATACAGTAGGTCTGCAGGGGCCCTGGACTCATAAAGCATTTGCTTTATGCTCCAGGAGAATCTGATGCGGTGGCCTAAAGACCTCTGAAAAACATTGCCCTCATGTGTTCTGCCTCTCCTAGAGTGTATTTAATGATAATACCCCCTTGCCCTGGTCACTTTGTCAACTTCATAAACAGGAACAATGCTGGGATTGCTAAAGTGTGGGGTTCCAGACCAGCAAGCTCAGCATTATTATAAACACTGCATCCTGTACAGTCACTGCCTCTGAGCTGCTTGGTTCTTTTAGGTAGGAAAATAAATGCACCAAGATTAACAGCTTCTGGATCTAGTGCGTCTGCAAAGATTCTCACCAGAGCATCAGGATGAAATAAATGCCCACCACACACCTTCTAATGGGCTCAAAATTGCGGTTCAGAAATCATCTCTCTAGGGTCATTACCATTACCTGGGCAGGTTCTGACAGAGCAGCATTTAGGGGAATGGGGAAGTCCTTATGCGATGGAGCAGTCTGGAAGCTGGACCTCCCCGTGCAGGGAACTTTTTCCACAGAAGTGGTGCTCATTGTAAAAATACATTTACCTAACATGAGACACACGGTATGTGTGGAAAAGTATGATTGCTCTTGGGAACTGAGGATAATATCTGCCCTGGGCATCACTAAATTGGGCTGGAAGGACCCACCATCCTTTCCCCACCCATGAGGCCCATTTCCCTTTAAAGCTCAAAGTAGGAAATAACAAAATCCTGATTGAAATCTGTGGGAGATTGCAAGACAATCTCCCACAGAGATTGTCTCTGTGGTGGCCTGAACACCTACCTGCTTCACCGGGGAGGGCACTGGAGAGAGCATGGAAACTGAGGCAGGTGTTCCAGGAGCAGACTGAGAGAAGAGGAGGAGGGCAGAGTGGGGAACTAGGCAAGCACATGGGGACAGCCTCCAGAAGCCTCCCAGGGGGAGAGCTTTTACTCCACCATCCCTGACCCTTGTGTGATACAGGAAAAGAGGCATTTAGACACAGGCGGAACTCCTGGTTATTCTATTCTATATGGTTTTGGGGTCCTTCAGGTAAGGAGCGCTTCAGTTTTCACTCCTGCCAGTGGGCAGTGGCTTATTCATGTGGCCTCGTTCTAGTCACATACATTTCTGCCTTCACGGGGCTATTTTCAGGATCCAGCGATAAATGCACACAGGATGTCTGACATGGTCTGTTGTTGCTCTCCTATGGATCCCATCTCGGCCTGCCAGTATTTCCCCAGAAGAAGATACTCAGTTTAACTCTTTTCTCTGAGAAGGATGCACTTTCTCACCACGATGTCTTATTTCTCCAGGTTCCACAATCTTCAACACCCTTTTCTGGGAGTGTTGGAAAGAACCACACATAAGCATGAAACCCAAGTGTCTGATGCTAGAAAGAGGAAGTCCCAGCATGGGGCGAGCAGGATGCTTCTGTAGTGGGAGCTCTGTCCAGGTCAGGCCAAAATTGTATGGTCCAGGGCAAAACTGAGCAGGAGAAGTATCAGGTGTGCCTTCTGCATGTCACAGCCCCCACAAGAGAATTACGGTGAAAAGCATTGAGCTGTCTGTATTTCATGCCAACCCCAAGTGGCTGGTGGAATGAAGGACCAAGCATGTTTGGGGCTGTAACTTCTTTTCTGAGGCACAAATGCCCACCCAAGATTATTAGAGGAACGAGGGCAGTGGGCAGGAAGGTGAGACGCTGACTTTAGAAATAGCCGGTGATTACAGATTTAATTCATGTTATTAACTCCCTGCCTTTTACCTCCTCCCTCCTCCCTTGGCACAACTGCCAGATGGATGTGGCTGGAAGTCAGAGGACATTCTCGTGGGTTCGTGGGCCTAGGGTACAAATGACCTCAGCGTGACAGCAAACAGGACAGAGAAGACCAGGCTCTTACTCAGGAATCCACCAGCCAGGAGAATGACAATGTTGAACACCGGAACCCTGCGGGAGACAAGAGGCTGAACGCTACTGCTGGCAAAGTCTCTCCCACACGCACATGTTCCCTCTAGAAAATGCCTTCATGTCCCACTCTCCTCTGCTTAGATCCTTGCTCCACCTTTCCCGCACTGCCTGACCCTGTGCTTTTCAGTCTGTCTCATTGCCAAAAACTACTGATTAGAAACAATTCAGTGGAGAGTATAGGTCCCTGTCCAGGAGAGGCACTGGAGGGAGACAGTCGGGCTGATCAGCCCATCCTCCTCCCTGTGATGTGGTAGGGAGAGAGGACTCTGGCCAGGAAACCCGCTCTCTATTCTCAGTACCGTACCCTGCCTACTGGGATGGTCATCTCACCTCTTTAGCTCGGTTTCCTCACCTATAAACCGAGAAGAATCCACCCGTAGTGAAAATCTCATCATGAATTTTATAGATTTTGGCGAAATGATTCTAAGGTTTCTGGGTAAACATCAATAGGTATCATAATAAAAAGATGCAAAGGAGTGAGGGCACTTGGCCAGTTCCATCAGCAGACATGCAAGCAGATGAGAGCACAAGGATGTGGCATGGTAAGACACAGGGACAGACAGATGGCAATGGAACACAAAGGCCAGATGCAGAGCCAGTGCTATGCAGGAACATAATGTCTAAGGAAATCAGAGGTCCAGTGGATAAGCCGGACGTGGTAGCATGCACCCATGGTCCCAGCTACTTGGAGAGGCAGGAGGATCATTTAGTAAATAGTCTTGCAGTATCTGGACAGCAACATGGTAACGGTGTAGGCTTTTCTACAGTTTATAGCATGTAGCAGAATAAATCTTCCCCCGGACTAAACATTTAAATAAAATAAAAAAAAAACAATCCAAGAAAAGTCACCAGGAAATAGAATCAAACACATTAAGGAATAAAGCAAAGCAATTGATTTAAAATCAACACACCCACCTATACAAAACTTAAAACCACATGCACAAACTAGCAAAGAGGGAAACGGCGTAAAGGAGCTAGAAAGCAGAAAACTGCCTATTTGCCTGAAATCCACCCCCATTCAAGGGCCCTGACTTGTAGCACAGGGGACTACATTCCCAAGCCTGACTGGTCGAGTTCAGCAACTGGTGGGGGACAGGGGGCAGAGACGGGGGCAGGGATGGGGCAGAGAGACAGGCAGCAAGGGGCAGGGAGCCAGCATCTCTCTCACCCCTCACATGGTGGCGCACTCAGCATCCTCAGCATCTGCCCCGATTCCAGTGCTGCAACCTGAATGTCCTGGCTTCCGGGCTCTGCTCACTGCACCTCCTCCCCAAGTCTCTCCTGCCAGTGCTCTGCATTATCCACTCTGAGTGCTTTACCATTTTCCTATGCTGAACTCCTGGGGCATGTCCACTCCCAACAGGCCACCATCTGCATTTTTTTCGAGGCTGCACACAAGCTACCAACCCCCTGAAGGGCCAGGAATTCATGTGCTTGGCCTTGGTTAGAGCTGCCCTTGCTCAGTTACTGCCCCTTATAGGGACAACTCCAAATGTGACCCAGGAGTCCCCAGAGCTCCTTAACAAGACTGAGCCAGAGTTATCCTGTGAGATACCCCTTGGTTATGACACGCTTGCTTGGCTTCCTTCCCTTCCTGGTCCCACTTCCTCAATGGCTTTGCCAGAAATCACTTCCTAAAACATTTTTCTTTTTGTCTTTTTTTTTTTTTTTTTTTTTTAGAGAGAAAGAGAGCAGGATCTTGCTCTGTTGCCCAGGCTGGAGTACAGTGGCTTGATCACAGCTCACTGAAGCCTTGATCTCCCAGGCTCAAGTGATCCTCCTGCCTCAGCCTCCCGAGTAGCTGGGACCATGGGTGCATGCCACCATGCCCTGCTAATTTTTTTATTATTTTTTTGTAAAGACGGAGTCTTGCTATGTTGCCCAAGCTAATCTCAAATTCCTGGGCTCAAGTGATTCTCCCACCTCAGCCTGCCAAAGTGCTGGGATTATATGTGTGAGCCACAACACCTAGTCCTAAAACATTTTAACAAGACTTTACAGCTTGCTTCTGGGGAAACTACCTAGAGATAGGGTGATAGTGGCTACCTCTGCAGTGCCTCTCCATCCCCAGGATAGCGTCTCAGCTCTTCCATCACCTGGGCAAACAATTCCCTGCATTAAATTCCTTCGTTTCATGGCTGGATGTGGTGGCTCACACTTGTAATCCCAGCACTTTGGGAGGCCGAGGTGGGAGGATCACTTGATCCCAAGAATTCGAGATCAGCCTGGGCAACACAGGGAGACCCCCATCTCTACAAAAATAATAAAAAGTATTAGCTGTCCTGGTGGTATGCACCTGTGGTCCCAGCTACTTGGGAGGCAAAGGTGGGAGGAGGTTGAGGCTACAGTGAGCCATGATCGTGCCACTCCACTCCAGCCTGATTGACAGAGTGAGACCGTGTCTCAAAAAAAAAAAGAAAAGAAAAAGAAAAAAAGCTTCTTCTTTTCAAACAGCTAGTGTGGATTCCACTTTCCAGACTGGATTTTGGCTGAAAGGATAGTTCATATTAGATGATAGATAAAGTTAACAGATAAAAGAGAGATGCAGTCTCTAGCAGCAAGGCAGGAGAATAGGGTCTGGAGGCAGGAACGTAAGACCAATTCATGCTGAATCATGGAGCAACACCAAGGTCTAGGGGCAAGAAATCTAGGATGGATTCGTGCTGACTTCCCATAGCTGGATCAAAAGGAAAACTCCTGGGGCTGGGGTCAGGGAACCTAAGGCCAATTAACATAAACTTTCTAAAGCTAAAACAAAAGGAAAAACCCCATCTCCCCATGCCCCAGCAGCAAAGAATCAAAGGCTACTCTCCCTACAGCCCTCCCCCTTCCACCACGTCTCAGCTGGAAAGGGAGAGTGTCTTAGATTGGCCCTGAGCCAAGCAGAGACGACCATCCCTTTACCCACAGAGGGCGCCAATTCACCTTAGCCTTTAGTTAGCCACAAACCAAATGCTTCATCCAGATAAGGGGTAACTGGGAGGAACTTCACGTGGAGTACTTAAAACCCAGAAAACTTTGTAACTTGGCCCTTGAGCCACTTGCGTGGGGCCACTTCTACCCTGGGGAGCGCTTTCTCGCTTAAATAAATTCCTGCTTTCACTGCTTCATTCCTTTGTTACTTTGTGCGTCTTCTCCAATACTTTGATTAAAAGGCCCAGAACCTGGACAGCTTACACTTAAGGCCCTCCTTCCGGTAAAAGTAAGAATATGGGCAAAGATTATGTTCTCTTAACTTATGTATTGCAAAATGAAAGTAGAGGAAAAAAAAAAATTGACTCTTAGTAGATCATTCGTTTGATTTATTCCACAGAAGTTTAATGAGCACTTTGTTCCCCAAACAACATAATGGGGAAAAAGGCACTGCCACTACCCATATGGAGGTGGAGTCTACACTCATAGAGAAATTAGAGCAGGCACCAGTTCACATTTGTTTTAGCAGGAATGTGATTTAACTCACACTATTTAATGATTTAAAAGACTAAATCCGTGTCTGTAAGCCTGCCATGACACTGCTTTATTTATGCTTAATGGATCACACTGCAAATTGTTTCCAATCTTTTGGAAGACCATTGGTAGATGCTATTTGTATACAAAATGATATCAGTGTTTAAATTATCTCATGGAAATTTCGAGTTAATTATTTAAAAGAAGAAAAATATATCTGCAAGAATATGTTTATCTCAGAGTTATCAACACTATATCAATGTCTAAGAACAGGCCAATGGTTATGTAAGTTATGGCTTTCCCAATTGATAGAAAAATATGCACTCATTGAAATTATATTTATGAAATTTAGGTAGCAGCATCAAAGAATAATTTCAGCAAGGAAAAGAATAAAAACATGTATAATTAGACTTACTGCCATATTAAAATATGTATAAACATGAATAAAGACTAGAAGAGAATATGAGAAAAAAGACATGTTAGACTAGTGGTGATGTGGAAAAGTATTTCCATCCTGATAATTCAGTATTTAATGATAAACACATTCTAATATAAATCAACATTTAATAACTGTAAAGAGGTGTGAAATTGCTAAGTTAGTGGTTCTTAAGTTTGCCTACACATTAGAAATCTCCTAAACATCTTATTAAAAATACTGAGAGGGACCTCATCTGCAAAAATTCTGATTCTATTTATCTATAATTGGGCACATGCAACAATGTTATTTAAAAAACAATAAGGCAAAAACCAATACTGCATTTAGCCCCAGCTCCAGCTCCTGCTGAGAGTTATTAGGTGGACAATGTCTTCCAGCTTTGGGTTTCTACCATGCCTACTGAATTGTCAAAGAAGCTAAAGCCAGAGAGGGTTCCTGACTCACCCAAAGTCACATTCAGTTAGTCAGGCCAACACTAGATCCAGGGCCCCTCACTCAGAGTGCTTTCCCACTGCCCATCAGGCCCCTGGGGTTGGATGAGCTCCACTGGAACTTGGGGAAGATGCCATTTCCCTCTCTTTAATACTCAGGTTGCAAGGAAACAAAGAAGGTGAACTGGGGAGAAGGACAGCCTGGCTGAGAGCCTCCCCTATTCTCCATCACCACTTCCTTCTTCCCCTGGACATTTCTACCCAGACTAATGTGACTCAAGTCTTCTCCTGCCCCACCCTCCCCTTTCCCTCACTTTCACATCCTCTCAGCACACAGACTGGGAAACAAAGGGCTCAGTGTCCAAACCAGGGGCCCAGGGACCTGGAAACTATACCTGATGATATCTGTCACATTTGTAAGGTTGATTTCAGAGTCAGGAGTGGAGACATCGGCAGTTGACTTGGGTGGAGCTTGGGTCACAGTTCTGGGGCTGGTATAGAGTGGGCACAAGGCCTTAGTGGTGGTAGGAGGAATCTTATACACATTCTGGGTAGAATTCTCATTGGAGCCAGGGGTCCCTGAAAAACCTGCAAGAAGACACATTGGATGGATGGATGGACAGATGGATGATGAATGGGTGGATGGGTGGGTGAATGGATGTATGGATGTATGGATGAAAATGTGGATGAGTTGATGGACGGGTAGGTGGTACGGTAAATGAAGCTGAGGAGGGAAATGAGCATGGCCCAAATGCAAAGTTTTCCTTTGCTAAAGCCAAAGAAATACTGTGGAGTCAACCTGAGTCAGAAATCGAAAAAAGGAAAGAAGAAAAAAAGGGCAGGAAGTGAGGGAGAGCAGAAAGAGAGAAGAAGAAAGGAATTTTTTGTCATTCGTACTGTTGGAAATGAACTTGCCTTCTGTTCTTCACCAATTCTTGTGCCCCAACCTTCTCCAAGAATAATTCCAGGCTTACTTGATTCACTCTGCCTTTCGTTCACCTGGCTTATGGCATATTGCTTTAAAAGTTATCTTTTATTAATATATTGTGTGTGCACCTTGTCTTCCTCAGGCTTAGAATTCCCCAGGTGCTGGGAACTTGAGCCTGCTTCCCTTTCCTCTGTCTTCCATAATTCATTCCTTAATGCAACATCTCCTGAGGGCCTACTTTGTGTCAGAAACTACATTATTTGCTAGGGGTGCAGAGCCCAGGAAGGCACAGGTGCTTCCCTCAAGCAGTTCTGAAATGAATAGGGTACAGATAAGTAAACCCCCCTCTCCTATCCAGTGAGTAGAGTTGTGTACAAGGGGACACAAAATGAGCTCTGGAGACTTGCTCCCCCAAAATGGGAGCCATGGACCATCAGCATTGGCATCACCTGGGAGATCAATAGAGATGCAGACCCCTGTACCCATTCAGTTGGAGTGTGCATTTGAAATAAGATCCCCAGGTGGTCTGTGCCCACAGAAAGATGTGAGAGGGGCTGCTTCAGAAGCACACAGGCATGCCACCAAACGCATCCTTGGGAGGGGGAGTCAGGACATGACTTCTAAGTGGAGAACAAAGAATGGGACTAAATTATCCCAAATCTACCACTCACCTTAATTGTACCCCAATTCCTACCACAGCACCCAAAATTAGGCTGTGCTATCCAAGGAGAATCTCATGCATGGAAGGTTCTACTTACTACTGGACCTTAGATGAGAGATAAAGAGGTCCTGGGAGGAAGACAGACTGCTGGGAATCCTGAACCCCAGCTCTGCTGATGCTACCACCACTGCCCCTTTCCTCACCTGGCCCTTCTTTCCCCCCAAGTCCCAGGCCACTCACCCTTGGTCACCACCAAGCGGATGCGATCGAACAGCATGTGAGGCTCCTTGGGAGGCTGGTAGATCACACACTGATACAGTCCAGAATCTTCCACTTGAAGGTTGACCATTCGGACGCGCAGTAAACCATGATCATGGTAGTCTTCTAGTATGATCCTCCCCACTTGGACTGGATGGGAATTCTTTGAAGGCCTCTCTGTGCATGCCAGGGTCTTGGGCATCTCTCCGTCCCTTATTATCTGCCAAGCTTTCTGGCTGCTGGCAAACTTCTCTAGCGTGTAGTCACATTTCACATCCAGGGTCTGCCCCTCTTTCAGTTCATACTTTTCCTCAGTTAATTTAGTTGCAGCTCGGAGTTCTATAAGCAGGGAAAGAGAATGGGTTCTGTGAGGAATTATTTTTCTCTCTCTGAGTGGGGAAAAAGGAGAGGAGCCCCCTGTTTTTCTTGTCCAACCACCCATATTTCAGATGAGGTTCTTGAGGCCTCCAGAGAAAATACAACTTGCCCTGCAAGCCAGCACTAGACCTCAGATCTTTCCACTGTGAGTAGGTTTTTTACTATAAGAGACTGCATATGGTGCATGAGGATCAAATTTCATAAATGATCAGAAGAGGAAGACTGACTTTGAGAGGAAGAAACTGCCTGCCTGGAGACAGAACATGGGATATTGTACTAAGACCACGAGTGGCTGCAGCATGGTGGGAGGGATCGATTACAAGGGCGTATGACATAAAAAGTGAACGCAAAGACACGGTGCTAGCAGAGAGTGGCTCCAAGGACACCTTGAGGAACTTCATCTAAGTCAGGGCAAGGAGATCAGCTCAAAAGACCTTTGGACAAACAGTGAGGAAGCCGTCTGGAGGGCATGATGGGCATGGATATCTGACTGCCTGGCACTCCTTTTTCCCTTCCTTGGGTAGCAGAGCACCCCTTTCCAAGGGAACGATCCTGTGTGGCTCTACTGTTGGGGCAGCCCACATTCTCAAGGATGGGCACAGGACACAGGATTTGCCAATCCAAGTACCCCATCTCGGGGCCAGGCACAGTGGCTCACGCATGTAATCCCACACTTTGGGAGGATGAGGAGGTCAGATCACCTGAGGTCGGGAGTTCGAGACCAGCCTGGCCAACATGGTGAAACCTTGCCTCTACTAAAAATACAAAAAAATTAGCCAGGCATGGTGGTGCACACCTGTAGTCCCAGATACATGGGAGGCTGAGGTGGGAGAATCACTTGAACCCGGGAGGTGGAGGTTACAGTGAGCCAAGATCACAACACTGCACTCCAGCCTGGGCCACAGGGCAAGACTCTGTTAAAAAAAAAAACACACACACACACACACACATACACAAAGTACCCCATCTCCCTGCCAGGCTGATTGGTTTAGGAAGGAGCACATGGCTGAGCTGGACCAATCAGAGTCCTCCCTGAGACTGCTGTAGCCATTAATGGAAATGCTTCTTGCTGGGATTCACAGGTCAATGAGATGTGAAACTTTATTATGTGAAACTTTCTACCACGTAGGAATAGGCTGCCCGAGAATGGCTAAACAGGCAGAAAGTGAGTGGGAGGAAGGAAGAGGGGGATAGTGGAGGGGAGAGAAAGAAAGAGAGAAAAAAACCCACGTTATCTGAGTCATGGACTCAGCTGTGCTCCAAAGGAGCACCCCTTGTACTTCCCAGTTACCTGAGCCAAGAAATGCCCCCTCCTATTTTTGATGTCACGGAGTCACAGCAGTGGTTCTCCACTGGGGAGCAATTTTTGCTCCCCGCCACAACTCTCCCTGAAACACTGGACAATATCTAGACATTTTTGGTTGTTATAACCAGGGAGAGGGGTGGATGCTACTAACATCTAATGGATACCAGGCTAAGCAATCTACAGTGCACAGGACAGCCCCCACAACAAAGAATCATCCCACCCCAAATGTCAATAGTGCCATGTTTGAGAACCCCTGGGTTACAGTGACAATAGTTTCCATCACATTCTTGGAGTCCGAACTGGGTTAACCATCTAGAATTGGGGATGCTCATCTGGCCTTGTCCAAGGGAGCCTTGCTGATGGGAGGCCAAGCAGAGCGGAAGTGAGAAGACCAAGGTCCGTGTTTTCAGCTGGACACACAGGGCTCTCTAAGTTTGCTGAGAGACTGTAGCTTACCCACTCAGGCCTGGGGTACCTTCCCCCATGGAGCACCAAATAACAGGCTAGACAGTGCTGCTGGGTCTACTGTGTGGGTCACGGTAACACTAGTACTGCTGTTATTAATACCACACACTTAGGTCCTTGCAGGCCTGGTGAAAAATGACAAGTGCTTACCCTTTCATGGAGCCCCCTGGCATGCCCACCCCAGGATAGGCCAACAGATCTGCCTGACCTTAGGAAGACTCAACTCAGGGACTCACAAGGAGTTTAAAGGTGAAATCAGTCTTGAAAGCCAGTTCTTCTGGGAGCAGACTCCAGTTTCTAGGGAAACCTCGGAAACAGACCTCTTGGGCAACTCCCACACACTCCAGTCAGGAATGTGCCTCCAAGAGACTGTTGACCAGAGGCTGAGTGTTGTCTGAAACCAAGCCTGGTTCCCTCATTTGTTCACTCACTCATCAGACTGGCTGGGAGACTTCTCTATCATAGGCACTGTGCTGGGCTCTTTGGAAGACACACAGACTCCATCCTCAAGTTGCCACCACTGAAGCCCTAACCTCTGAAGTTAATGTTACAGATAAATCTCTTTTATTTGCCAGCTCCCCAGGGAAGGTGGGAGTTACAGGTGACTGAGTTTGCAAACTTGCCTGTCTCTCACAGAAGGAAGGAGACAATAAGAAATGAAGGCTGCTGAGCTGTCTGTGCACAATTGCAAGAAGGGAATTCCTTTGAATATGTTAATTAAAAGGGTAGCAAATACTACCTATTAAGTATTATGTGCTAAGGGTTTTTAAAGACTATCTTATTTAATCTTTATAAAGTAAAAAGTTGACACCATTATTCTCCCCATTTTATAGATAAGGAAACTGAGGCACAGACAGATTAAGTGATTTGCCCAAAGTCTCACCATAGTTAAGTACTAGAGCCAGGATTCAAACCCAAGGACTCTGGTTCCACCTAAAGCACTGAGCTACATGGTCCAACACAGTCTGATAGGGATTAGAGAAGTCCTGGCCCAAGTGTGAATAAGTATCCAGTTGCAAGGAGCATTGAGGTTAACCCCTAACCTATCCCCACAGGGCACAATGAAATATATACCACTGGTTTTCTCTCACACAGGTACATAACCTTCAGCCCTCTGCCATCTCCCAGTTCTCCTTCAGAAAAACATGAATCAAACACAAGGAAATGCACTTGTCCATGAGGAGCTAACTCCCTTCTGCCCATCTAGATTATCACCCCAGCTCCAAGAAGACCCAGAGCAATGTCTGAGCACAGGCTCTTCAAGGCAGTTGTCCATGACTTTGCTCAAAGTAGAGAGCCCAGGAGGATACCTCTCCCTGATTTTTCATGCCTTCCCAAGGCAAGCCTCGCTTTTAACTCATATTGACACTTTCCTCCTGTTATTCATAAGGATTAGGAGGAGGAGTGAATAAAGCCCGCATGCTTCTGGTTTGGGTGCAGATGTGAGCTGTGCGGATCGTAAGAGGAGACACAAGAAAGAGCTGGGGCATGCGCCGGCTCTGCTGAGCCTCAGCAACTGTGCCCTCCAACCCCAGCGTGCCATGGAGAGCTGGGATGATCACCTCCACCAAAATGAGCACCAGCCTCTTCTGGTCACGTCTGTGTCCTCAGCAGTAGTATATTTGCTGTCCCATAGTAGACCCCTGGGAAATATTTGTTAAATCAATTCTGTCTTTTGGGTTTAACAGATTGTCAACATCAAACACATCATGATGGAATATAAGAAAAAAATTTCAACATCAAATAAACTTATTGTAGATCATGCCATGATGAGATCTACTCTATCATTATTCCCATACTAGGCTTTGCATGTCTCTAACAACATCGACATGCACAGACATCTTTTTTCCCTGACTCTCTCCTTCTTTTACTTTTGTGTGCAGACACTGCATGTTCTCCCAATTCTGGGTAGAGCAGCACGGTCTGCCATAACTACTGGTTGGCTCTATCTTGGATGGCCCTGTGCTCTGAAGCTTCAACAGAAAAGGGCTCCCCGAGATCCTGGACCAAACGCCTCCCCTGCTCAGTCCTCTTCCTTGTCTTACCTGAGACAAAGAGCATCCACAGCAGCCCCCAGAGCCTGGTCTTCCTCATCCTTCCTGTGCACCAGCTCCAACTGCTGCTGAGGGCTCCCGGGACAGCTACAAGGCACCACAATGACCTAGAGGCTTCGGAAAGTTGCACAACAGGATATGAGGCCATTCCTGGGAGTCACTGAGTTTGGGTTCTGTTTCATCACCAGTTGCTCTGACTCCTGACATCAACACAATAATACAGAGACCAAGACTCACTTCTCAGTTAAGTTTCTTTGAACTCCAGTTTTCCTTTCTGTGGTAATAATGACAATTACCTTTCAACCTTACAAAATCTAAGGGAGAATGATACTTGAATGTAAATCAAAGTAAGGCATTCATATTAGGAAGGGGAACAGAGGGCCCTTTGCTCTCCAGAGGCCCCCTCTCCATTCACATCCAGTTTAGTGTAGTGAAGAGAGTCAGGCCCACATAGGGAGAGGCTGCGACAATCGTATCTCATCTTCAGGGTTTTTGTGAGAACATGTTGCTTCATCCTGCCCTGCTCAGCCCCGTGGGTTCTCTTGGCTTCTGGTGACCTGGGGTGCACCTCCTCTTCATCACCAGGAGGGCCACACCCTGCATTTGTCCTTCAGCATTGCCACAGACATGGCCTGGGAGCTCACGGGGGTGTAGGGACCCCAGAAACAATTTGAGAGGACACTGCCACCACCCAACAAGAACAGACTTAGATTTAAAAAGGAAACTTGGTTCAAGACGCTGAAGCAAGAAGAAAAAATCCAGCAGGTTTTGTACTAGAAGCAAGAAAAGACAGATTTGACAGTGTGAAAATCAAATCAATAATGGAGAGGATTCACTTCAGAAATATTCCCAAATGTGAAATGAATAAAGACATTTAGAAGAGCTCAGAAATTTAAGGGAGGACAAATCACAGAATTCCAATCTACAAATCAGAGATGTCCTTAAAGCATAAAATGGAATGGTGGATCACAAGCAAGATTAAAAATTTTATCTTAAAAAATATGCTTTCCAGGTCTGAGAAGAAATCTAAAATTGGAGGTTGAGAGTTCAACATGGGCAAGGAAAAAATTCACAAAGTGAGACCTAGAATAGGAAGTTTCCAGGTGAAAATTTTTAAATTTAAATAAAAAGATTCCTACTGCTAAATAAACAAAAAAATAACTTGGTTTCTTCAAAGGAATTGAAATAATCAGGACTCAGATTTCTTCTCTGAGTAACAAATACCATGAGAGAGTGGGATGAGGTATAAAGAACATTATGACCCTAATATTTTACACCCAAATTGATTGCTACTCAAGTATAGGAACAGCTAAAAGGTACTATCATGTCTGTAAATTAAAACAAACAACAACCAAAAAAATTTTCAAGGCTAACTTTAATTTTTTTTATTAAAGCTGTTCAATGCAGCAATTTATAAAATATAGAAAATAATACATAAACTTAAATCATGTTATTACACTTTATAGAGATCATTTGTAGTGGAGATTTTACTATGTTTATTTTTTGTTCTACAAATAATGTCGGAAAACAGGCTTCAAACATGCTTGAACTGAAATCTGCTGGCCCCTCCTTTTGCTGTACTCAAGCAGTCCCTAAAGAGGAAAAATAGACAGAAAGCTCTTGACATTTTCTGACTCAGAGAGGAGCCTACGTGACTTCTGTGGCGATGAGTCAAATTAATAAAGTTTATTTCAGTGAATAAATCCCCTCCTTACAACAAAATTAATATTCCACACTTAAATAATAGCTATTTCACATACTTTCTACATTTTTGTGTCTTCATATACTTTGTGTGGAGGATTAAGCTCCTGGAAGATTAAGAGGGAGCTTTGAACTAAACAGTCCAAGAAGAATTTTTAATTAGACTTGAATATCACTGGAGGCTGATTGCTCCTTCACATTTTCCTAACTACGGACAGCACCTGCATTTAAATTAGAATGAAGTAGAATGAGGTCTTTCTCCACTTGTCTGATCTATTTGTGTACTTGAGGTCAACAGTGCAAATAGTCACGTGTCACTTAATGACAGATACATTCTGAGAAATGTGTTGCTAGGTGATTTTGTGTTGCAGGAACATCATGGAGTGCACTTACACGAACTTAACATGGCACAGCCTACTGTACACCTAGGCTGTATGGTATAGCCTATTAATATTAGGAAGGGGAACAGAGGGCCCTTTGCTCTCCGGAGGCCCCCTCTCCATTCACATCCAGTTTAGACAAATACCTTTCAACCTCACAAAATCTAAGGGAGAATGATACTTGAACATAAATCAAAGTAAAGCATATTCCTAGGCTGCAAGCCTGCACAGTATGTTACAGTCCTCAATACTGTAGGCATTTGTAACACAATAGTAAGTATTTGTGTATCTAAACATAGAAGAGGCATAGTAACAATACGGTATTATGACATTATAATCTTATGGGACCTCCACCATATATGCAGTCTGTCATGGACCAAAACTTCCTTGTGCAGCACATGGCAGCATTCTCTAATCCTTACCACTTTATTTTTCTGAGGAGTTTAATGACCCGATCAGTAACTTCTTCAGGCTGAATAGGCAGGACGATATTCCTGCCTAACTATTAGGGTCTCTTTAAATTCTCAAGCTACTGCTCCCAACAAGATATTATTTCTTAAGGCTTCTCATAGAAGAGCACTGTCATTTGTGACCTATGGTTCCTGTTAATTTTACTAAGGCTGGGTCACATGTCCCATTTCCATGCTTGCTCATAGGGTGGCCTCTAGCACTAGGAAGATTTAGTCTTTGGGTACCATGAACCTTTCCATATTTGCCAAACTTCATCTTCAGAGCTATTATGAAATCAATACAGTTTCAACATTGATACAATTAATGAAATAATACCAATATTATTCTGTTTTGTTTTGTCTTCAATAAGTCACTGCCCCAAGTCAGTAGGTCTCGATCTTCACTATGGGGTAAATTAGCAGTTTCTTCCTTAATAAAGATTGGTTAATCTAACCTAGCTAGAATATATGTGTAACATTTTTTAACAATGAGATTGCATATAAAATATCTTCTTTTCTGGCTCAGAGGAGGGGCCCACATGGAACTGGAACACAGATCTCTGAGGATAGTGTGACCCTGGTGCTGATATCTCTGAGGAGGCCCAATGAGACTACTTCTGAGAGTGGGGAAAACTGCAAACTGGAACCAGTCACTGTTGCCCGTGAAAAGCATCACTGAGGCTACTCACAATGAAAGAGAATGAAATAGGAATCAGTGAGCATGTCCTGTCTTCCTCCTCCAGCCTCCCAATCTCCCTCTAATGCCCCTATCGAGAGTCCAGCAGGGAACCAGCCAGCAAAGACAAAGCGAGTTTCAGAATCTCCACTCAAACCAAGGTAAAGAAGTGTTAATCAGAGAGACGATGACTGAATAACCAGCTCACTCACACAGTCAAACAAGAGCACTCCACGTGTCTGAGGCCTCACCTAGCAGTAAAGCAGACAAGTTGAATAGTTAAGAATCACAGTGGCATTTTATGAAGAACTTTCTTAGCATAGCTAGGGGGCATGGCTAATTTCACATGTCCCCAGGCCTTATCTAGAATCAATGCTCCAAAATAAATTGAACAACTTTTAAAAGTCAAAGAAGCAGTTTATGACCTTAAAGCATTTAGGAAACTTAATATCTGACCTGCATAATTTAGACCAAATATTTACATTTTTGAAAATATTTTTATTTTACCAATAATCTTTAAAACTGTTTTTATTTCCCAAAGATTACTTAAGTCATATGAACCAAAAGACATTACACTTTTTAACTTTTTTGACAAAATATTTGATTTAAGCACTTATTTTTAAACCAATTAATCTAGCTATTTTATATTACACACACATAATTCATATAAATACATAGACAGAAGATAGAGGACTTATACCCAAGCCAGGAATCAAACCCTGAACCCAGCCTGCCATTGTGAAAAGAGAACATGGCCACATGGTTACAAGGTCAAGCTCCCAAGGACATACAAGACAGGAAGGAAATCTCATCCAGTTTTTTCAGGAACCTGCAGCAAAGTTTGTAACTGACTGGTTTACTGGGCTGTCTTGAAAAGCAGGCTTACAGGTAGGTGTCTTAGGCTTGTGTTCTATCCTAAAGTACTCCTCTGCATTATAGAACACAGAAAGACACACAAAACATACCAAATTCACTACAGCTTAAGACTAGCTTCATGAATTAATTCTTCCATTAATCAAAACTTTACAGAGGAGATAAACAGTGATTTTTACCATTCATTCAACCAGTTTGCACAGAGAGAGAGAGGAGAAAGGATTGCCTAAGGCAGGGTGAGGAAGGCACTCAGGGAGGCCAGAGAAAGACACACCCATTGCAGCGACACTGAAAAGTTCGGGCAGCCGCTTGCTGATCATGAAGGAATTTTTTCCAGCAGTGCCATCAGCTCTCAAGTTTCCCCTTTTTAGGAAGGAAAATGCTCCCCATGCCCCCTGATCCTGTACATGCCTAACCCTGTCACCCACAGCCATCAGCAAAGAGTGCAAAGCAGATTATTTCCAAGAGAACAGCAATTAATTCCCATAGTGCTAAATTCGTTCTTAGCCAAAAGGGACTTTACCAAGAGGGACTTTACCGACAGGGGCCTCTAACCCCCTAAATCTTAGAAGGGACTCTAACCCTCATAAGTTGGGCCTCTAACCCAGTTGGTCAGGCGTTCTTGCCTTTTATTAAGAGGGGGCTGTAACCCACTATGTCTTAGGAGAGACTCTAACTCCTTTAAATTGGGCCTCTAACCCAATCCCATTCTTTACCCGGTATATGCACCCCACTTACCCAAAGTCCGCCAGTCAGTGCTGCAGTCTATTTCCTTTGCATTGGAGGGTCTGCTCAGTATCGTCCCTTCCGTGGTTCACAAGAAAGATGTTAAAAAAACATCCTCAGATGTTTTTTAATGATTTTTTCCTAAATGAAGTTCTTTTAATTTTCAGACCAACCAAACATTTTTAATATAAAAACATTTTAATAATATACAAACAGCAATCAAAACGGCATCCACTTGGAAGCGAAAGGACTGGGGCACAGATGGGGGAGTGGACTAAAGAGGGACGGTTTTCAGGGTCCCAGTTGCTTCCCTTGCCTGAAATCACTCTGGTCTTAGCAGAGGGAAGATTAAGGCATCCAGAGGCAGAGGGGCCCTGACCCTGACCCAGAGACAGACTAAGCACAGCAGGCCCCTCTAACATCACCTTCCCACCATGACAGCCTCCAGGGAAAGCCAGATCCAGTTACAAGAGAACAGGAAGGTGGCTGTGATTAACAGGAAAGGCAACCATCGTTCCTCAGCAACCTGTTGATCACACCTCTGGGAATAGAGTTTTCCAGTGACTGCTGGATTGAAGAGGATCTAAGAATCTTCCTGGGAGAAGGATGGAAATGGGATCTGAGTCTACATACTAACCAAGATGCCTTGCCTGTAACACCAGAAAGCTGGAGTGGATCTGCTCAGATGTTTGGGAAGAGAAAAGAATGACAGAGCCTTTGGCCCAGCAAAGCTGGAGTGTTAACAAGCATTGACTGAGAAATCCTCTAGGCAGGCCAGGGAGGTCTGTGGCCCACCACTTACCCAAAGGTAGCCATTGGGTTGGGGGTTTCCACACTATAGTCACTTCCATGATCAGCAGAAAGATGTTACAGGACCCCACCACTTACCCAAAGTTAGCCTTTGAGTCAGGGGTTTCTGTGCTATAGTCCCTTCTGTGGTTGCCAGAAAGATGTTACAGGAAATGGGTCTGGATCCAGACCCCAAGAGAGGGTTCTTGGGTCTTGTGCAAGAAAGAATTCAAGGCAAGTCCATATAGTAAATTGAAAGCAAGTTTATTAAGAAAGTAAAGGAATAAAAGAATGGCTACTCCATAGACAGAGCAGCCCCAAAGGCTGCTGGTTGGCCATTTTTATGGTTATTTCTTGATTATATGTTAAACAAGGAGTGGATTATTCCTGCCTCTCCTTTTTAGACCATATAGGGTAACTTCCTGATGTTGCCATGGCTGTAAACTGTCATGGTGCTGGTGGGAGAGTAGCAGTGAGGACGACCAGAGGTCACTCTCGTCGCCATCTTGGTTTTGGTAGGTTTTAGCGGGCTTCTTTACTGCAACCTGTTTCATCAGCAAGATCTTTATAACCTGTGTCTTGTGCTGATCTCCTATCTCATCCTGTGACTTAGAATGCCTTAACCATCTGAGAATGCAGCCCAGTAGGTCTCAGCCTCATTTTACCCAGCTCCTATTCAAGATGGAGTTGCTCTGGTTCACACGCCTCTGACAACTGCACCAGCCTTTCACCTACTCTGAAGGCATACATAACAATTAAATGTGAACAACATTATTATCCTGATAACAAACCAAAGACATCACAAGAAAAAAACCTACGGACCAAATCCCTTATGAAAATAGACACAAAAATCTTCAGCAAAAACACTAACAAACTGAATACAGCAATATATAAAAAGGATTACACACCATGACCAAGTAGGATTTGTCCTACCTGGCATTCATTCAACATATGAAAATATTTCAGTTTAATACTCCATATTACATTGTAAAGGAGGAAAATGTCACAGTCATATCAACAGATGCAGAAAAAGCATTTGACAAAATTCAACTCTCTTTTATGATAAAATACTCAATAAACTAGGATAAGAAGGGAATTTCCTCTATGCAATAAAGGGCATCTATTAAAAAAGACCCTACAACTAACATATTTAATGACGAGAGACTGCAAGCTTTCTCTCTAAGATCAGGAATAAGACAAGAATGTCTTCTCAGCCAACTCTGTTCAACATTGTACTGGAGGTTCTAGCCAGGGCAATTAGGCAAGAAAATAAAAGGCATCCAGGTTAGAAACAAAGAAGTTAAATTTGTACGTAGGAAATTCTATGGAATTTTTAAGAAAACTATTAGAGCTAATTAACAAGTTCAGCAAAGTTACAGGATATAAGATCAATATATAAAAATCAGTTGTATTTCTACTTACTAGCAATAAACAATCTGAAAATGAAATGAAATTAAGAAAGCAATTTCCTTTATAATGGCATCCAAAGCAATGAATATTTAAGAACAAATTGAACAAAAGAATGCAAGATTTGCACACTAAAAACTACAAAACATTGTTATCTGGCAGAGTCTTTGCCTTTTTGTACCCACTCACCCAGCTTGGGTCCTATCTCCACTACTTTATGTTTTCTGCTCCAGGAGGCCCTAGGTGACTCTGCTGCAGCCTCTATCATCCTGTGACCTGCAGGATCTCAGTAAGACGGCTAACTAGATGCAGCCAGGAGGAACATCTGCCACCTAAGGATGGTGACATAGAGAAGACTGGTGCACTGAGGGAAGGCACTGAGAGTGGATGGAGGGAGGACACAGATGCTGGGCTGAAGGGGAGAGAAAGCTGGGAATCTTGCACGGGCCATCATACCTTGGGACTCATTCCTGGCCCCCAACAACTCTGGGGAACAGGTGAGTTGAGCAGGCAAGGCGTGACCCACTTTTGCCACAGACCTCTAGAATCCTGGCAGCAGGAGACCCCACAACCCCAAAGACACTTGAGCTGGCAGGGGGAGCTGCTTAGAGAGGTAGTAAGGGCAGGACTCCAGCCTGTGTAGAGCCCAGAGGGTTTAGTGTGGGAATGTCTGTGGTGGAGCACAGCTGGGGATGCCCATACCACAAGGCTCACCATGATCTCCTAGGAGATTTTAGCCTTAGGGGAACTGTCCAATTTCAACAGAGCAGGATGGTCTTGCCAGTGAGACAAGCCAGTCTGATCTGAGTGCCCTCCTGTCTGCTGGCCTCTCCTGGGGCCCCAGCCTGCCCATGCCTGCTTTCAGTGCAGCCTTGGATACCAAACTGGCATGCCTCCTGGGGACCTGCATCATAGTTCCTTCACCAGCAGACTGCACCTGACCATCAGAGCACTCAAGCAGAGTGGCCCCTGCTGATGAATATCAGCCCACCACACCCTCCCTCTGTGGCAGCCTTCCCCATGCCACTTTACCAGCACACATTTGCTCACAGCCAACCCCCCACCGCTTTCCCAGCACATGTGTGTGTGGGCGGATCTCACCTCCCCTCCCCCGCTGCTGCATGTGTGCATGTGAACCTCACTGTGCTACTACTGCAGGCATGAGCCTACCCCTGCCCCAGCCATGCTGCCATTGCCAGTGTGAACACAGGCACACAGGCCCCACCTCCCACCCCACACTGCCACCACCACTAGCACAAACACACACACGTAGTGGCCCTCAGCCTCACAGCCACCAGGACCCTACCCCAGCCAACAAGCGTGCACCCTGCTATGCTGCTGCTGCTGCTGCTGCTGCTGCTGCTGACACACACAAACACACATGGATCCTGCTGCCATCACCCTGACAAAGTGCTTTGGCTGGTACCACCCATCAGAGTGTCATGACCAGAGGCCCCAGAATACCTCTGTCCCTCTAGCATGGCTGGTTCCTAACCTCAAGGGGCCAGAGAACAAAGCTGGGGGCCTCATTCCAGCGCCCCCAGAGTTAGAGCCTGCAGCTTAGGAGTGCTGAGTTGAGCCTTGGCCCCCTAACATCTTCCAGAAACAAAGCCAGTCAACAGGACCCATCTTATACCACAATCAAACCCCCAAGGCCATCAATGAAGATAAAAGCAAATAAACCCGTCCAAAGGACAGCAGCTTCAAAGATTGAAGAAACATCAGCCCACACATATGAGAAGGAATCAGCACAAGAACTCTGGCCACTCAAAAAGTCAGAGGTCTTTTTACCTCCAAATGACAACACTAGTTACCCAGCAATGGTTCTTAACCAAGTGAAATGGTTGAATGACAAAAACAGAATTTAGAATGTGTATAGGAACAAAGATCATTGAGATTCAGGAGAAAGCCAAAACCCAATCCAAGGATTCTAGGGAATACAATAAAACAATATAGGAGCTGAAAGACAAAATGGCCGTTTTCAGAAAGAACCATACTGATTTGATAGAGCCAAAAAACTCACTTCAAGAATTTTATAATACAATCAGAAGTATTAACAGCAGAATTGATGAAGCTGAAGAAAGAATCTCAGAGCTCAAAGACTGGTTATCCAAAATAACTCAGACAAAAATAAAGAAAAAAACTAAAGAAGAATGAACAAAACCCCTAAGAAATATGAGATTATGTAAAGAGACAAAATCTATGACTCACTAGAATCCCTGAAAGAGAAGGAGAGAAAGCAAGCAACTTGGAAACATATTTCAAGCTATCATCCATGAAAATTTCCCCAACCTCACTAGAGAGGACCACATTCAGGAAATTCAGAGACCCCTGCAAGATACTAGATAAGATGGCCATCACCAAGAAACATAGTCATCAGATTCTCTAAGGTTGAAATGAAAGAAAAAAGTATTAAAGGCAGCTAGAGAGAAGGGGCAGGTCACCTACAAAGAGAACCAGCTAGCAGCAGACTTTCAGCAGAAATCCTACAAGCCAGAAGAGACTGGGGGCCTATATTTAGCTTTCTTTTTTGTTTTGTTTTGTTTTGTTTGTTTTTAATCTCAATAGCTTAGGGGTACAAGTGGTTTTTGGCTACATGATGAATGAATGAATTGTACAGTGGATGAATTGTATAGCGGTGAAGCCTGGGCTTTTAGTGTATTCATCACCTAAATAGTGTGTATTGTACCAGTAGGTAATTGTTCATCCTGAACCCCTTTTCCACTCTTTTCCATTCTGAGTCCACAACGTTCATTATACCATTCTGTATGCCTTTGTGTACCCATAGCTTAGCTCCCACTTACAAATGAGAACATTCTGTATTTGGTTTTCTGTTCAAGTTTTTACTTCACTTAGGATAATAGACTCTAGTTCCTTCAAAGTTACTGCAAAAGACAGTATTTCATTCTTTTTCATGAATGCATAGTATTCTGTGGTGTGTGGATGGATAGATAGATAGATAGATAGATAGATAGATAGATAGATACCATATATTTGTATCCACTTATCAGTTAGTTGGCAGTTAGGATGATTCCATATAATTGCAATTGTGAATTATGCTGCATACATTTAGCATTCTTAAAGAAAAGAGATGCCAACCAAGAGTTTCATATCCAGCCGAACTAAGCTTCATAAGTGAAGGAGAAATAAGATCCATGTCAGACAAACAATTGCTAAGGCAATTCATTACTACTAGACTTGTCTTACAAGAGGTCCTGAAGGAAGTATTAAATTTGTTAAAGAAAGACCATTACCAGCTGATATAATCTGGATATTTGTCCCCACCCAAATGTCATGTTGAAATGTAATCTCCAATCTTGGTGGTAGGGCCTGGAGGGAGGTGTTTGGATCAAGTGGGTGGATCCCAAATGAATGGCTTGGGCCATGACTTGGTGACAAGTGAGCTCTCACTCTGAGTTCACACAAGATCTGGTCATTTAAAAGTGTGTAGCACCTCCCCCAGTATCAGGGGAACCAGCCCCCAATATTTCAACGTAGATTCATTTCTATTTTCCCTAAGTGTTGGCCAGTCTGAGAAATAAAGAGAAAGAGTGCAAAGAGAGAAATTTTAGAGCTGGGCCTCCAGGGGTGTCATCACATATTGTTAGGACCATGATGATGACCCCAAGCCACAAAACCAGCAAGTTTTTATTAGGGATTTTAAAAGGGGAGGGGGTATATGAACAGGGAGTAGGTCACAAGGATCACATGGTTCAAAGGGCTATAAAGATCACAAGGCGAAGGCAAAATTAGAATTACTGATGCGGGTCTATGTCCCGCTGTGCACGCATTGTCTTGATAAACATCTTAACAGGAAACAGGGTTTGAGAGCAGAGAACCAGTCTGACTAGAATTTACCAGGCTGGAATTTCCCAATCCTAGTAAGCCTGAGGGTACTGCAGGAGACCAGGGTGTATTTCAGTCCTTATCTTAACCACATAAGACAGACACTCTCACAGCGGCCATCTATAGACCTCCCCCCAAGAATGCATTCCTTCCTCAGGGTATCAATTATTAATATTCCTTGCTGGGAAAAGAATTCAGCGATATTTCCCCTACTCGCATGTCTGTTTATAGGCTCCCTTCAAGAAGAAAAATATGGCTCTATTCTGCCCAACCCCACAGGCAGTCAGACCTTATGGTTATCTTCCCTTGTTCCCTGAAAATCACCATTATTCTGTTCTTTTTCAGGGTGCACTGATTTCATATTGTTCAAACACACATGTTCTACAATCAATTTGTACAATAGTGGTCCTGAGGTGACGTACATTCTCAGCTTACAAAGATAACAGGATTAAGAGATTAAAGTAAAGACAGGCATAAGAAATTATAAGAGTATTATTAGGGAAGTGATAAATGTCCATGAAATCTTCACAATTTATGTTCAGAGATTGCAGTAAAGACAGGCATAAGAAATTATAAAAGTATTAATTTTGGGAACTGATAAATGTCCATTAAATCTTCACATTTTATGTTCTTCTGCCTCGGCTCTAGCTGGTCCCTCTGTTCAGGGTCCCCGACTTCCCATAACACCCCACCATTCTCTCTTGCTTCTGCTTTCACCATGTGACATCCCTGTACCCCCTTTACCTTCTGCCATGATTGTAAGCTTCCTGAGACCTCCCCAGAATCAGATGTTAGCCCCATGCTTCCTGTGTAGCCTGCAGAAACATTAGCCAATTAAACCTCTTTTCTTTATAAATTATCCAGTCTCAGGTATTTCTTTATAGCAATGCAAGAATGACCTAATACATTGGCCACTACAAAAATGCACTTAAGTACATAGACCATTGACACTATTGAGCAGCCACACAAACAAATCTGCATAATAACCAGCTAACAATGTGATAACAAGATCAAATCCACACATATCAATATTAACTTTGAATGTAAAAGGGCTAAATATCCCAATTAAAAGTCACAGAGTGGCAAATTGGATAAAGAAGCAACACTCAATGGTATGCTATCTTCAAGAGACTTATCTCACACACAATGAGACCTATCAGCTCAAAGTAAAAAGATGGAGAAAAGGTACCAAGCAAACAGAAAACAGAAAAAGCAGAGGTTGCTATCTAATTTCAGACAAAACAGAACTTAAGCCAACAAAGATCAAAAAAGACAAAGAACATTACATAATGGTAAAAAGTTCAATTCAACAAGAAGACCTAACTATCCTAAATATATATGCATCCAGCACAGGAGCACTCAGATTCAAAAAGCAAATTCTTAGAGACTTACAAAGAAACTGAACTCGACACTTGACCAAATGAACCTAATAGACATTGACAGAACTCTCCACCCCAAAACAACAGTGTGTACATTCTTCCTACCTGTACATGGCACATATTTGAAGTCAACCACACAATCGACCAAAAAACAATCCTCAACAAATTCAAAGAAACCAAAATCACACCAACCACACTCTTGGACCACAGCACAAAAAAAATAGAAATCAATACTAAGAAAATTGCTCAAAACCATACATTTGCATGGAAATTAAATAACCTGTCCCCAGATAACTTTTGGATAAGCAACAAAATTAAGGTAGAAATCAAGAAGTTCTTTGAATCAATGAGAACAATGATACAACATACCAGAATCTCTGAGACATAGCTAAAGCAATGTTAAGAGGGAAGCTAATAGTACTAAACACCCACATCAAAAAGTTAGAAAGATCTCAAATTAGCAACCTGACATCACACTTAGAGGAAATAGAGAAACACGAGTAAACCAACCCCAAAGCTAGCAGAAGACAGGAAGTAACCAAAATCAGAGCTGAACTGAAGGAAAGTGAGTCACAAAAAAGATATAAAAGACCAATGAATCCAGAAGTTGGTTATTTGAAAGAATAAATCATATATATATATATATATATATATATATATATATATATATATACATTCTTAGCTAGATTAATAAAGAAAAAAGAGAAGATCCAAAAAACACAATCAGAAATGAAAAAGGGGACATTACCAGCAACCCCACAGAAATACAAAAAACCCTCAGGGACTACTATAAACACCTCTATGCACACAAGCTAGAAGACGTAGAAGAAATTAATACATTCCTGGAAACATACAACCTCCCAACATTGAACCTGGAAGAAATCGAATCCTTGAACAGAACAATATGTTCCTAAATTGAATCAGTAGCAAAAGGCCTACCAACCAGAAAAAGCCCAGAACCAGATGGATTCACAGACAAATTCTAAGAGATGTATTAATATAAAGAAGACTTGGTACCATTCCTACTGAAACTATTCCAAAATGTTGAGTAGGGACTTCTCCCTAACTCATACTATGAGGCCAGCATCATCCTGATACCAAAAGCTGGCAAAGGCACAACAATAAAGGGAAACTTCAGGCCAACATCCTTGACAAACATAGATGCAAAAATCCTCAACAACATACTGGTAAACCAAATCCAGCAGCACATCAAAAAGCTAATCCACCATGATCAAGTAGGCTTCATACCTGGGATGTAATGTTGGTTCAATATATGCAAATCAATAAATGTGATTTATCACATAAATAGAACTAAAAACAAAAACCGCATGATCCTCTCAGTAGACGCAGAATTTTGATAAAATTCAGCATCACTTTATGTTAAAAACCCTCAACAAACTCAGCATTGAAGGAATACCTCAAAATAATAGGGACCATCTATGACAAACCCACAGTTAACATCATACTGAATGGGCAAAAGCTTGAAGCATTCCCCTGGAGAACCAGAACAAGATAAGGATGCCCTCTCTCACCACTTCTATTCAACATAGTACTGGAAGTCCTAGCCAAAACAATCAGGCAAGAGAAAGAAATAAAAGTCATCCAAACAGGAATAAAGGAAGTCAAACTGTTTCTCTTCACAGATTATATGATTCTATGCCTAGAAAAACCCATAGTCTCTGCCCCAAAGCACTTTGATCTGATAAACAACTTTAGCAAAGTTTCAGGACAAAAAATCAATGTGCAAAAATCAGTATCATTTCTATACACCAACAATTTCCAAGCTGAGAGCCAAATCAAGGACATAATCCCATTGACAATAGCCACAAAAAGAATGAAATACCTATGAATACAGCTATCCTGGGAGGTGAAAGATCTCTACAAAAGAATTACAAAACACTGCTCAAAGAAATCAGAGATGACACAAATAAATGGAAAAACATTCCATGCTTATTAATAGGAAGAATCAATATTGTTAAAATGGCCACACTACCCAAAACAACTTACAGATTCAATGTTATTCCCAACAAACTACCAATAACATTTTTCACAGAATTAGAAAAAACTATTTTAAAATCCACATAGAACCAAAAGCTTGAATAGCCAAGACAATCCTAAGCAAAAAGATTAAAGCTGGAGGCATCACATTACGCCCCAACTTTGAACTATACTACAAGGCTACAGTAACCAAAACAGCATGGTGTTGGTACAAAAACAGACACATAGACAAATGGAAAATACAGAGTCCAGAAATAAGGCCACATACCTACAACCAACAGATCTTTGACAAAGTCGACAAAAACAAGCAATGGGAAAAATCCATTTGGCTAGCCAATTACCCTAGCATCATTTATTGCACCATTTATTTATTCAATAAGTTATACCGGCTTAATTGGCTAGCCATATGCAGAAGACTGAAACTGAGCTGCCTCCCTTACACCCTATACAAAAAATCAACTCAAGATGGATTAAAGACTTAAATGCAAAACCTAAAACTACAAAAACCCTGAAGATAACCTTGGAAATATCATTCTCAATATAGGACCCAGCAAAGACCCAGCATTTTCATGACAAAAATGCCAGAAGCAATTGCAACAAAAACAAAAGTTGACAAATGGGATCTCATTAAACTAAAGAGCTTCTGCCCAGCAAAAGAAACTATCAGCAGAATAAAGAGACAACCTACAGAATGTGAGAAAATATGTGCAAACCACGTACCTGACAAAGATTCAATATCCAGAATCTATAAGGAATTTAAACAAATTTACAAGCAAAAAACAAAGAGCCCCATAAAAAAGTGGGCAAAAGATATGAAAGTGATTACTTTTCAAAAGAAGACATACACATGACCAACAGGCATATGAAAAAACACTCAACATTACTAATCATTAGAGCAATGCAAATCAAAACCACAGTGAGACACCATCTCACACTAGTCAGAATGGCTATTATTAAAAACTCAAAAAATAAAAGATGCTGGAGAGGTTGCAGAGAAAAGAGAATGCTTATGCACTGCTGGTGGGAATGTAAATTAGTTCAGCCATCGTGGAAATGGTTTGGGGATTTCTCAAAGAACTTAAAATAGAATTACCATTCAACTCAGCAATCCCATTATTCGGTATATGCCCCTAAAAATATAAATCACTCTACCACAAAGATGCATGCACACATATGTTCACTGGAGCACTATTCACAATAGCAAAGACATGGAATCAATGCAAATGTCCATCAATGATAGGCTAGATAAAGAAAATGTCATGTATATACATCATGGAATACTATGCAGCCATAAAAAGAACAAGTTGATGTCCTTTGTAGCAACATGGATGGAGATGGAGCCCATCATCCTAAACAAACTAATGGAAAAACAGAAAACCAAATACCTCATGCTCTCACTTTTAAGTGGGAACTAAACATTGAGTACATATGGACACAAAGAAGGGAATAACAGATACCTGGGTACTGTGCTTATTACCTGGGTGATGAAATAATCTGTACACCAAATTCCTGTGGCATGCAATTTACCTATGTAACAAACCTGAACATGTATTTCTGAACCTAAATAAAAGTTACTTTTTAAAAAAGAAATATGGTAATAAAATTAAATCCTTACAGTTTAAAAATACATATATAAAATGCTTCACGAATTTGCATGTCATCTTTGCAAAGGGGCAATGCTAATCCTCTCTGTATCATTCCAATTTTAGTATATGTGCTGCCAAAGTATGCACAGGACTATTAAGTTGAGGTTATTAGGTCATGGGGATCTTCCCTTATGAATGGATTAATGCTGGTATTGGGGAACTGGATTAGTTATTGCAGGAGTGTGTTCCTGACAAAAGGATGGTGATATGGTTTGGCTCTGTGTCCCCACTCAAATCTCATGTTGAATTGTAATACCCAATGTTGTGGGAGAGACCTGGTGGGAGGTGGTTGGATCATGGCAGAGGATTTCCCCTTTGCTGTTCTCATGTTGGTGAGTGAGTTCTCATGAAATACGATGGTTTAAAAGTGTGTGGCACTTCCCCTTTCACTCACTCTGTCTCCTGTTGCCATGCGAAGACGTGCTTGTTTCTTCTTCACCCTTCTGCTACGATTTTAAGTTTCCGGAGGGCTCCCCAGCCATGCCTCCTGTTCAGCCTGCAGAACCAGAGCCAATTACACCTCTTTTTTCCATAAATTACCCAGTCTCCAGTATGTCTTTATAGCAATGTGACAATGAACTAATACAGATGGATTTGGTTATCTCTTCCTCTGGATAGGATGGTTCCTCTCAATCCTTCCTCTTTCTGCCATGGGATGATTCAGAAAGAAGGCCATGATCAGATGTGCCCCCTTAGTCTTGGACTTTTCACCCCCAAAACTATCAGCCAAATAAATTTCTTACCTTTATAAATTTTAAAAAGATTGTTAAAAGAAATTTTTTAAATAACTGAATAAATGGAAAAACACTCCTTGTTCATGGATTATAAGACTTAATATTGCTTAAATGGCAATATTCCCTAACTTGATCTACAGAGTAAATGCATTTCCTATCAAAATTCACTTAGTGTAGAGATTGACAACATGCACTGGCATTAATATAAAAATATAAATCAATGGAATAGAATTTATGGTCTAGAAATAAACCTATACATTTATGGTCAACTAATTTTTGATAGGGGTAACAAGTTAATTCAATGGGGAAAGGATAGTCTTTCAACAGTTGGTTTAGGACAACTACATGTGAACATGCAAAAGAGTAAACTTAGACACCTACTTCACAACATATATAAAATTAACTCAAAGTAGATCAAAGATCTAAATGTAAAAGCTAAAACTATAAAACTCTAGGACAAAAAATACAGGAGTAAATCTTTGTAACCTTGCATTAAGCAACAGTTTCTTAGATATGACACCTAAAGCAACCAAAGAAAGAAAAAGATAAATTGGACTTAATCAAAATTAAAAACTTTTGTGCTGCAAAATTTTACCATCATGAGAGTAAAAGGACAACGCAGAGAATAAAAGAAAATATTTATAAGTCGTATATCTGATAAAGGTCTGGTATCCAAAATATGAAAAAACTCTAACAAACCAACAATAAAAAGACAAATAACCTCATTTGAAAATGGGTTTCCCAAAGAAGTATACAAGTGACCAATAACCATCGTTCTTGAGTCATTCCTATTCAATGAATGTTTAAGGTAAATGTTTAATAACCAGCTCTTTAAAAGATTTCCTGATTTGTAGTGACTGCCAATTTCTGTGGTGTAAATACTCTCACATGGTTGATTTCAAGCTAGCAACATGGCATCACTGGATGTGGAGTTGGAAAGAGAGGCTTGCAAACAATTTTTGTGAGCCAGTGCAAGCTGGCTCCAGCACTTCACTTCTTATAATAATTTTAAATTTCATTTTGGTTATATAAACTCTTCCTGATGCCCATGTTTGTTGATTTTTAATTCAGGAGCATTCATGCTCTATTAGCTAACTAATCTTACTTGTTTTTTGTGACTAGTCCTTACTTCATAGTAGCATTTTGCCACTGAAAGATAGTGAAGTTGGCTCTGCAAGTCCAGATTATGAACTGAGTGGGGAAGAGTGAGCAGTGTACTTTGTAAGCCTTTCATGTCACTTCAGGTCTTTCATGTCACTTCAGGTCCACCTGAAGTGATGACTTAATGCATGTTAATAAGCAGGAATCGCCACTGAACAAACTCATTTTGCATTCACTATTCACAGCAATAGAAATTCTCGTAATGTAAGTGGAATATAACATAAATTTATAAGTGGACTTTCAAAATTGTTGGTTATTAACTTTGACACAACTGCAAATTGGTATTCAAGTTAATGGCAAAGACCAAACCAAACAAAACAAAAAATAGCATATACAATCTTCAAGTGCACTTTCAGTTGTATCCAATTCAACTTTAACTTTACTCTGTCATTTTCTATTGTATCTTGATATGAAAGCATATTAGTTAGATTTCTCCCTTTCATGAGCTTTTTTCTTGCTTGTCAAAAGCATTTTAAAAAATTTTCAAACAGTATATCATATATTACCTTGCCATCCTATATTTTGATTATACTTCTGTTGAAAATATGGTAACTTTAGGGCTGTTCACAAATCTTCAGCCACTTCTCATTCCTGCCCATTTCTTTGCACTGCCTTGCACCCTTTGCAGGTAGGTATGGCCTTGGGATTTGCTTTGGCCAGTGAATTCTGAGCAGAAATACATATCGCTTAGTGCGAGGCTTTAAGAAACATCACAGAATGCCCTGTGTTTCCTTTCTCTCTATGGTGGTTTTCGAAGTTTCTATCAGTGGGATCCCAAAGTGTCTTTGATGCGCAGAGCTTTAGTGGCCCATTTGCATCAGAATTGAGGTATAAGTGAGAAGTAAATTTTCGTTGGCCTAGCCATTGAGATAGGGTGAAGAGTGAGGGGGAAGGTTATTCTTGCAGCACAATCTAGCCCCGTCTAACAAGTACAATAATTAAATCTTGTTCAAATGTTTGATAAGATAATGCCCACAATAGATTTGTTTCATAGGTATGAATAAATTCATAGGTATGAAACTCACAGGAATGATATGAGAACTATGCATATTCTTTTTCATTCTTAGCCCAAATATCTTGGCATTTATTTTACATTGTATTTATCCAGAGTATTCTCCCTGTTAGTATTACCTAACAACATACCAGTAAACTGAAAAAAAAAAATTCTGTTCTAGCCTCAGGGAGAGATTAGGGAGGGTACCTAATAACTTTAGAGAGAATTCCATGTGATAAATGAAAGGGAGAGTATAGACAAGATTACAGCCAGTATAGCTGGGATTACAGCCATGTACCACCACGCCCAGCTAATTTTTGTATTTTTAGTAGAGACGGGGTTTCGCCATGTTGGCCAGGATGTTCTCCAACTCCTGACCTCATGTGATCCGCCCACCTCGGCCTCCCAAAGTGCTGATTACAGGCCTGAGCCACCACACCCAGCCAACAAGACCCAATTATACAGACATCAGCTACTTACACAATAATCAGTTCAATCATGGTACTTTTAAATTATGAAAGAATTCTATCATAAACCCTTAGCCATTTAAGTTTTGTAGGGGGAAAATGCCATTCATTCAACAGTAAGTGCACTATTACAAAAAAAAAAAAAAAAGAAAGCAAAGTTGCTTTTTTTTTTCGAGACAGAGTCTCACTCCGTCACCCAGGCTGGAGTGAGGTGGCAAGGTCTCGGCTCGCTGCAACCTCCGCCTTTTTGGCTCAAGCGATTCTCGTGCCTCAGCCTCCTGTGAGTAGCTGGGATTACAGGCGCTCCCCACCACACCCGGCTAATTTTTTGTGTGTTTTTAGTAGAGACGGGGTTTCACCACGTTGGCCAGGCTGGTCTTGAACTCCTGACCTCAAGCATTCCGCCCACCTCGGCATTCCAAAGTGCTGGGATTACAGGTGTGAGTCACCACGCCCGGCCTACACAAGGTTACTTTTTAAAGACAAAGGTAAACAAAAAATTAGTTTTAAAATTTCCAAAGTCAGATTTTTTTTTTTTTTTTTTTTTGTCCTAAAACAAAACCAACCAGCAAAACGCTCAGGTCGCAACCGTTTATAAATCCAAAGTCACCACCAGAGGGAGCAACTCACCTGGTTTATCTCTGATTTCGCTCCTGTAATTTCCTAAGGCCTGATTACCTGGGAGGAGATCTGCGGGGACAGTAGTTTTTAGACACCTTATGCTCAGATCTCAATATTCAAAAATTTTATCCTTGGAATACCTTCCACACTAAAATAATTTGTGCCTAAAATAATTTCCTTTTTTTCTTTCTTAAATAGCAGCTGGAGTTTGCAAAGAGCTCTTCCCACAGAAACCCAAGGTTGCCTTCCTGCCTACCCGAATCTTGGTGGACATACAGGGTTTATGATCTAGGGAAGCCCCAAGGATGTGAGATTCCTCTGTAAATGGGTCATAGGACTTGTTCTGATTCCGTTAGAATTAGCAGGCTGGTATAACAGAAAACTGCAGTAAAAGTGGTTTAAGCAAAAGAGTAGTTTGTTACCTCTCACTTAAAAGTTCAGTGATAGGCTCCTCAGGGCTGGCATTGAAGCATCAGGGACTTTGGCTCCTTCTGTCTGTCCCACCGTCTCAGTTCATGACTTCCAAAATGACTGCTGGAGCTCCAGTCATCACATTTGCTTTCCAGCAGCAAGAAAGTTTTCTCCTCACCACATCCTTAGCTTCAATGGGTCTTCACCTCCTCTCTGGGGGTGACAGGGCTTGTTATCCCTACCTTAGTGGTTTGATGCTTTTGTTTAATAGAGGATAAGAGTCTATTTTTCCACTCTCTTTCTCCATGTTTTCACCACTGAGGGACCATCTCTCATTGCTCAATCCACCTTCAGTCTTTCTCATAAGCACCTGGTGGAGGTCCCCGGGAAAGAGATTAAAAGTGACTGTGATCATTCCTTTTGTGTCCTGGGATCCCAGAAGTACTATACGGTCATGCTGGCCTGCACCTGACCTTTAACAATTTGTTAAAGTCTTAGCTGAATTGTTCTTGACACTTGTTTGGTATTCCATAGCTCTTCCTCCTTTCTGTGAGACAGGTGAGCTGGTGCTCATATCCCAACTCTCTTTGGAGTGGCCTTGGATTCTAGATGATTTGGGTGCCTTGCAACTGCAGCTCTCTAATAGGGTCAGGAAAAGTTATGGCTTTGCAGTTTACCTGGCTTTGTCTTCTTGTGCGAATGGGAGCTGCACTCATTTGAGCTTCCTACATCTGGTACATAAACTGAACTTCAGAGGCCGTATGTGATGATGTAGTGGCTGAGAATTTTCCGGAGGTTTGAAAAGTCATTAAACCACAAATACAGATCATCATAAACCAAGCAATATAAGCAAAAAACAAAAATCCTCATCGTGGCATATTGTAGAGAAATTGTAGAATACAAAGCAAAGAGGAAGCAGCCAATCATTTATGAAGAAATTTAAATAGCAGACTTGTCAACTGAAACAACACAAGCCAGAAGGTGGTGAAATCATATCACCAAAATGCTTAGGAAAAATCACTGTTAAACTAAAATTGTGTACCTGACAAAACTCTGAATAGTGAGAGTTGTATTAGGGTTAGGTTCATCTATAAAGAACAGAAAAACTCCAAATAACAGGGCTTAAAACTGCTTCAAGTAAAAATCCAGAGGTGTGTTGTCTAAGAACGAATGGGGTCCATGCTCCATGAAGTTCTCAGGGCCTCAGGTTTCCTCCAGCTCAAGATGTGGTTCTTTTTTTTTTTTTTTCCAGCTTTTCCAGTTTTATTTAAACACAAAACATGAACTGTGTACTCATTGTCTTCGCTGCACAGCTTGGCATTGGGGTTGGTGACTCTGATGGCCAGCTGAGCAGCTCTTTCCACAATGGCTTTGTGGTCCTTGGAGGAAACATTGTGAGCGATCTCAGCACAGTAAGATTTGCTGCGCATCAGCAGTACTTCCAGCTCCTTGACGTTGTGGACCAGGAAATTCCAGAAGCCACTTGGCAGCATGTGCTTTGTTTTTTTGTTGCCCCATAACCAACGTTGGGCATCAAGATCTGGCCCTTGAACCTTCTACGAACCCTGTTGTCAGTACCTCCGGGTTTCCGCCAGTTAGGCTTAATTTGACGTATGGGTCAGACTGGTGCCATATGAACTTCTTGGTTCGCTTTTTGATGATCTTGGGCTTCACAAGGGGCCTGAGGGCAGCCGTGATGCCGAGGAAGAGATGGCTGCCACCTCCATAGGCAGCACCGAGGAAGAGAGAGGGGCAAGATGTGGTTCTTCTACCACCAAGGCAATGTTCACAATTTAAATACGTCTTTTCTTTTAGGAAAAACAGTGGTCCTAGAAGATGAAAGTAATTTTTTTCTGGTAAAATAAAAATTTGGCCTATGTCAGCAATGTGACATGTTTCATGAAATGCTATTCATCTGAAGAATCCACGTGTCTGGAAGCCATGCCTCAAGTCTAGAATGACCAAGGCTTAAATTTACATCCAGTGGTGGTGGGAGTGGGACCAGGGCCTCTTCTCTCTTTTTCCTTTAGACTGTAGGACATCTGAAAGAATATCAAAGCAGTTGTCTACTAGTCTTCCCAGGCTTGGAGACACTGCTTCAGTCACCATCAGTTACTTCTATCATTCCAAAGTGTGCACTAAGAATTCCCCTCTATATGCTCCTAATTGTTTTGCTCCATATTTCACAGCTGCCCAAGCAAGTCATGCTCAGAGACCATTTGATTTCAGGAGCTTCTACTGCTCCCGGGACTGAGGACTGACTGCCCAGGGCTTTCCAGAGCCCCCACCACCAAGTCCATTCTGAGTTAAGGGTTAGGAATACTCTGAGCCATTGTTGTGATTGGTCTTCTCAGAGAGATCTCTGGACTGTCACCAGGCACCCTGAGGACACAGGAGAGAGTGACCAGAGTATTGATCACTGGTCATAGGAAGACGGATTTCCTCTTATTGTCCTTGTTCATGGACCCCTGGGCTGAAAGAAAGGAACAGAGACAGAGCAGGAAAGAGGAAGATCAGGAAGCAGGAACAGAGTCAGAGGAAAATTGCAGGCTTGATGGGAAGGGGCAGGCTTGGGGGGCTCTAGAGTTATTGATTTTTCAGCTTGATCAACTTTTACTTGTTAGGATGGAGTGACAATTTTCAAGCTCCTTACTTGCCAGACTGGGAGCTGGAAATCCTATTGTTTTTTACATGCATTTAACTTTAATCAAGTTACCATAACACCTCACTGACTCCAAAATAAGTTTCTATCTCAGCATGGCATTCTTTCTCCACGGACTGACCCACCCACCACTCAACCTTATCACTTCTTATGCTTTTCTAAGAAAATAGCATGGGACCTACAAAAGAGTAAAAAACTGTCAAGATTTTGAAGAATGCTCTATCCATTCCAGCCTTGCAGCCTCAAACATGCAAAAGTCAGCCACACGTGTTTGTTCTGTTGTGTGATTTAACCCTACATGTAGAAATGGAAATGGAAGAGAATATGACATGAGAAAACCAAAGGACATAGCAGTATTATATGTTCCTAAATGAAGCTGAGTTTATGTGTGTGTGTGCAGGAATGTGCCTTCACGTATAGCTCACAGGTATGCATGTGCATTTGTGTACCTATGTGTGTGCGTGTATGTGGGTTAGCATGCATGTGTATATGTGAGTGTGTCTGAGTATTCTTACCCCCAATGCTCCAAACATAACATTGATTAAAGTCCACAGTGAGTGAGCTGAGTTTGTGGGGTCCTCTGTAAAACAGAAGGAAAAATCCATTTTCAACGAGAGAGGGATGTTTGTGAGCTCCCCAAGAACACGCTGGTGGTCCTAGGGCAGCAGGATGGTAACCTCCAGGGTTCTTGACAACAACGGACCAGGGAAGCCAATAAAGGATCTGTCAGTGGTCTCCAGGGCCTGCAGGCAGTGCCTCTGGCAGGCCATGCTCTCTGGTCACTGGGAAGATGGACCCTTGAGAAGGTCACAGCCATCCTCTAGGCTCAGCTCCACCTTGGTGAGTGTCCCATAAGGTCAAGCCACCCTCACGGGATAGAATATGAGCTCTCCAAGCCAATTTCCAAGACCCTTGGGCTCTCCTTTTCTCAGGTACCTCCAGTCCCAGGAGTGGTGGGGGGAAGCAGCAGACCCCAGTATTCTGGCCTGGGAGTCACATAGCCTCTAGAGAGCTCACCAGAGCAGAGTAGTTTAGCAAAAGTCAACTTCCCATTCCCTTCAGGATCAGTTTGCCTATTGAGAAATGTTTCTGGGAAACCTATTTACCAAGTGGAATGGTTTCATACAAAATACTACGGGTATAGCTCTTCTAAAGATTTTTTCAATCCCTTAGGTATCTTTTTCTATTGGATATAATTTTAAGGAGTGCCCACAAATACATTTTGAACTAGTTTTTACTTATTTTTCTACTTACACTAAGTACTTATCCAACTTTTAGTATAACATATGCAAGTTATCAGACTTCATTAACCCTTGTTGAGTGGTCTAGCCTTTTTTGGGGTTAAAAAAATTATTTTCTGGGCCAGGTACAGTGAGTCATACCTGTATCCCAGCACTTTGGGAGGCCGAGGCAGGAGGATCACTTGAGCTCAGGAATTTGAGGCCAGCCTGGGCAACATAGGGAGACTCCATCTTTACAAAAAAAAAAATTAAAAATTAGTCAAGCAAGGTGACACATGCCTGTAGTCCCAGCTACTCAGGAGGCTGAGGTGGGAGGATCAGCTGAACCCAGAAAGTCAAGGCTGCAGTGAACTGTGATTGTGCCACTGCACTCCAGCCTGGGCAACAAAGCAAGACCCTGTCTCAAAAAATATATATTATTTTCTGTATGACATGGCTGTATTAAAAATAAATGAATAAAATGAGGAAAGAAATATATAGATTCATTTACACTTCTACCGTAGTTTTCATGACACCTAAATCACAGTGCCATTGCTGTGGAGTCCCTTGCTTGCATTTATAATCCAACTCGGCCTCTTATGAGCTGCCTGAGTTGAGTGATTTACAAAGCTTCTCTAAGTCTCCATTTCTCAGTTCTAAGTGTTTAGTGGCTCCCTCATTGGGTGTTTTGAAGATTAAATGAACTAACCCTTTCAAAGCACTTACAGCAGAGCCTGGTACACACTAAATAAATACTCAACTAATTCCAATTTAGGAAATACTTATTACCTACTGCTATACATCAAGCACTGTTCTAGGACTGGGGATATGGGAATACAAGGTAAACGAAGACCCTGTCCTCATAGAGCTTCCATTCTCATGGAAGGATGGAGACAAAAAAGTGAGCCATACGTCACATGGGGACAACTGCTACAGAGGGAAAGGGTGGTGGAGAGAGAGAAGGTGCACAGGGTTTGTGCTACAGCAACTCAGATAAGCTGGAACTGCATTTCTGAGGATCCACTTACCTCTATGGCTCTGTGTTGGGTTTGCAAGAGAAACTTTCATGAGATTTGGAAGGCAGAGGTGAAGTGGCAGGTGCGATGTTCTGAAGGTTAGTGTAGGTGCTAGGGTCTCTCAGGTGCATTGTTGCTCAACTCACCTTGTTGACATGGGCAGCACCTGCCTGTAGCTCCTCCTACTCAGCCTCCCTGAGTCCTGCCCAGCACATGTGCAGCTTTGCAGCCAAGCAGCAGAAAAGACAGAAATGAAGGCAGAGAGGCAGAGCTACAAGGTGCTCACAAATACCTATTTTCTTCTCTTCCTAGATGCTCAGGTAGACCCATCTTAGCCCATGCAGTGAGGGCAGAAGTGATGGGCACTGTTCCAGACCTGGCCTATAAACACACCCATGTGCCATACTTTCTCTTTTCTCATCCACTCCTGGAGGCAAAGAACTCTGAAGACCTGGAGGTCAGCAGAGCCACAGGACAGAAAGCCTGGGCCCCTGAATGGTCCTGCGGAGTCACCATCCATTAGACGAGTAAGAAATCAACTTTTACTCTCTGAGATTTGGAACTATACTGTTAAAGGAGCTAAGATTATCTTAGTTAAGATAGGCAGAAATCAAATAAATAGAGAAATATATGTGTGAAAGAGAGAAGAGGGAGTGAAGAAGAAACAAAATAAAATACTGCCCTTGAAAAAAAAAAAAAGAACAAGATATACAAATCTGTAGAAAGACTAATCAAGAGACAAGTTTAAAAGTGCAAAGAGAAAATAAAGAGAACAGGCCAGGCACATTGGCTCACGCCTGTAATCCCAGCACTTTGGGAGGCCGAGGTGGGTGGATCACTTGAGGTCAGGAATTTGAGACCAGCCTGGCCAACATGGTGAAACCCTGTCGCTACTAAAAACACAAAAAATCAGCCAGGCCTGGTGATGCACGCCTGCAATCCCAGCTACTCAGGAGGCTGAGGTGGGAGAATTGCTTGAACCCAAGAGACAGGGGAGGTTACAGTGAGCCAAGATTGCGCCACTGCACTCCAGCCTAGGCAACAGAGTGAGACTCTGTCTCAAAAGAAAAAAAGAAAAGAAAAGAGAACAAATGAGAAATACCTGAACACCCAAAAGAGACTTTCACAATAACAATACTATGAATAATCATACACTAATAAATTGAATAACTTAAATAAAATGGATACATTTCTGGAAGATATAAAATATTAAAATTGGTGTTGAGATTAAAAGCTTGACTAGAGCAACAACAATTCAAAAATCAACATCCAGTCATATAACCATCTCAGCTGCTAGAGAGGTGAGGGGAGGGCAACTTCAGGCACAGAAGAATTTTCAAGGTATAGATATTTCTTAATTCATACAATTTATTCCAGGAAATAGAAAAGAGGGGAGAAGCTGCTCATATAATTTCTGTGGCTAGAACAATATTAATACCAAAACCACACAAGGACCAAATAAGAATAATGGGTTATCAGCCCATTTTTATTTATGATCATAGATTCTGTAATCTAAGATCATCGTTCAGATTCTCAGGGAAAGATGGCAGATGGAACATACACCTTTATTTCTGTTCGCTCCTAAAACCCACAAAAATGAACATAAAGAAATGCAGGAAACATAGGAACGAGGGAAACTAGAAGGTAAAATAGCAAGAAAATTTGGGGAGCTGAAAAAAATATATAAGTAAGTGGGAAATGACTTAGAAGTGAGAAAACAGAACCTTTCATCAGAGTTGAGGAAGGCAGAAGTCAAGTCTTATTTACACAACAGTATTGCCAAGATGGCTGAGAAAGTGGAGGTGGTTTAGGGGAGTCCGATTAAGAAGAAATGGTAGAAAGTTGTTTAAGAAGCAATGAGGAACCCAGATCCCCTTGCCACTTTCTGTAGATGAGCGACCTTGACCCACCTTGGCAGACAACTGGGAATGAATGCCTTAGAGAGGTTGCAAAGAAGGCTGGGTTTCTGTGTGTGGTAGGGAAGGGGTGGGCAATAGGTATAGGTGAGGATGGTGACAATGTCCTGAAAACCATGGGATTATGTGAAGAACATGTACCAGAAGCTGAGAAACACTCCAGCCCTCTTCTCCTATTTGGATTCCAGAAAGTTGGCAGCCAGATCTTCTTCCTCCAGACAAGAGATGGGGTGAGTCTTCCCTGGGGATCCTGAGCAGCCCAAGAGAGAAGGCTGAATGATATTGACAAGGCACTTCCTCAAGCAAATGGCCAAGGAGTCACCCTCCTGTGAAACTCCCAGGGCACCAGCCCCACTGTGGGCTCACAGCATCCAATTATCTTTAGAATTTTGTTACCCAGGCCTGAGAAAAAGCTCTCAAGTGAAAGAGAAGAAAGAAACTAAACAGAGAATAGTGAAGGCAACTGGGAAGAAACAGAGACCACCTAAGGAACCATAAATAAAAACAGAAAACTTTTTCTCCAAGGGCTGTTTCCAAAACAGAGGGAGGCAGAGAGAGAATGAGAACAACAGAGAAATGGGAGAGAAAAAAAAAGAAAAAGACAACTGATCCAGGAGGTGAATGCTTGAATAAAAGGAGTTCTAGAAAGACAGAACATAGAAAACAGAGAGGGGAAAATCATGCATGAACTAATTCAAGAAATTTTCCTGTGAATTTCTAGATCGAAAAGGCCACTCACTGTGCGGAGCAAAGGGATGGAAATAGACACACTCCAAGGCTCATCCCTGTGACATTCCAGGACACCGAGAACAAAAAGAAAACGCTGATAAAGTGAAGACAACAGATCACATATTGCCATAGTTATCATAATTGCTCCTGACTTTTCAACAACAATAGGAGCAAGAAGGTAACATAGCAATGCCTTCAAAATCCTGAGGACAAATTGTTTCCAACTCAGAATTTTTTATATCAGTCAAACTGTCATGGTAAAACAGGCATTTTTAAATATAAAAGTTGTCAAAATGTATTTTCCATTCCCCCTTTCTCCCGTAGTTACTCAAGGATGGGTTCCACCAGTACAAAGGAGTAAACAAAGATCCAAGAATCAAGAAAACGTTGTAGAGGAGACAAAGAGAAGCCCCAGAAACATGAGGAAGAGACAGCTGTGTACCAACTGGTGGAGGCAGTGCATCCATACAGGGCAAAAAAAGGCTGCAGGCATGACTTTTTAGGAAGATGCTCAACAAAATACTTGCTGAGAAAAAAAAAAACAAAACTTAGAAATGCTGGTTCCAAAACATGTGCTTTTGTTTGTTTGTTTTTTCTTGTTCTGACTTTTAATTCATTACACCACTGCTCTCCAAGAAAAGGCTATCAATTATTCCCTTCCAACAATGCATAAGAATGACTTTTTCCCTACTTCTCCAGGACAGAATATAATTATCATTTATTTTAATCTTTTTTGAACTGTTAAAAAGATAAACTGAGGCACAGTAAAATTTTAAAGAGTTTTGGTGAGTTTTTTTTAGCATGAACAATTTATGAACTGAGCAGCTCCGAACCAGAAATAGTTTGGGAGCTCCACTGAGGAACACAAAGAGGAGACTTTTATAAGACAGACACAGAAGTAAAGCAAAGTATTTAATTGGTTACTGTTATACAATTGCTTTTTTTGGTCTCTCAACTTGGAAAGCCCCTCGTTATCTAAGTTTGTATAAATAGTAACTTCTGATTGGTTGAGCTTAAGTTCTGCTTTTAAAAATATATATATAGATATAGATATATATAGGCATTCACAAGAAATAGCTCAAGTTAAGTTTGGTTATGTTTGCAAATCAAGCAAGGTTTAGGTCACTTACAAATCATAACTTCTTTTGTCCCCTCTGGGATTCTTCAGGTCTGGTCTCCATTTTAATTTACTTTAACAATCCCACCGCGTTGGGTCACCCTCTCAGCAAGCTAAGAAGAAGGTGGTAGCATTCCTCTCAGTTACCACTAGTGAAATAGTCACTGGAACAAAGAGTCATGTAATCTTATCCTCAACAGTTGTATTGGGATATAAGATTACATGGCATCATTACCTGCATCATGGGCTTCAGTGGTAGGGTTGTTGAGTTCTTCAAGTCAATTAATGATGATGGCAATCATTTGATGTGTGAGTGCCTTCTGGAAAGCTTTGAAATCCTTGAGAGGATAAGATATAGTAGGATGGTAAACAAAATGACTACAGAGAGAATAATAGCCAAGGATTTTTAAATTCCCTGGAGCACAGATTCCCAGGAGCCAATATTTCACCAATAAAATAAATCAGTGGAGGAGGCAACACCTGTCTGATAAAAGACATATTTGTTCCTTAAGATCCTTTAAATTGGGCTCAACAATTTCTAATTTATTAATATAGAAACAATATTTTTTTTTACAAATAAGAGCCTCCTTGTTAAGTTGCTAAGGTATCAAGGACTTCTATTTTGGAGTACTATTGAGGTTAAATTGTTTATTTCAGATAGTATTGCTTGAAGGGAATTCAAGGTAGCATTCTATAAAAACAAAAGAAAAAAAAAAGGTTAACATTAGGAACAAATTATGATCTTAGTCTTTAAGTCCAGAGAGCAGCCTGTCAAGATTTCTAAATTTGAGTTTGAAGCATTTTTAGATGATGGAATGAGGATGGCAATTGCAACCTGATGGATTTTCCTGGCTTGCAGTTTGAATGTCTCTGGAAATATCATCAGGTGTTCCAGTGAATTCTCCAAGTGACCCACACAGCAGCAGCATGAAAATTTTCCATACATGGTCTGTTGTAGTAATTTTTCTGAATTTAAAGTCATCCAATTTCAGCTGGCAGGGCTTCGGAAAAAAGCAGTTTTAGTTTCTAGTGAAACTAGAAAATGTTAGGATTCAATCCAATTTACAAGGACATAACAAAGACCAGAATTTGATGATGGGTGCTATAGTTTTCTATTGAAATACAATCTTTTTTATGGTCATTCCAAATTTTTCCAAAAATAATCATGGTTAACTCTTCTTTTTGTGCAAAATCAGTAGTCTCATTAAACTTGATCTGATTATTTACATAAGTGCAACAAGAAAAGTGATTCTATGTATGCATATTTTTAAAATACATCATTTTGTCAAAGTTTTGATAATATCCAAGGGGCTTTATTGACTTTGTATAAGTCAATCTTAGTTATTTGTTCATTTTATTGTTTGTTTTACTATTTGTTAACAAGGAATCTCAGATTAGACCTTTAAAAACCTCTCTAGGCTAGGAGGCCAAGTTAAGGACTTACCCAATTATGTCTTGTTATAAGAACAGATTCTTATTGAACCTATGCAAATACCTATATTGCCATGAAAATAAGAATATTCAATAAGTGCTTCCAAATTATGGGGTGATCAGGTAGGGAGGAAAAAAACGTTTTCTTTTTGTTTACAAAAGTATATTTTATCAAATTGTTTTAAGTTATAGAAAAAAGTTTTCCTAAATCTAGAAAGCAAGACATTAAAGAACCAGCAATGTTTCAAACGAAAAGTTATAAAAATTATAATTATTCTCATCAGTTAATTTAGTCTCACATAATTAATTTTTGTTTTGCTTGATCTTGGGTTAGCAGATTTATAAATACATTACTTTTCCATTAGAGGTCTGGAAATTCTTACCTAGCCTTATAGTATGAGCTTAAAATTATCAGAAACCTGTACTCATCAGCCTTTATCATGAATCTCTTACAATTCTGTGTCATGCAACTGACAAGGGAGTTTGGTTGCTTTGGTAACATACGACATTTTAACATAATAATTAAAATTATGGATGATAACATTATACTAGTACATATCAGATTTCTAGGAATTTGACATAATTTCTGGAACACTCATCAATAACAAACATAACTTAAAGAAGGTTTAGCATCACCCATTATTTGACATTGCTTCTCATGCAATTTAACATATCAAATAAGCCTCACTAGTTTAACATGTCTGTTTTTACAAGAAGAGAAGATAAATTCTTTTGAGATATTCCAGGGACCCTTTTGGACACTCCCAAAGTTGGTTTGAGGTCAAAAAGACCTATATGGCATGGCCAGTTCTAGGGGTAAGGTTGTGTCCATGCCAGTGTGTGGCATATGGCGATGTTCAGCTAGCATGAGTCTGAATTAATTACCACACATAGGAGCCAGAGTAAAGTGTTCCCAGGCCATCTACCCCCAACCAATGTCCCCACTTATTACTGCAACCTCTTACATCTTCTATAACATGCTCCAAAAAGTACGCACAACAGTAATCCCCCAAATGCCAAATACCACATTATTTCACGTTGAACAGTCTTGTTAGTGCATGAGTTCGTGTGCAGCACACGTGGTATTGTACACAAATTATATTTCCCTTCTACACTGTAATGAACATGGAGTGTGATGTAAATAACCATGGAATACTGAGTTAAAGCTAGAATTTTATCTAAATTAGACCTGAGTTTGTCGTGCCCCCAGGTGCCTGACAGAACTAAACAGTGAGAACCCCAGAACCCTTTCCAATGGGGAACGTCAGAGGCACCACAGCCACGGACCCTCCACTCTCTCCTGCACTCATTGCACCTTGACTGTCTTCCTTGGTGCTTGCAGACGTTTGTCATAGTGGATTTTTTTAATCAGATCGTGAATTTTGGGCAAACTTTCTACAGTTCGTGGGAGTAAATGTTTGAATGGTTTGAGTTCAGACCGTGAGACAGATCTGCATTTTCCATTCTGAAGAGGTTACACATGAGCTAGCAGATGGGATCGAATTTCAATTATACGGAAACAAGGTAGAAAAGAAGGGACCTCAGGCAAACGAGTAAAAGCAAGTTTGCAACTTAGAGTTTACAGTGGCTGGTCACAGGAGTATCTGACCCTGGAATTCCCAAACTTCTCCGCACCTTAGAATTACCTGAGGAATATTTTTAAAATGCCAAAGCCCAGGCCACACCCGGACCAATTAAATTAGGCGCACTGGGGTGGAATCCGGCATCTGCATTTCTGAAGCTCCCTAGATGATCCCAGCATGCAGAGGAGTCTGAGAATGACTAGTCTAATTTCATTTCCACAATATGCTTGTGAAGCGGTCGCCACTATCCCCTGTGATTCCCTTAAGGTTCCCCCCAGTGAATTTGTGGCATCAGGAGCCCAGCCCAGCACTCCTTCCACTGCACGTGCCGCTGTCCTGGAGGACAGGAAGCAGAGCCAGGGTGCTGCGTACGTGGCTCTTCAGAGGGCTCTTCAGTGTGCCTCCAAGGGCGCACAGCCGAGTTGAGCCGTCTGATTACGCTCCGGGGTGATGGACAGGCTGCCCCTGCCCCCTGCTGGCCAGAGGCTGCTATTGCAGCCAGCGTGCACACGCGTGCGCGCATCTTCAGCCACCTGCAGTTTCTCTGATTCTTCCCTGGTCTCCTCTCTGCAGTGTCGCCAGAACACCTTCGCACACTCTATTCTTTGTGGCCCTTCTGACTTTCTCTTTGCCGTGTGACAGGGGAGTCCTCCCTAACCAGCAGACAGTGAAGGTGGAGTCCACGTTTCTCGGCCTCCACGCATAGCGAGTCTCAGACCCCGCAAGGCTGCAGACAGTGCTGTGTAAGTGGGCCTTCAGTCCTGTGGGGAGCCCAGGTTGAATCCCCAGGAATAGAAGCTCCAGAGGAAGGTCCCCAATCAGTCCGTGGTCCCCAATCCTGAGAAGGGTTGCCTTTTCTGGGAGGAGCCTGGGTCTCATCGCTATGCGGGAACAGGGCTCTGGGAGGTGTCCAGGAAATGTGAGACCGGAAGTCGCCGTCAGGGAACGGAGTAGTCTGTGGCCCTGTTAGAGGAAACAGCCCTGGGGGGTCCCCAATTGCTTCTAGAATCTATTCTGTTTACTCTTCTAGGGAATACCTGTAACTTCTTTCCTTGGAACCAAGATTTAGCACATGAGAAGAATCTGGAAGAAGCTGAGCCCACAAGGGTCCCAGGAGGGCATTCTACCTGCCCACTGACCGTCTCAGCATGCTACACCCTCGAGGGAACTCAGGTTCCCTGTCTGTAAAATGCAGATTCTCTCCTATGAAATCTCTGAGGTGAATAGCTCTGGATAAACTTCAGTGGCCTTCTTTTAGATGTTTTTTGTTTTTGTTTTTTGTGGGTTTTTTTTCCCCTTGGGTCTTCCTGCCTGGGGCCCTCTGCCCTGGGTCTCCTGCAGAGGTTCCCACCAGCTCAGGAAAACACTCAAGGGTGAGTGTCTCAGAGCTCAATAGGCCTGAGTTCCTTTCCCAATACCTCCTACCACTCCCTGGACATACACACTAGCACATACATGCACACATGTGTGTGCAATCAAGCTAATCAGAGTGGGGCCTTGATTGAGTCAGAGCTCTTTGCACTCCTCCACATGTCCTCTACAGTGTAGCACTAATTCTGTGTCCTCCGGGGTCAGGGCCAGGTGCAGCAGGTGCAACCCACATTGCAGGTGAAACCTGTGAGTGAAGGAGCCTGGTGGGGGCTCTTGCTGTCATCTAGGTGGAAGGAGATGAAGATCAGGCAGAGGAGGCCGAAAAAGATCTGGAGGGTTTGGTGACAAAGGAAAAGATCTGGAGGGTCTGTGACAATGGATTTGAAAGTTCTTTGTCACTTTCAAGTTCTACACAAATTTGGGACAGACATCATATGATTCTAGCACCATTGTCTCAGATTTCATAGCTGTCAAAATTTTACAATATTCTACAAGAAGCAAATAAAATTACCTTGCATCTTTAAGTTTAGAATTTTTCTTTATATTTTTTTTCCATTTTGATCATTGTTAGGTTTGAGCCCCAGCCGAGGTCCAAGGGAGCAGGTGGACAGGAGGGCAGGGAGCTGGAAGAATACTCAAGAGACAGCAGGTAGATGAGACATGGCTTTATTCAGCAGCTCACTCACACTGTCGGTGCTGCATTTATGCACCTCACAAACAATAGTGGCTCCAAGCCAGGCGATGAGCCTCTCCATGTTATGGCTACATAGCTGTGTTTACATTATACACCAGACTGTGTGCCTGTGCTACAGTCCCGCTGAGTCATGCGGGATGTTTACCTCAGCCTATGCCTATGTGGCTGCAGCTCAGCCATGTTCCTTACAATCATCATAAGGGTTTAAAGCATTGTTTGGGGAAACCCAGGCAATCTTTTTTTTTTTTTTTAGACAAAATCTCACTCTGTCACCCAGGCTAGAGTGCAGTGGTACAATCTCAGCTCACTGCAACCTCTGCCTTGTGGGTTCAAGTGATTCTCCCGCCTCAGCCTCCCAAGTAGCTGGGATTACAGGCATGCACCACCATGCCCAGCTAATTTTTGTATTTTTAGTAGAGACGGGGTTTCACCATGTTGATCAGGCTGGTCTCGAACCTCTGACCTCTGGTGATCCACCCGCCTCGGCCTCCCAAAGTGCTGGGATTACAGGTGTGAGCCACTGCGCCCAGCCCCAGGTAATCATTTTTTGAGCTGAACTTGCCCTTTACTTTGACTCTGCAAGTGTGCTACACTTGTAGCTCCTTGGCAATGAGGTTGTGAAAACAAGTCCAACACACACAGGATAAGGATCCATCATTCTTGCATATTTAGCTTAATACCAGGTGAGGCTCTCCACTCCTCTCTCATGCTCATTTCCCTCTCCAGGCTGCCATCTGCTAAGGTATGCGGTCCCCTCTAGGCCCAGGTCACGGAGCCCGTGCTTCACCTGCTGGTGTCTCCCCTCACCCAGCCTCCAGACCCCACCAGGCCAGCCGTGACTGTCACCACCTGATCATCTTCACTCTTAGACACAAGAAAAAACTTCCAGGTTTTGCATTTCAGGAGTTATGACTTTGGGATCTCTATCCCTTGCTTAAGAAACCCATGAATTTATTTTTTATAATTTTTACCATGCCAGTGTGGGTGGGAGAGTAAAATTCCCCACCTCCCAAGGACATGTTTCAGGAAATAAGGAAACGATACCAGCTATTATCAGATCCTGACATTTCACTGGGGCCCTGGCCTGATCTTGGGGACAGGAGACAGGTGCACACCAGCCCAGGCCTTAAGTCCACTCTTCTTACTTCATTCAACTCCTCTCTTTCTTCTCCTCCAGCTCAGAGAATCTTTATTTGGTCTAGGGTGTTGAGGGTAAGACTAGAAGAGCTGTTTCGGTTCGCACACATATGGGAAAATTTCTACTCAATGTGTTGAGCTACAATTTACTTAAATACATATATCCATATATCAATCATCATTATCAAGATACAGAATGTTTGCATTACACCAGGAAGTTCTTTCACATGCCTTTACAATTAATACACTTCTCCCAAATGTCTTTCAACACGTGAACAGATAAACAGATAGCAGCACATCACACGATGGTATATTACTCAGCAGTAAAAAGGAATGGTCTATGATACACCAACAACATGAATTAATCTCCAAAACCTTAGACCAAGCAAAAGATGACACATATAAAATAATCTGCACTGTATGATTCCATGTATATGAAAATTTGTTACAGGCAAAGATCTTCTCCAGTGTTTTCGTTTGTTTGTTTTGTTTTGTTTTGTGTTTGTGTGTTTGTTTGTTTTGAGACGCTGTCTCGCACAGTCGCCCAGGCTGGAGTGCAATGGCGCAGCTCACTGCAACCTCTGCCTCCCGGGCTCATATGATACTCTTGCCTCAGCCTCCTGAGTAGCTGGGATTACAGGCGCACACCACCACACCGGGCTAATTTTTTGTATTTTTAGTAGAGATGGGGTTTCACTATGTTGGCCAGGCTGGTCTTGAACTTCTGACCTCATGATCCGCCCGCCTCAGCCTCTCAAAGTGCTGGGATTACAGGCTTGAGCCACCATGCTCGGCCATCCAGTGTTTTTATCTAAAAGTTTTCTAGTTTGAACTTTCACATTTATGACTATAATTCATTTAGAATTAAGTTTTCTGTATGGATAACTAGTTGTCCTAGCACCACTTGTTGAAAACACTTTGCTTTTGTCCGTTGAATTGCTTTGGTGGCTTTGTTAAAAATCAGTTGCCCGTATATGTGTGGGTCTATTTCTGGACTATCTAATCTGTTCTATTTATTTAACTGTCTGTCCTTACTACAGTAGCACACTGTCTTCATTACTGTAATTTTATAGTAAGTCCTGAAATCAGAGGTGAGTTATCCAGCTTTGTACTTCTTTTTCCCATTGTTTTGGCTACTCTGTGCCCTGTGCATGTAAGTTTCAGAGTCCTCTTGTCAATTTCAACAAAAATGCCTACTAGGTTTGTGTCTGTGACGTAACCTAGTATTGAGTTTATACATCAGTTTGACAAGAATTAACATCTTAACAATATTGAGTCTCCTAGTTCAGGAACATGGTATTTCTCTCCATTTATTTAGATTTTCTTTAATTTATCTTATCTTCCTGGTGTAATGCAAACATTCTATATCTTGATAATGATGATTGATACGTGGATATATGTATTTAAGTAAATTGTAGCTCAAAATTAAGTAGAAATTTTCTTATATGTGTGTGAACCGACAGAAACAGCTCTTCTAGTCTTACCCTTAACACCCTAGACTAAATAAAGATTTTAATTTAATTTATCTCATCAATATTTTATAGTTTTGAATGTATAGGTCTTGCACATATTTTGTTAAATTCATCCCTAAGCATTTAATGGTTTAGGATGTTGTTTTAGGTGTCATTTTAAAAGTTTTCATTTGTCTATGGTACACTGCAATTATATAGATAGTCCATTTGAGTTTTCTATATTGACCTTGTACCCTGAAACACTGCTAAATTTCAGTATTGGCTGTTATAGCTTTTTGTGTAGATCGCTTAGGATTTAATGTGTATACAATCATGTTGTCTATGAATAAAGACAATGTTCCTTCTTCTTTACAATATGTATGCCCTTTGTTTCCCTTTATTGCCTTATCAAGTAATTAAATCTCCAGAACAATATTAAAGAAAAGTGCTGAGAGAGATAGCCCTGCCTTTTCTCCTAACTTAGATGGAAATGATGGGGTCTTTCATCATAAAAGGTAACTCTGACTATAGGTATTTTGCAGATACCCTTTATTAGGAAAAGGAAGTTCCTTTATTTTCCTAGTTTGCTTATAGTTCTAATTTTTCTAATGTTTTCCTACATTTTTTGATATGACCTTATATTTTGTTTTCTTTTTAATATCATGAATTACACTGATTGATTTTTCAAATGTTAATCCAACCTGGAGTTCCTGGGATAAACCCCATCTGGCCATGTGTATTACCTTTTTTATATACTGCTAAATTCAGTACACGAATACTGTGTTCAGGATGTTCATGAGGGACATTGGTCTATCATTTTCCTTTCTTCTAATTCCTTTTCCTGCCTTTTGTATCAGGCTGATTTGAGCCTTATAAAATGAATTGAGATATGTTTCTAGTTTTCTTAAAGAGTTTAAGTTCAATATTAGCTTTTTCTTAAATATTTATGGCATTTTGTCTTGCTAAAGACTATATTTCTCTTGAAGTTGGAGGCCAAGATGACTTCACTGGTAAATTCTATCAAATATTTCTATGTCTGAAATGGTTATTTTTGTTATAATGGATTATCGTTTATTCGAAATGTTTAACTTAAAATTGACTATCACATTACTCTATTTCTGCATAGGGTTTACTTTTATTATAAGTTTATTAGGTTTTCTTTACCTGCTTATTAATTTTCTGTCTCCTGTCTGCCTTCTCCATCCTACCAAACACCCTTCTCTGAATATGAATATAAGCTCCAAGAGTGAAGGAAACGTGCCCGAGCTCTCCATCTATTCCCTGTGTCTGGAATGGCAGACTCAATAAGCATTTGTTGAATGAATTGTAGGAATGAATGAAGAAACTCCTTTTGTTCTCTTGGTTTTCAGCTAATATGCTTGAGTTTTCGGAAGCTGGAAGAAACAAGGCATGGATTCTCCTCTAGAACCATGGGGACTGTGCAGCCCTGCCAACACCTTGATCACAGACTTCTGGCCTCCAGGCTATGATAGGATAAACTTCTGCTAAGGCACCCAGTTTGTGATCATTTGTCACAGTAGACTTGGAAAACGAATACACCAACTAATTAATATTTCGATTATTATGTAATTATAGAAATATATTAATTCATAGGTTTTCTCATATACTTTATTTTTGTAATTTCCACTAGTTTTTCATTCCTAAAAATATATAGATGCATTCCTTTTACAAATATTTTTCTAGCAGCATATTTATTAATTACATTTGATTTACATTTTTTCACCTTTCTGGATGGACATTCTTACTCTTCAGTATTTGTTCATGTTATATATTTTATACGTGCACATACTAAAATATAAATATGTTCTTGTAAAATATTTAACATTTTATGCATGTTTTAATTTATGCTAATTACATTGATATAAATTTATTAATTTATATTACAACTAAATACATACATATCATAAATGAAAATTATTAGAAATAATAGGAGAGATTGTTAATTTAGATATATATAAGATTCATACACAAAAATTAGTTGCATACATATGAACAAACAACAAGCAATTACAAAATATTATTTGATAAAGACACCACTTTTGGTCACCTTTTAAACCAGAATGCAATAATTATTTAAACTTTGGACTTGTCCCAGTACTTACTACCACCATTTGTCGGCCCTTTAAAAAAATGTAACTACCAGTGGATTGAAGTAAATATTCAAATTATTTCTTTCCAAGAAGGACATTAGTTTCTATCATGTGTAACACCATCTGGTTGTCTTCACAGAGGAAGGATAATAGTGAGACTTAAGAGCCTTGGATGATGCTGCTCCTTGTTCTCTGTAGAAATTGATTTGTTGTCTTCTGATGTTTGGTGTTGCAGCAGAAAGCTCTGAAGCCAATGAGACTTAAAGGAAATAACTTTCTTTTCTCTCCTGTCCTGCACATGGTAGGATTTGTCCTAGATAAATGTGGCGGGTATTGCTATCGCAGAACATCTGTTTCCCCTTTATCTCTGGACAAACAGAAGACTTGTGCTTTTCAGCTCCTTGATGATCTGCTTGGCTAATAAAATATGAGTGGAAGTGACAGTCGCACTTCCAGGGGAACAATTTAAGGACCAGTGCTCAAATTTCCAGCACTCTCTTCCCCTTCCGTGACAATCAGGCAAGCAGGCATTGATGTGCAAGTCCATAAAAGCAATGCACCTCAAATCCTGAGCCAACCCACAGAGGACAGGACCTCTACCCTAGAGAGTCATCCAGTCATGTGGTGGGCTTCCCAGGACTCAGGGAAAAACTTTATGTGAACTCACTGAATGGGGATTGTTTATTATTCAGATGGCCTGTGCTGGAAGACACAATTTGCATCTCAAATTAGTAAGAGCTTCACATATGTCATCCTTCATTTCAGAAAATCTTCCTTCCATTAAGCCTATATTTGTTGCTTGTGTTTACATTCTTCCGGCCACTCCTTCAGAAACACCCTTACATATAGGCTGCCTCTCCATTCTTTATCATCTTACCTCTCTAGGGTCAGCAAACTTTTTCTGTAAAGGGCAAAACAGTGAATACGTCATCGCCTCTGCCACTGTGGCATGGCGCCTTTCACAGAGTACACGGAATGAAGAAGCATGTCTACAATAAAACTTTATTTACAAAATCAGATGTCAGGCTGGATTTGGCTCCAGGGCTATAGTTTACCGAACCCTGCTGTAAAAGGAGGAAATCAACAAAGAGAGCGTTAGATATGGGATCAGGAGAGAGCACTTTCAACACGGGATAAAAGCTATGGGAGTTATCAAGGAGATGGCGAAGGGGTATCTCAGAAAGGGATATTTCAGCTGTGCTGAAAGCATAGAGGAAAATTAGTCCAGATTGCGGCGGGAAGACATTAGACCACATGGGGCTGTGCTGGAGGAATAAAACCAGTCAAGAACTGATATGTATGAATATGTTGACACAAAATTTACATTGTTGATGTAGAGTTTGGAAAGGAATGAATGATGGCACATAAAATATAAAGCAAATTTTATAAATAAGGCAATTAATAATTTCACAGAAATAAAAAGTAGTATCAAAAAGAAAATGTAATCATAATAAACCACATGACTAGGGCTAAGAAAAATATTTACATTGTCATGAAATATAAAATCTAAGTATTAATTGTACTGGTAAATGTATCTGACTGCATTGGGAGGCTAAAGGTAGGGGGAAAGGCACAGGTGTGAGTGGCATGAAAGAGGAACAAGCCTCACCTCCCGTATTATGTGTCTAATGGAGAATAGCTAAAGCTGTAAAACAAACAAGTATCAACATAAGGATACAAATGAAAAATACTTTAAATTGCCTCCAAGAAAAGGGAATTGGGATGTAGTGTTGAAGCATAGAACTGCTGCATTTTTGTTAGTATGCACTTACAGCATACAATTTTTGAAGATGTGTATCTGCATTATTTTGATGAGATGTTAATACTTGAAAGAATACTGCAACGATGGCCAATATACACTTTTTTAATTCCTAGATTAGAATTTCTTAGTCAGAGCTGATTTCTTTTCTAAAATGGGTTTTGATTCATCTCGCCACACTGTCTTTCAGAAAGGTGGTGTCAATTGCTTTTACCCAGCAGAATAAGCAATCACCTTTTCCCTAAAATCTCCCAACTCTGGTTATCATCATTTATTTCAACTTTTGTCAATCTGATGAGAAGAGTGGTTTTGCACTTATTTTAATAATATCCGTTTTGAATACAATTTAACATTTTCATTAATATTTCTTCTACAGAAAAGTGCCTGTTCCTAGACTCATCCCCTTTTTCAATTGAAATGTTCATTTTCTCTTATTGTTTAAAGGACTTGCTTGTCTTTATATGAAATTTAATAACCCTTTATATGTCAAATAGGGAGAAAACATTCACAGTTGTGATTTGTTTTTAAATTTCACTTATTGTATTATTCTATAACATCCAAGTTTTAGTTTGCATGTAGTATGATCTATTATTTTTCCCTGTATAGTTTGTGGCATTGGGATCATAAAGAGAAAGCTCTATTCCACCAAAAAATTAGATAAATTTTACTTTTCTTTTCTTTCAGATCTTCTGTGTACTGCTATTTTATGTATACATATGTATAATCAAAAGTCAAGCAAACTTGATTTTGTGGGTGTTGATTATTAATGACAGACATTAATTGGGGAGATAGCATATAAAAGGCACTTCTATAAATATTGTGAAGTGTTTACTCATTTATTCCCAGAACAATTATATTAGGGGTTCACTAATACCCATTCAAGAAAGAAGGAAACTGAGACTTTTAGAGGTTTAGCAGTTTGCTTAAAAATGTCAGAGCCCCAAAGAGGCAGAGCAGGAACCCAAACAGTGTGTGTATCTCAAGAGTCCAAGGTCTTTACAACACTAGTTTGTGAGTTAGATGCCTTGAAATCTACAACTCAGGGTGTGCACGTGTGGGGCTGATATTCCACTAAAGAACAGACCGTCCTCTTCTGCTGTGAGGACAATTTCAGGAACCAGAAGAAATACGAGTCTGACATGTCCCACTTGCTGCCTAGATCTTATTTTTCAATTGTCGAGACCCCTTTAAGGATAAATCACATTAAAGATATTGTAGTTCTCTTAATAGATCTATACAGTGCTGAAACAAATATTTTTACAATAAAAATAAGCTAGAATTCTTTTACTTTTAGCAATAGTAACTCATGTCTATTACGCACCAAGCTTTTACATACAATATCTCGTGTGATGCTCACAAGGATTCTGTGGGACAGATGCTGTGTCTCCATATTGCAAATGATGGGATTGAGATTCACTTCAGCCTGCGTCCTAGGTGCACTCCTAATGGCTCTGGGTAGATGGGCTGGATGAATTGGCCTAAGATGAATGTACCTTGCCACACAGGCACTGGTCTGCCCTGGAGTCCCCATGACAAATGCTTGGAGGCAGCCCCTACCTTGGATCCCACAAACAGCAATGACAAGGGCCGCTGGAAAGCACAGGATGCGTCTGAAGGCAGCTGGACAAGCCCAGACTCAGGTCAGTGGCCCTAGAGGGTCTTGGGGAAATGTCCCCAGGGGCTGAACAGAGCCTGGCAATGACCCTTCTGCTCCACTGTGGGACCCTTTCTGCAGACTTGCCTGCAGCCCCAGGACCTTGGCTGTGCCAGAACCCAACAGACTGTTGATCACTCCTTTACTAGCTCCCCTAGCAGTCTTCAGCAGCTCTTCTCCTGCCCACATTGCCTAGTGGCAAGTTTGTTTAATTACCCTCTCTGCAGGCTCATCTCCTGTATATTGTGTTCTCACTTATTCCCTTACACTTTCATTTCCAAGTGTATTGCCTCAGAGTCTTTCGGAGAAGCCCCTTACCTTAGGCACAGGAAAGCCATGGTTCATGACCTGTCCTGGGGCCACCACCCACATGCCCCACCAATGTTGGCCCCAGGATCCAAAGTCACTGGGTCCTCTGCTTTGCCCATTTTTTTCATTCCACCTCCCTTTTTGGCCAGGCACAGTGGCTCACGCCTGTAATCTCAGCACTTTGGGAGGCCAAGTGGGCAGATCACTTGAAGTCAGGAGTTCAAGACCAGTCTGGCCAACATGGTGAAACCCCGTCTCTACCAAAAATACAAAAATTAGCCAGGTGTGGTGGCGGGCGCCTCTAATCCCAGCTTCTCAGGAGGCTGAAGCAGGAGAATCATTTGAACCCAGGAGGCGGAGGTTGCGGTGAACCGAGATCGTGTCACTGAACTCCCACCTGGGCAACAGAGCGAGACTCCATCTCAAAAAATAAAAATAAAACGCTTTTTAATACAATATTTTAAATATTATATTCATTACACAATCAACATATATATGTATATATATATAAAGACTTTTTATTAAAAACAAACATTGCAGATGTTGGTCGAAGTGTACAAAGTTTCAGTTAGACAGGATGAATAAGTTCTGGAGATCTATTATACAGCGTGGTGACTACAGTTAATAATAATATATTGTGTACTTGTAAAGTACTAAGAGAGGGCCAGGCACGGTGGCTCACACCTGTAATCCCAGCACTTTGGGAGGCTGAGGCGGGCGGATCATGAGGTCAGGAGATCGAGACCCTCCCGGCTAACACAGTGAAACCCCGTTTCTACTAAAAATACAAAAACAAAACTGCTAAAAATACAAAAACAAAATTAGCCAGGCATGGTGGCAGGCCCTGTAGTCCAAGCTACTCAGGAGGCTGAGGCGGGAGAATGGTGTGAACCCGGGAGGCAGAGCTTGCAGTGAGCTGAGATCACGCCACTGCACTCCAGCCTGAGCGACAGAGCGAGACTCCGTCTCAAAAAAAAAAAAAAAGGACTAAGAGAGTAGATCTTAAATGTTTACACCACAAAAAAAGATAAGTATGTGAGGTGATGGATATGTTAAATCAGCGTGATTTAATCATTCCACCATGTATACATATATCCAAGCATCTTGTAATACACTAAAAATATACAATTTTTATTGGTCAGTTATACCTTACTAAAGCTGGGTAAAGGAACAAACATTGCAACAGACTACAGATAAAGTTCCCTTCACCACTTCTTCCCCAACATTCATCATAGTTATTGCCCCAAAAGACTGCTATTATTAGTTTGATGTATAGCTTTTCACAAACAGAAAATTTCTGTGTTTGTACAGATAAGAGGTTTATGTGCACAGACAAACCATTTTGAGTTCAGTTTACTGTATATAAGTGGGATTATACCATACATGTCATTCTGCAGCAATTATTAAATTTAACAAGATGTTTGGAGATCTAGCTACATTTGCACACAAGCTGTATTCTTTTTTAACCTTTACATGGTGCTGTATAGAAGACGTGGACCAGAAGTTATGTTATTAATTCCCCTGTGGAGATCATTATTATAAACAATCAGTGATGAGCGTCTTTGTAAATCTCCTTTTGTGCCTGTGTGTGTATTTCTCAAGGATGGGTGAATCCTTGAAATGGAATTGACAAGTCAAGGAATGCACATATTAAACATCTTAGATCCTTATTATTTGCATTCAGAAATGCTGAACAGTTTCTATTCCCACTTTGAACATAACACCCACTTCTCCACACCCTTGCCAAGAGAGTAGGACAAGCTTTTAAAATATTTGTCAAATTAATGAATAAATATTGCAATTTGTTTTAATCTGTAAATATCTGATGAATAAGGAGATAAGACATTCTTGCAAATATCTCTGAGAATGTTTATTTCAATTATTGAAAGTTGCTCATCCATTTCATGAATTATTGACATTAATTCTAAATTCAGGTGTTCTGTGTGCTTGTATTGATGGTTTACCTTCATGCTATTAATTTTTCTCAAATGTATGAGATACTTGATTGTCAAATAGTATTAATGCATAGATGAATTGAGGGAATATTCTCATGTTGGTATTTTGAGCTGTTGAGGCTTCTACTTCTGACATTCTAATTTTTCTTATTTTGTTTTTAACACTCGGAAATCAAACGTATCGGTGGCCACTTTTCTTGTTTAACTTGGATTTATCTTTTTTTTATTTATTTATTTTCTTCCATTTACAAAGATAGGGGGCTGGAAGAGAGAATGCCAGGGGGTCCAGTGGGCCACACCGACCCTTTCTTCCCTCCATGTTCCCCGTTAGAATCTAAGCACAGAAGGAAGAAGGCCTACTTTTCCAGACAGTAGGGCCTTCTCTTGGCTTGCAGAAGTGCATTTGAAATGGAGGTGGCAGAGATGGGATACCACACCGGGCCAGGCCTTGTGGAACCTGCAATGCATTCCCTGCAGAGTGATCTCCAGTAGGCTTCGGAGAGAGTAAGGGCTGGGGCCCTGTCAAGATGCTGCACAGGGAGAATTCCCCCAGGAGCTGTCCACAGGAGCCCCTGAGAAGGTGGAGGCTGAAGGGAGGAGTCAGCTAAGGGCAGATGTGCAGATACGTGTTTGAGCTGGGCAGCCTGAACTTGGCAGAACAGAGCGGGGACAGAGGGGAGCCGGAGCTGGCCGTGGTGGTGACTGAGTGATTTAGGGAAATTAAAGCAAGAGGGGAGATCATGGAGGAGGAAGATTCTCAGGTTGGGCAAAGAGGCTGAACTGGGTTTGGTCTCCCCTGTTTGGGGCGTTGGATCAGATGCACAGGGAGTGTTCCAGAGGGGCTGGGGACAGCAATGTGGGAGGGTCCCACCACAGCAGGGATTTAGGTACTGGTAGGTGTCTTCTGCAGGCACTGGATGGCCCCTTCCTTACTCATTATCTCAGCTGTCCCAGAGTGGCAAGAGCTGAGCATCGCCCCTCGGCCTGTGCTGAGCTGAAGCCTTCAGAGACCTCCATAGCTGCTGCCCCCAGGGTGTTCGTGAAGTGTGTGCACCGCCTGGCCCTGCTCCTCTCCAGGACTGCCCTTCTCCAGCTCTGTCACCCCCTAACTTGGGGCTGGTTTCTATGGAGCAGAGTGGTCTGCTGAAGGAGGGAGTGCTGAAGGAGGGAGTGAGTGTCTGTGTGAGTGTGGGTGCACTTGGGTGAGGGCCTGAGAGTTTAAAGGCAAGGATCTTGATTGGCCTGTAATAAGCAAATGAGCAAACAGAGATGACGGCCAAAGGATATTGAAATCGATGTTAAACATAATTTTCTAACCCTACCCCTGATTTTTGTCTCATCTTCTGAGGCTGACCACCTTTACCAGCACAGCTGTCCCCACTGTGCTCCATTTCGCTCCTCCTCTCTGGCCCCAGGCCAAACCCAGCCATACTCCCCCTGCTCCAGCCTGCAGCTCGGGAGCACATGAAGGGCTGACAGCACCAGGCAGCACAGAGACCGGGGCCCTGGGGGCGGCTGAACGGGGTGAGGGGGTTGGAGGATGGGGTTGGTTCCATGGAGTAAGGAAGGAGAAGAAGCAGGGAGAACCCAGCTGGGGAGATGGCTGCTTCCTGCACTCCCTGAGCCCAGGCCTCCCGCAGGGTGCTTAGGGTGGAAGCCTGGTTCTGTGCCTGACCCACCCTGAACTTCCTGTGAGGGAGCTGTGCGCCCAGACTGCAGCCTTGTGTGGGCAGTAGCTCAGGTCCCTCTGACCTCTCTGGCAGGGAAAAAGCTGCTCTGAGACCAGATGCTTTGAACCTGGCATCCTGGGACCAGGAAGGGCCATTGTTATGGGACCATTGTCATGGGAGCAGGAATAACCCTGTCAGGGCAATTGATGACTGAAGGATCCTGCTGGAGCTGGGGCAGAGAGCCATTGGGGTCAGAGGTATAAGCAGACTTGTTGGGGTTCAGGGAGAAGACTCCTTGGATCTGCAAAAGGCAAGCCTGGATGAAGAGTAAGGAAGTGCCCATGGAGAATCTCTGAGCCCAGGAGGAGCACCAGGTCAGGAGAGAGGAGGCCTGGGTGCTAGTCCTGGTTTGGCCCTGAAATAGCTGAGTGACTGTGGAAAGGCTACTTGCCTTCTCTGGACCTCATCTCCCTCAGTTGTGAAATCAGCACTGAGAGAAATTCCCTTTTGTCCCTGCTACTTCTGGTTCTATCATGGGGGAAATTTACAGCTACCCCTTCACCCCTGCCCAGCCTAGCTTAGCCCTGTGCTGCGTTTTGGGGATCACCTCCAGACCTCTACGGCTCCCTGCTTTCCCCATTTCTGCATCAGAGGCCAGCCCTCCCTTCCCATGGACCTACCCAGGCTCGGAGCCACTGTTGCAGGCTAGACTGGGCCTTGCTAGAAAAGCAAGTACATGAAGTCTCCAGCTCTCCCAGCTCCTTCTCTGGGTTCCTGTGAGTGTGTGTGACAATGAGTTTGGGAGAGGAGGTTGCTGAGGTTCCCAAGTTCTCTGAGGGACCTTCTCAGAGGGTGGGCAGGGAACCCAGAATCCCCCAGAACCCCAGGCTCTTTGACAGGACTTTGCTGTGCCCTGCTCTGATCGTGCCAAGGGGGAGGCACTATCCCTAGCTCTTCAAGAGACTTCTGAAAGGGCCCCAGATCCCACCACAGCTACCTGCCCCAGTCCCTCCTGCAGAAATTCAACTTGTGACAAGGGCTGTTGTGGGTCCCCAGGGAGCAGGGCCAGTCCCAGCCTGGATGAGGGGCTGCCTAAGCCCAGGCTTCCCTGCCCCCAGGTCCCAGATGCCAGAGGAAGCTGAGCGTGCAGATGGTTCCAGCAGGGGCCTCCCCCTAGGGTGCTCAAGGCCCCAAGTCTATGTGGAGGGTGCCCACCCCACTCACACAGGTGGGGAAGCCACAACACAGAGAGAGGGGCAGATTCCCCGCTTTGAGAGCTCCTGTCCCCTGGGGAGAGACGACACACTCTGACACAGCAGAGAACGATACAGAGCTGGCTGCAGGCTGAAGAGACACACAGCTAGTGGCACATAGCAAGGGGTGCTCTTGTAAGCTACAAGAAGGAGCTGTCACTTAGAGTCAGCAGGGGTCAGAGAAGGGGAAAGTCAGCATGGGAACACAGTTGCTGACACACACACACACACACACACACACACACACACACACACGGTGACGTGCCTCGGTGCCATCTGAGGACAGGGCCGCCTTCCTCCCCCTCGGGAGGATGCCCCCACCCTGATTTGGTATGTAATTATGTTCAGGGAGAAGCTGGGCCCCACTGTCGGCGAGGAAACCCCCTAAAAGCTCACCTCCGCCTGTGTGTGCAATTCAGTGGGAGCCTCTTTCTCACCCCTGGTTTCCTGTCATGTCTGTGGGTCGCATTTCAACCAGACCAGCCGGAAGGCTCCAGACCGAAGTCAGGAGGCCTGTTCTGGTCCTGTGTGACTCTGAGCAGGTGGCTGACCATATCTGGGCCTCAGTTCTCACATCTGTGAAAAAGAGAAGTAATGTCTCCCTCGCGAACCTGCTGAGGGTCTTGAGAAAGTGTGCATGAGAATGCTTTGTAAATAATGCTTGTGTGAGTGAGTGGCGGGCATCGCTCCCTGAGCTGTCTTCTAGCTCTGGAGCTCCAGCCTGCTTTCCCACCTTGGGCCCTTGGGCGCCAACATCTGATAGCCCTACTGTGTCCTCCTTTTGCATACCCCTCTGCCTTTCCCATTCTCAGTCTCTGCATACTCCTACTGTAAGGAGAAGGGCAGTGTACTGAGATGGAGTGGAGAGCAGGAGTCCAGGGGCAGGCAAAGCAGTGGACTTGGAATCGAGTCCACTTGACAAGTTCCAATTCCCGTCTCAGTTATTACCTCTGTTCACAGAGCTCCCGGCAGCAGATCGCCAGTCCAGCAGAGCCCCCAGTGGTGCAACTGCAATTACACACAGTGTCTCTACCAGTCCTAAGATATATTAGCTCGTTCTCTTTGTAAATTGCATCGTATTTTAAAACTGAATCTTCAAAGTGCTGACATTAACTAAAGAAAAATATGCTAGAGTCTTTCATCTGTTTATGTTTTAATTAAACAATATTTCTCCAGGGTCCTTAAGTGGCAGAGGTCCAGGATGCAGAGATGAGGCCAGGTCCTGGTTCCTGGGCTCCCTCTACCCCACCCCACTGATGCATCCCATGCTCCGTGTGCTCTTCCCACCCTCCCCTCCCCGACCTTTGCCAGGGACCCTCCCTAGCCTCCCTTGCTGGTTTTGAATCTCCACCTCCTCTCCCCTCTCCTTTCCCGCACCCACGAAACTCCCAGAGTGGAAGCACATCACTGACCCACCATGGAGGCCTGGGCATGACGTCCCTGGCCATCCTGTGACCAGTGAGGCTTGGGGCTTGTGATCAGGGTTCCAAGTGCCCCTGAGTTTGTCATCCACCCTCAGCCTGCCTTTCCCTGGAAAGGGCGGCAAAGCTAGGGCCCTGCAAAGAAGAGAGGCAGCACACAGAGGGAGCAAGGGGGAAGCAGTCCATAACTCGCCCACAGTTTCCTCCTGGCCTTTTCAGCTCCTCCCTCAGGGGTAGGTCATGGTGGGGAGGGGCAGCTGGGCACAGGGGAGAGCAGGCATCTTCTACAGAGGCCTGGGAAGCTGTGTGCCAGACAGCGCCGAGCCCACCAGACCCAGACTCACCTACAGCTGGAGATCCCCACTTCCCTGTGCCCACAGAATCTGCCCTTTGCAGTCTCCCATCTCCCCAACCCAGGCCTCAGCCTGTCTCATTTTTCTATCAGACGTGCTGGAAGAGCAGCAGAATCAGGCCCAGCTCCCAATTCCCTCTCCCCAGTCTTCTCCAGGTGTCCCCTCCCATGAGCGCACAGGAAAAGGACCACATGGCCTGGCGAGCCCTACACCCACTGCTACTGCTGCTGCTGCTGTTCCCAGGTGAGGGGGAGGAGGAGCCCAGGGAGCAGAGGAGATGGGTGTGGTGGGGACTGTCAGGACAGCAGGGTCAGGGAGCAGGTGGCTCTGTGGCCAGAGGCCTGCTGTGAGGCAGGTTGTGCGCGTGGCCTTGACCTATGCGTTACTTCATCATTCTCCAGGCTCTCAGGCACAATCCAAGGCTCAGGTACTTCAAAGTGTGGCAGGGCAGACGCTAACCGTGAGATGCCAGTACCCGCCCACGGGCAGTCTCTACGAGAAGAAAGGCTGGTGTAAGGAGGCTTCAGCACTTGTGTGCATCAGGTTAGTCACCAGCTCCAAGCCCAGGACGATGGCTTGGACCTCTCGATTCACAATCTGGGACGACCCTGATGCTGGCTTCTTCACTGTCACCATGACTGATCTGAGAGAGGAAGACTCAGGACATTACTGGTGTAGAATCTACCGCCCTTCTGACAACTCTGTCTCTAAGTCCGTCAGATTCTATCTGGTGGTATCTCCAGGTGAGCTCTTTCCCTAGGGTCCTCAGAGGGGTGCCCCTCACCCCCTTTTGGTGCCTCCATCACCCCTGGTTTCCCAATCGTGGAAGCCACCCATGCCCACGCCCCAGTCTCCTGGGAAGGCTGTTGGGAACAGGTGCAGGGGGAACTCATATGTGCACAAGAGCAGCCATCTCACAGTCTGCATGACTCCCAAGCCTGCAGCCTGGGCCTCCTGAGAGATGCTGAAACAGACCCGGTGAGCATGCTGACCAGTCAGCCTATATGACCCTGCTACAGGAGGGCAGGACCACCCGGCATCTTTGGTACATAGTAGGTGCCCAGGAAAGGTGCATCCACTGGCTGCCCCCACCATGTAGAGCCAGTGGTATCTGGGTAGTCTAGATACCAAGATACTATGGGTATCCCTCATAGTCCAGATCGGGGACTAAGAATGAGTGAAAAAAACTAAGAATGAGTGAAAAAAAATCAAAAGAAAAACAATATTTTGTGACATACAGGAAATTCAAATTTCAGTGCCTATAAGTGGAGTTATTTTTTGGAACACAGCCATGCCCACTCAATTACCTATTGTCTGTGGCCCTTTTCATGCTGTGACAGCAAAATTGAGCAGCTGTGACAGAGACCACATGGCTCATCCCTGACCCTTTACAGAAAGTGTGCCAAACTCCTGCTCAGAGCAGAGCTACCCACAGTTCCTGTGGAAGAGGACCTTCTAAAAAAAAATCTGCAATTCACATGAGTAATTTTTTTTGTAAAATACAGTAAAAAAAAATTACTAGAAAAATAAGAAAAAGATATATAAAGTACAAGCCCAACATTTATTAAATTTGACAAACATAAAATTACATTTTAATGAATACAATCAGAACAAATATCACATAGGGAAAAATTTATAAAAACTGTATACATTGTTCATTTGAAAGTGTGCCTAAAGGTGATTGATGTAGTGGCTTAACGGTATACCCATAACGTTTTGTCATTCCTCAGTTAAAACTAAGTACAAAGCTAGAAGGGAAATTGCAGTTCTCCATATTAAATGCCAATATGCACCCTTCAAACAAACACCCTGTCTTTCCGTTTTTAAGGATTATAATGTGACAAATGAGCACTTTTCTTACTTGGTAACTTTCCTAATCTGAGAACTATTTATGACACCACATCACTTAGGAGATAATGTATAAAGAAATTGTGTTGATTTTTTTTAAAATAATACTCACAGTAGAAGCCCAGAAAACTGGTCTCACGGAGGTATAATGTCAGAAATAGAAGAAATTTTAAAGCAATTCCGACAAGCTCAACAGTTTTATATTTAACTTTTACAAAAGGAAGCAAGCGATGCTGTAATTTCAAAATGCATCTTCAATCCTTTATCAGTAGCCAGTTCCAAAACTTTATCCTAAAACTTATAGTTTAAATTATCTTTCGATGGGAAAATATGGATTCTAGATCTATGAATTTCCTCTGCATATATCTTCTTCTGACAAAAAAACGAAATTCAAAACATGCTATCAAATTATTAATGTTTTCCCATGAGCACTTGTGAAGATATGCAATATCAATATTATCACTTATTTTGTTGATAAATGTTATTAAATTAAGAACATGTCATAACAATTCATAGAAATGGTTCTTCTGACTTTTATGTTTGCACTTAGACTTTACTTGCCATTGAAAAACATGTCGCTTTACTTCCTTGCATGGAAATATTAACTTCAGAACTACAGTATAAACAAGTCTGATGGTACAATTCACATTTGTACTAAACTGGCTTCTTGTCTTAATTAGGAATTCTTCCTATAGATGAAACATGCTCAACAAAACTTTAAATTTGGCATGCAACAGTAGCTGTTTATGATCTGTTTCCATATTACCACATAATAAAGAGAATGATTTCAAATTTAATATATTCACCTTATAAAATTCACAATTCTGTCCATGTTGGTCAGCACAACGTTCAGTTAAGCTGCTTTTTTTTCATAGTAAAACTCTCTCAATGAAGGAAGCAGTGCATTAATTTAAAATCTAGCCCAAGACTTCTTAACCTGGATGACATTTTCCTGTCATTGCAACTGCAGCCATCAGAACATACTCTTACATAAAACTTAACCCCAAACCACATTTTGATAATATAACCTTCATAGTTTTATACATTCAGAGCTAGTTGTGTTTGTGACAATTAAGCTAAAAGATACAGAATTCCTTCATATCATTGTGTTCAAATTGCATATACTAAAAGAATAGCTATGTTAGCAATATTTGTACATTTTTTCAAATTGCCATGAAAAATACTTTGCTAGCTTTATTTGTTCTAGGAGATGGTCATCCATCTTGTTATCCAATTCCTGAATATGTTGACCTAAGGCGTCAAGGGAAAATGATATCAAGCTCCCTTCTTTGCTATAAATTACCCAATGTCGTAAAGCAAACGTTGTTCAGTAATGTTTTGGCAATTGTAGATGGATTGTTGGTCTTTGCAGTACAAAATGTTACTTTACAAGAAGCCACAAAGTCTAGAGCTTATATGTGAAGTATGGATTCCTTTCAAGAGCTTTTCAATCCAATACTCTTTTTTCTCCTAAAAACAGTTTGTTGTGAACTTGTGTTTTTCCGTTTTATATGTATATGCCACTTGTTTTTTTGTTTTGTTTTATTTCGTTTTGAGGCGGAGTCTCGCTCTGTCTGGAGTGCAGTGGTGCAATCTCGGCTCACTGCAACCTCCACCTCCAGGGTTCAAGCGATTCTCCTGCCTCAGCCTCCGGTGTAGCTGGGACTACAGGCGCCTGCCACCACACCCGGCTAATTTTTGTATTTTTAGTAGAGATGGGGTTTCACCATATTGGTCAGCCTGGTCTTGAACTCGTGACCTCAGGTGATCCGCCTGACTCGGCCTCCCAAAGTGCTGGGATTACAGGCTTGAGCCACCATGCCCAGACTATGCCACTTGTTTTTGTTGTTGTTGTTATTGTTGTTGTTTTGAGACAGAGTCTCACTCAGTCACCCAGGCTGCAGTGCAGTGGTGTGATCTCGGCTCACTGCAAGCTCCGCCTCCTGGGTTCACACCTTCTCCTGCCTCAGCCTCCCAAGTAGCTGGGACTACAGGTGCCCGCCACCATGCCCGGCTAATTTTTTTATATTTTTACTAGAGATGGGGTTTCACCATGTTAGCCAGGATGGTCTCGATCTCCTGACCTCATGATCCGCCCTCCTCGGCCTCCCAAAGTGCTGGGATTACAGGCGTGAGCCACTGCACCTGACCCAACTCAAGGTCTTCAACCTTAATCACATCTGCAAATTTCCCTTTGCCATGGAAGGCAATGTCCTCACAGGTACCTGGGATTAGGGAGTAGACATTTTGGGGTACCCGTATTCTGCCTACCACAATGAGAGATTCTACTTTCAAACAAAACCAGCACAAACTCTTTGGAATAACTGCAGAAGGAAAAAATTTATTTAGAATCAGTTCTACCATCTTCATCTGGCTTACTGTCACTGCCACATTCAGGAAAGATGTTTTTTTTCAGTGATTTTTGTTTTGCTATCTGTTCATTAGAATGCTAATTAGGTAATCACTATTCTACTCTAACTTAGCTAATCATGTTACACTCTAAATTTTGTTTAAAAAAAGTTTGATTAAAAATTAAAATGATTGTAAAAATAATAAATCATAAAATTATACATCTTTCGAGATGTTTATACACTTTTGGGCTATAGCTAACAACTTTATTTATTTATTTATTTATTTATTTATTGTGAGACAGAGTCTCACTCTGTCACCCAGGCTGGAGTGCGGTGGCGCGATCTCGGCTCACTGCAACCTCCACCTCCCAGGTTCAACCCATTCCCATGCCTCAGCCTCCCAAGTAGCTGGGATTACAGGCGCCTGCTACCACGCCTGGCTAATTTTTTGTATTTTAGTAGAGACGTGGTCTCACCATGTTGGCCAGGCTGGTCTCAAACTCCTGACCTCAAGTGATCCACCTGCCTCGGCCTCCAAAACTGCCGGGATTACAGGCGTGAGCCACCACGCCTGGCCGCTAACAAGTAATTTTAAAGTATCACACACTGTAACATGGCTCTGGCATAGGTTACTAGCACACAGCTCACTCCATATTCGACCCTCCATGCTAATTTGACAACACCCAAGCTGGTCTATATCCTGTTCAATGAGATGAGACGAGTTAACTAATCACGGGCTTGGATCTTGAGGCAGTATCAAATTGATATAAACGTTTTGAAACCCCTACTCCCAATTTTTATACTTCCCTTGTTGTGGAAGGGTTACAGACAATTTGTAGACCAGCACCAGGCCATAGATGACACATTCAATAGCACATGTCTAGGATTTTACCAGAGTGTCCCAAACACCTCTCCCAGGCTGAGCACAGGGTTATCCTGGCCAGCATCCTAGACAGCCTCAGAGAGTGTTCTATGGGACAGGATCGTGCCCACAGGTCCATAGGCCTGTGACTCTCTCCAGGGAGGACCTTCCAGGGCAGTCTCTGGGACGAGGAATGACTCAGCCTCAGGCACCCTCTCCTCCAGGCCCCTCCCAGCCCTTTCCCCTTCTTTCCCCTTCTCCCCACCTCCTGGACTCCAGTTAGGTATGTAGACCTAGTCTGCTAGGTCGAGACACTGATAATCCCCACTTCCTCTCCCAGCCTTGGTTCCAACCCTACTTTCTTTTCCTTCGCCACCCCACCACCCGCCAACAGCCAATGCCTTTTCGACCTCAACAGTCCCCATCACTTTTCCAGAGACAGCCATTCCCCACCTCCACCAAGGGCTCTAAGCACAGGTGGGTCTGGATCTTCCTGGGAAGGTGAACAGCAGGAGTGGTGCGCAGCCGGTTCACAGAGTCCCAGAGTCAAGAGGGGCTGTGAAAGGCATTCCCTAGGCTGCTGAGACTTGGGGTCCAGGGCTGTGCAGCAGAACTGGGAGGGGCAGGGATCTGAAAACTACCCTTCAAATTCCCCACAAGAGGCTCCCTTCCCAAGTCCCAGAGGCATGAGAAAGAGAATGGAGGGCAGAGAGCCGAAGGGGCCCGAAGCATCATGGCCATGTCCACCCTTAGGAGGCTCGGATGGGTGCCCATCCAAAGACTCGAGTGCCTCCTGAGTCCTCTTCCAGTGCTCCTCCTAGACTCAAGGATACAACTGCAGGGGCCCAGTAGAGCCCAGGCCACAGGTGTGTCTAATTCTGAGCCAGAGGACTTCACAGTTCAGTCCCCACCCCTCAAATTAGTTTTCTTCTCTGGGCGCATGGGCTCTGTTCCCAGTCTGGTCCAACTCCCCCATCCAGCTCTCCTGCCGGCAGGCACAAGTGAGGTCTCCCACTCACTAACCACGCTCTTTCTCCTCCCTGGCAGCCTCTGCCTCCACACAGACCTCCTGGACTCCCCGCGACCTGGTCTCTTCACAGACCCAGACCCAGAGCTGTGTGCCTCCCACTGCAGGAGCCAGACAAGCCCCTGAGTCTCCATCTACCATCCCTGTCCCTTCACAGTGAGTTTCGGGGTGCCCGTAGCCACACAGGCCTGGGCGGGGGCTGGCAGATGGAGACTTGCCTCCCCAGCCCGTCCTCTCCCCTTCCTGTCCCTCTGCCTTCCAGGCCACAGAACTCCACGCTCCGCCCTGGCCCTGCAGCCCCCATTGCCCTGGTGCCTGTGTTCTGTGGACTCCTCGTAGCCAAGAGCCTGGTGCTGTCAGCCCTGCTCGTCTGGTGGTGAGTGTGGTGTGGGTTGAACTCGGGGAAAATGGAACAGGGAACAGCTTCTGCCCAGGATAGAGGGTCAGAGGGGAATCGGCCAGAGAACAGAGGTGGAAATTATAATCGGCAGAGCTCTCCAAATTAAAGCCCTCATGGAGTCCATCCATCTGACATGTCACACAGGCTCACCTTTGTCCTTCAGCTGCAAACTTGCAGGAATCTCATCCATGTTTCTCTGTCTCTGTGTTTTCTCCTCTCTCTCTCCCTCTCTCTCTCTTTCTTCCCCCTGCTCCCTTTTCCTCCCTTTCTCTCTCCATTCCTCCCCCTCCCTCTTTCCCATTCCACCCCCTTCCTCTCTCCCTGTCTCTCTACCCCTCCCTCCTCTCCTCTTCTTCCCTCTACCTTTCTCCTTCTCTCCTTCCCTCTCCCCTGTCCTTCCACTCCCCCATCCCTCCATCAGAAACACAGACCTACACAGCTGGAAAGTCCCTCCCACTACCTGCCCTTCCAGGCAAGCCCAAGTCCAGGGACTCCCTAAAGCCACCATCCCAGGACTCTGCCTCATTCTAGTCCTGAGGGAGAGAGGGTAGACACAGGAGGGAAACAGCCCCCAGGGAGAAGGGGACACATGGGAAAAAACCATAGGTGGGGCTGAGTGAAAGGTGCAGGGACAACTCAGTCAGGCCAGGAGCCGGCTTGCTGGAGGAGGGGCAGGCTTGGGGAAAGGGACAGGGTGTGAGAACGGATTCAAGTCACTTCATGTATTTCTCCCCTCATCTCAAGGGTTTTAAGGAATCGGCACATGCAGCATCAAGGGAGGTCTCTGCTGCACCCAGCTCAGCCCAGGCCCCAGGCCCATAGACACTTCCCACTGAGCCACAGGGCACCAGGTGGGCGGCCAGTCTCCAACAAGGCTGGGCTCCCAGCAGCTCCTCCCTGACTTCTGACCTCTGCTGTTATCCGCAAAGAAAAGGCCAGGACTTGATCCAAGGCCTTTAGCCACGCTCTCCCTGCAGAGCTGCAGAACCCAGGCCCTCTACTTGCTCACCCTCAGTTTGCACTGCGGCCAGCACCCCGTTGTGGGAGCAAAGCCCAGCGCCTGCAGCATCTTTCTACCAAACCTGAGTCACTGATGACATTCCCTCTTCCCTGCCTCCTCCTCCTATCTATAGCCCCTGATAAAAGAAAAACGTGAGGCCTGGAACGCTGGTGGCTGACACCTGTAATACCACCACTGTGGGAGGCCAAGGCTAAAGGATGGCTTGAAGCCAAGAGTTCCCAGTTGCAGTGAGCCATGATCACGCCACTGCACTCCAGCCTGAGCCACGGAGTGAGACCTTGTCTCTAAAACAGAAAAGAAGAAAAGAAACACTTTAGACAAAATAAATTTAACAGAGTTTATCTGAGCAAAGAACGATTTGCAAATTGGGCAGCCCTCAGAACCAGAAGAGGTTTAGAGAACTCTGCTCTGCAACCTGGGCAGTTGTAGAGAGAAAAAAAGACTGAAGAAAGCGGAAACAAGGAACAAAAAGAAATTGGTCATTTCAAAGTTACCTTCTTGGTAAAAGGTTAAAGCAGAGGGGATTTCCCTACCATACCGGCTAAAACTGACCTGTTCAGGGATTTGGCTGTTACCTCTCTCTCCTAATTTCTCGGAAGGTGAGATAAACAACTTGGTTTTGGCTTGGTGGTGTGGAACCTTAGCACCAGTGACCCCATTTTGGTTTGGGCTGTTGGGCCTAGTGCAGGAGCTCAGTCTAAATCAATGGCCTCTTATTACTCTGATTTAACACCCCAAATCCAGACGCCTGGGTCACCCCAACGTTTCCCTCTCCCTCTGCCCTTGCTCAGCCACACTCTGCCAAGGCCTCTCCTATTGTGCCTCCTCCCCCTTTCCAAGCCCCTTCACCTCACACTGGCACTCGGACCACTGTGTCAGCCACCTAACAGGGGGTCCTGTCTTCAGTCCCCGCCTCCTAGATTGTTCCCCTGATATGTCCCTTCCCAACAATACCTCTGTGCATTTCTGCCACCCAGGAATTGAAGTCCAGTGTCGTTACTGGGGTCCCAATAATGCTTTGCCTAGATCAGCCACCCCTGTAGCACAGCACCCCACTGTGCTGTCCTTACCACCACCAACATGGCTGCAGCCTCCACAAGGAAGTGAACCTTTCTTTTTTCCTGCACAAGCTGGTCAAGAGGCGCCTCAACTCGCCACATTCAAGATCACTCCGTGCCTTGCCCCAGGCCTGTCACCCCCACAGTGCTGTTGTCTCTTTCTGACGCTTACAATCCCGATGTTGGACCTACCAGACTGAGACTGACGTGATTATCTTTTCTCTCCTGTTTGTCATCTATTTTTCTTTATTCCTACTTTCTGAGAAAGTTCCCCAAGGTTACATTCTATTCAAATGTTTTCAATGTACACGATCACATTTTTCATTTCTAAACGGTCCATTTGTTCTCCGAATGTTCCTTTTTATAGCACAGCATGTTTTATTTTGGCAAGCCACATTTTCTCTGGAAATATTAAAGTTTTAACTTTTGAACTTTTCCGAAGCTTTCCATATTTTCTATGTCCTCCAAGTGCCCATCATATCTTTTATTTTCTCCTTTCATTGACCTCTGTCTTTCTTCAGAGCTTTCTGGAAACCTTTGCCGCTTCTCGGCCACCCACTTGCTTAGAAGCCCCATGCGGGCCGCGGGGTGCTGTGGGCTCCAGGCGGATTGGGCGGGAGTATGGCTCCATTTTTTCTCTTTCACAGCTCTGTTTCTCTAGAAAGGACTCTTAGCTGTCCTTCCTGGGAGTGTAAGTCTAGACCCAGGGTTCTAGGCACCAACTGGAACAGAGCAAAGGGGTCTCGCTGCCCAATGTCTGTTCCCACCCAGGCCCCCACTGCACACTCTCTCTCTGTGGCGCCCTGTGCCCTGAGCAGAGCATCTCTGTGTCACCCTCATCAGAGACTTACCTCAAGCTCTCTGCAGCTGTTGAGAGAGAGGAAAGACAGAGGATGTGGGCAGCTAACCTACTCTCAGTCTCACGGAAGCCAGAGAATCTAGGAGTCTAAGTGATTCTTAAAGTTCCAACCTGTTCTCTGGTTTCCAGCACCCACTTCAACCCTGCCTTAAGAGATACCTGCACCTCCCATTTCTCCAACTTTCTGGGGTTCCAAGGTAAAAATGACTTCCCTCTTATTCCCCCACTCCCACCAGCTCTCTCTGATCTGTGAAGTCATCTGATTTTACCCACCTTCAAAACATGTATGGAGCTCTCTGTTTATCTTTGAGGATGGGTTTATGCCATTTTTATCCAGTTATTGCTGCTTTCACCTTCTTGGCAAGAGTGAGGAGGGACCCCAGATTTTCCATCAAAACACCCCTCCCCAGCACCCGCCACCAAGGGCAGGAGCAAGTGAGATCCCAGGTCTCCACTTGCTCCTGTAAAGACTCCTGGCCCCCTCCCCTTCCCCCAAGGTCAGCACTCAGACTCCAGTACAGCCTCTTGGTGCCTTATTATATCCCTGTTCACTCTAGTTGCCATAAGATGCCCAGGATGCCCTGGTCCTCCCTCATCACCCAGAATCCCAACTCAGTAAGACCTTGTAAATCCATGACATTAGCCCCAATTCCCACTCGTCCCAAATCCCATAACCTTTCCACCCTGCACCTGAAGTGCGCAGTCATCAGCACAAGCTCCTGTATGCTCAGCTTCTCTGAACGTCACCGCGGTACTCTCCCTGACATCTGCCTGTTCTCCGAGGACAATGCTTTCTCCGCAGTTCTCTTGCGGGGGGAGGGAGGCGGTTTGTTCTCCTTTGCCTCATGCTCCTGAGCCCAAGGGTGGGGTCAGTGTCCTCTGTGCCCCTCACAGCCCCTTCCTATCTTCTGATCCTCCCTAAAGCACTCCACAAGTAGCTTTCTGCCATTAGGCTGTATCACTGTGGGTGACCACCCATCATCACTGCAGATTCTGTACAATCTGGGGCACGGCTCTTTATTCCTCATGGGTCTCAACCCCAGGCTCAGCGTCACTCTGACTGCTCCCGCCATAATTCTTTGTGATCTTGGGCCCACGTAGACAAGATCTACATGAATGATTCTTCCAAATCTCTGGCATCACAGTTCCTTGGCCTCCTATCCCCAGTGGTCTCGTCCTCTTCCCTATTTCAGCCACCATTGCAGATGGTCAGTAAGCGCCAATAGCCCCCCTCTTAATCTCATTCCCACCACCCCCTACCTCAGTCCTGCTAACCTGATCCCAGTATTGCTTCAACACCACAGGGACCCATGATCCATTGATCCTGCCACCCGCCCCTTTCCGCCATCTCACCCATGCTTTCCTTTCCCTTAGATTCCATGATCCAACCTCAAATCAGTCTTTGGCACACAGCCTCCCCTTCTGTGCTCCTCTCCCCTTTTATTGAACTCCTCTGGGAAAACTGTAACCCTGGTTGAACCTAGCTTCCTGCTTACTCTGTGCCTGTGTCCAGCCAAGATGAATGTGGCTGTGGCTGACAAAATACAATCTATCATCCCGAAATGTCTCACTGTCAGCACGTGACCTTGAGAGTGGAGTGGCTCTGCTCCATTCTAGACCCACATCATTCTCTGTCCTCCCTCTCCACATGCTCAGCTGGTGTGCCCACATCCTAACTCACTGAAAAGAGAGAGAAAGAGGGGGAAAGAGAGAAAGAGAGGGAGGGAGGGAGGGAGGGAGGGACAGAATGAGAGGAAGAGAAAAAGAGGAGGGAAGAAGGAAAGAAGGAAAAGGGAGGGAGGGAAGGAAGGAGAAAAAAGAAAGTCCACTTGATCCCACCACACCTACCAATCATCTGCCTCTCTTCTTCCTCTCACTCTCCCTACTCTTATCTCAAGCCAATCACTTTCCTTCAGCTCCAAATACCATCTTCTCTTGTCTACACAAGAATATTCCAGCCGAGCATGGAGGTGCGTACTTGTGGTCCCAGCTACTTGGGAGGCTGAGGCAGGAGGATTGCTTGAGCCTGAGAGGTGGAGGCTGCAGTGAACTATGATCGTGCCACTGCACTCCAGCCTAGGTGACAGAGCAAGACCCTGTCTAAAATAGAAAAAGGAATATTCATCCAGGAGCCACCCCTCTCTCCTGCATCATCTTCCCGGGTTGTATGTCATGACCATCAGAATCTAAATGGGCTCTAATATATTAAACCCTCCCCACCTACAGCCCTCCAGCTACTGCTCCATTATCTTATTGTCCTCTGCAGCAAGGGCCCATGAAAGGACTGGCTGCACCATCAGCCTCCAAAATTCTCTTTTCTTCTCTCTTGAAGCCACTCCAGTCAGGCCTTTGACTATGCCACTCCTTGAAACACCTCCAGTGAGTTGTGCACTGTGAAATCCAGCAGCCAATGCTGAAATCTCCTCACCCTGGGAAGAGGAGCACCCTAGGCATGGCCTCCCACTTCTGCCTTCTTGAGATGCTTTCTTCCAGGGCTTCCAGGAAAAAAGAACTCTTGTGACTTTCTCCTGACTCATTTGATGTTGCATAATAAATTAGCCCCAAAACGTAGTAGCTTAAAACAACAAATGATACATATTCATTAGGTCACAGGTTTTTTGGGGGGATGGGGGTGTGATCAGAAATTTGGGAACAACTTAGTTGGGTGTTCCTGGCTCAGAACCTCTCTGGTGTCGCAGTCAGGATGTCAGCAAGAAGTGCGGTGGTAGGGAGGCTTGATGGAGGGCCGTGCCCAAGACGGTGCATCCTCATGTGGTTGCTCGCACAGGCCTCAGTGCTTTGCCATGTGAGCCTTTCTTCACGGCAAGGGAACTAACTTCCCAAGTGTGACTGATCCAAGAGAGGGTGCGGAAGGAGGAAGTCATAGTGCCATTAATAACCTAGTCTCTGAAATCACAAACCGTTGCTTCTGCCATATTCTACTCATCGGAAGCCAGTCATTGGGTCCAGCCCAATGGGATTCGCCTCCAACCCTTGAAGGAAGGTATATTAAAGAATTCGTGCCTGTATTTTAAAACCACCACAGTACTTGCTCTGGCCACAAATTATTTACATTCCTCCCACATGCAAAAATACACTCAGTCCCACCAAAGGTCTCCCAAAGTCTCATCCCATTATGGCGTCAGGATGAGGTCCAGGAACTCATCATTTAAACCAGGTCCAGGTGTGGAGGAAATTCCTCAGGTGTAATTCCTCAAATACAATTCTCAGTATGAAGACCTGTGAGCTAGAGACAAGTTATCTGCCACACACACAACCCCAATGTCCAATGCAGTACAGTCATAGGAAAACCACTACAGATATTTTTGTTCAAAAGAGGTGGAAGGGGGAGACAAAAAAAAAAGTCACTGGTCCTTAGAAAATCAGAACTTTAGCTGGGAAAATGTTGGAAATTCCTTGATTCAGACACTGCTCAACTCCTACCTAGAAATAATTCTCAGTGGTCGTGGCTCCTTCCTCTGTGCTCGAGTATGTCTTCTGAGCCACCCTTCTCTTTCCATGAAAGGCAGCCCATATTTACAGCTTCGTAACTTCCTCAGGCTGCTTCCTGCCAGTTTAATTTGGGGGATACAAAGTGAGATCCCAGATTTTATGCTATTTCTGTTCCTTTCAGTCCAATCTGGCAGTGTTTTGTGACTGTCATTCTCTTAAAAAAAATGTGGATCTCCTGTAAAACTTATTGTGACTCACTCCATTAGACAAAGACCATACCCACAAATTTCTCCAAGAGAAGATCTCTTCCACACCATGTGCTTCTGACAAGAAAGTGAGGATAATGTCTTTATACTTCTTAGAAGATCTAATGTTCGACTGAAAAATCTATGAAGCACGCACCCTTAAATTCATGAAAGGGCCTTTTGCCTGAGACACTATGTGAAATAATAATTATTATACATTATTGAAATCATTATAATTTTATATAAATTATTATAGTTTATTATATTTTTAATATATTTTATAAATTTTTTATATTTTTATTTTTTATATTTTATTTATATATTTTATATTAATTTTTATTAATAATTTTAAATAAATTATAATTTTATATATTATGCATATATTATCATGTATATAATTTTCATATATATATATATTTCTTTGACCCTAGTTCCTGACACAGAGCTCCTGAGACCCTTATAAATGGGAGTGCTAAGATAATCTTTTGTTCTCATATTTGGTCTTTGACCTCTGCTCCTGACACAGAGCTCCTAAGACCTTTCTAATCTCCTGAGTGATAGGAGTGTCTAACACAGAGGTCCTACCTCCCTTGGAATTTCCTGGCATCTTTTCCTCTAAAGAGGTGACTCTTAGTGTGCTCTTGGATGGGGGCTGGTCACCAGAAGGATCAATCCATGATTGAAAGCTTGGAACTTTCACCCCACCTCCCATACCCCAGGGAGGGGAGGGGGCTGAAGACTGCATTAATCATCAATCAAGCTGACATGATGAAGTCTCTGTAAAAATCACAAAAGTAAGGTTCAGGAGCTTCTGAGTTGGTGAACACATTCATGTGCTGGGAGGTATGGTGCACCCCAGCTCCACAGAGACCAGAAGCTCCTGCCCTCCAGCCCTTCCATACCTGAAAACAATTTGGTTTTTCCTACTAAACACACAACTTTCTGAGGTCTTAACAAAGGATTTTACAGCATAGCCTTGGTTTCATCTTTAGACCACATATTCCTGAACGTGCCCTGGATTTGATTTTAGCATCATTTACTGTCTGGAGGCTGAGAATTTTTTAAGTCATCAAGTCCCAGCTCCCTCATGTTGAATAATCCTGCCTAGAGTTTACCTCTCACCTCTCTCATTTCACAATGAGCCACAAGAAGAAACCAGGTAGCACTTTCAAGAGTTTGCCTGGAAATCCTAGCTGTACAACCCAGCTCATGAGGGACATTTTCTACTTTCCACATTACTGCAGATGACAGTGTTGCTAAACTTTCTGCCATTGTGTAACAAAGAACCCCCTTCCTTTTTACCAACTAAATGATGCTGGAAAAGTTTCTTAAGGTCTCTACCCCGAGTCTTCTTATTGGTAAAAACAGAACTGATAACACACATATTACCAAGCTATTTGGATTTCTAAGTAGGGTGATGTATTCAAAAAGCACCAGACAAAAGGAGAACACCCAACAAAGGCTGAGTTTTAGAGGGAGTGAGGTGTAGAAGAAAGCAGACTCAACTGTGACACAGCAGAGACCATCTGCCTTTCCAGAGCTTACTGCAGCTGAAAAGACAGATAATAGTGTGTGGGCAGAGGGTGAACCTGGAGACTTGAAGGAAACAGGCCCCTCTTCTTGGTGGACAGTAGAGGAAAATAAAGGAAAAAATCAGGGTGAGGAAACTGACCAAACTGGGCTCAAAATCCATGCATGCTCACTGACACTTTTCTGGCAGCAGTGGCCAGGAGCAGACTTCATCCTTGTGAGGTGGGTATGGCAACCAACCCTGCGAGTAGTGGGATGGGGAAGGGGTTGCCTCTGCACCTATGTGCAATTATGTGGCAGTCTCTGACCACCTTCCTGGTTTCCTGCTCTGATTGCAGGGGGGACATATGGTGGAAAACCATGATGGAGCTCAGGAGCCTGGATACCCAAAAAGCCACCTGCCACCTTCAACAGGTCACGGACCTTCCCTGGACCTCAGTTTCCTCACCTGTAGAGAGAGAAATATTATATCACACTGTTGCAAGGACTAAGATAAGCGATGATGATGATGAACACACTTTGTGAATAATAAAATTATCTGAATGTTTTATTCCTGTTGTTTCCTAAGTTTCCTTCAAACTCTGTCTGCATCCGCACATTTGATCTCTAGGGGACCAGCTTCTCTAGTTTGCCCTCTTTCCTCCATCATAACCCTTTCTTATCTTCAGTTCACCTGATGTCCCCTGTACGTCTGGGAGCTGCCTTAGATGCTGTTATAATCAGGGAAGGGCACTGTACACAAGCCCAGTGAGTAGAAAGGCTGTGGGCGAGCAAGGCTTGGAAACAAGACCTGGGTTTGTTTTCTCAGCTCAGCCCTGTATGAACTCGGACAGATAGGTCACTGCCCCTCTCTGAACGTCCGTTTCTTTCTCTAGAAAATGAAGGGGGTGGAGATGAGTTCTGAAACCCCTTCCCCATGAGGATAAGTCAATAAGCATGAACTCAACACCTGCCTGTGCCCAGCTCAGGGACCAAGCACCACAGGACACAAACAAAAGGAGCCAGCCTGGGAACACAGTTGTGAGTCCATAGGTGGCGGGGCCCCTGTGCAAGATTCCAGCACAGGCTGAGGGAAGGGGACAGTGGAGGGGGAGCAAAGCTGAAAATATGTGGCTGGAGAGGGATAGAAAAGCAGGACACTAGTGGGTACCAGACAGTGGGGGAAGGAGCCCAACAAGGATGAGGAACTTTGCTGTGAAGTCATGTTAGTCAGGATGCCATGACCTTCCATGAGCCCGAAAGAGGGCACACAGTCCCAGGAAGGAGGCGAAACCCTGCCCCATCTCTACTCACCCCTAAGGTTCTGGGAGCTTCCTGGTATCCAGGGAAAATTTAGGCTCCCAGGGTCTGCGGTCTTTTTCTTGGAAACCCCAGTCTCCGGCTTCCTGTTTCCAGTTTCGCCTTCCTTCCTGGGCTCCTCTGGGTACCAGGCTCCATACCCTGCCAAAGGCTAGAAAGTCTGCGGACAGCCGGCCGGGCGTGGTGGCTCATGCCTGTAATCCCAGCACTTTGGGAGGCCGAGGCAGGCAGATCACCTGAGGTTGGGCGTTCGAGACCAGCCTGACCAACATGGAGAAACCCTGTCTCTACTAAAAATGCAAAATTAGCCGGGCGTGGTGGCACATGCCTGTAATCCCAGCTACTAGGGAGGCTGAGGCAGCAGAATTGCTTGAACCTGGGAGGTGGAGGTTGCAGTGAGCCGAGATCGCGCCATTGCACTCCAGCCTGGGAAACAAGAGAGAAACTCTGTCTCAAAAAAAGAAAAAAGAAAGTCTGGCGACAGCCAAGGTTTCAGACAGACCAGAGTTTCTGCTTATGGTTGAAGTGCTGAACTTGTTGGGTCTAAATGTGAATATGCACTGAGTAGTAGAGTCTATTAAGAAACTATTTTTAATTGCATTGGCTGTGATCATATTAATTTGCTAAGCAGCAAGAGCTCTTGTTTTAGAAATGTATGATAAATTATTTAAGGGTGGAATGTCAGGATATCTGCAATTTATTTAAAAATACTTCCACATAAAAAAAAATACCGTGAGTTAAAAATACAGAAGTGGAGTGGAGCACCTGGCCCCTGAGCTCTGATGATGACAGGGCCTGCTATAGGCCCATCCTGTTCCTCCATGGAAATTAGACAAATGACCCATCTTGCAGAGAGATCACAAAAAGGCACACACACCCCCACCCCCAGCCCCGGGCCTACTGATTACAAAAATGCACCCTAGCCAATACCTGGTAGAATTCCAACCCTGCTGGCCCAAACACCCAGGGACTTCCTGTGGTTATGGGATAACAGCCAACACAGCCACCATCGAAGCAGAGTCCACAGTCTCAGCGAGGTGCTCAAATCTTGGTGCAGCCCTGAACTTGACATTGGTCAGCAGATCTCCACAACAGCTGCACCTAGAGTTGCACACACCACACCAGCTTTCCTGGTGTTTTTCTCTTTTCTTTGTACATTATATGTAAACATCATTTTTCCAATTCTAAGAATCCCGACATTCAATAAAGGGAAATATGTTAGATTCTTGTATCTACTATTTTTTCCCCAACCAACCTTTCTCAAGCATTAGTAGGTAAGAGAGCAGGAGCAAGTGGTCCAGCCATGCTTCCAGGGCTGAGGCTTTCCTCTCTCCTCCTCCTGACTCCCCTCCTCCTGAACAAATCCTATTCCCTCCCAGCACCCTCTCTGAGGATTCCTCGGTCACCACCCCAAGAGCTCAAGGAGAAGCGGCTTGGTTGGGAGGACCCTCTCCTCTGCCTCTTGCTGCTAATGGCACCTGCACCTAGTTTGCAGGTGCCCTCAGCTTCAGATGGGGGACTGGGGAGGAGGACAAGAAAGAAGGCTGGAGAGGGAAGTGGGGCAGGAAGAAGTGACCTTGCAGCCAGAGGACCAGCAGGAGGCTGATCCCAGGGGTGGGTATACATGTGGCCGCTTCCCCTTCCCCAGCCCTCCAGGGCTCCCAGATCTGATGCTCCTGAGGAGAAAAATCTGAGCCTGAGGAACTGAGGGAAGGGAACAGGAAGGGCCTCTGTGGGGAAGGGAGAGCATCTCAGCCAATCACCGTGACCTGCCAGTTACCTGACCAGGCACAAAGCTTAACTATGTCCTTCCCATATTTGACCTGGGACAACACCCTTTCGTCTGGCTTTGCTGCCCTCCCCAAACTGGGCTGCAAGAAAGGAGCTCAGGCACAGTGGTGGGAAACAGTGTTCCCTGCAGCTGTCAGTATTTCCAAAGTTGTCACCAAGTGTCCCCAGGTGAGCTCCTCCCCTGAGGAAATGGCCTCCCCAAGCTTCTGGGAGAAATGCCATCACCTGCCCCCTAGAGAAGGACGGGCCCTCCATATAAACAGCTCCCCCATACAGAGCCAGGAAGGAGGACTGACTGATTTTTCTGCCTAAAACACAATCCTGTGTATGACGAAAGATACTACAAACAATGTTTTTTAAAATGTAAACGGAGGCCAGGCGCAGTGGCTCACGCCTGTAATCCCAGCACTTTGGGAGGCCAAGAGGGGCGGATCATGAGGTCAGGAGTTCAAGACCAGCCTGGCCAACATAGTGAAACCCTGTCTCTACTAAAAATACAAAAATTAGCTGGGCGTGGTGGTGCATGCCTGTAATCCCAGCTACTTGGGAGGCTGAGGCAAGAGACTTGCTTGAACCTGGGAGGCGGAGGTTGCAATGAGCTGAGATCATGCCACTGCTCTCCAGCCTGGTGATAGAGTGGGACTCCATCTCAAAAAAAAAGACAAAAAAGTAAAGCGAGATTTTAAAAATAATATATATGTTATACAAAGATTAATATCCAAACTATAAAAGGAACTTGTGAAATCAATAAGCAAAGGGCAACAACTCAATAGAAGAAACAGAAAAGGATAGAATTGCAATCCAAAGAAACGCCCCATGGAAAATTAATACATGGAAGGCAAGATCAATTTTATCAGTAAGTGGGAAAATGCAAATTAAAACAACAATGGAGGGATCATTTTTCACCTATTAAATTAATACAAATTTAAAAGATTGGTTATTCCCAGCAGTGACGATGTTGTGAGAAAATTGGCATCTCAAAGGATGTCGGTGGGAATATAAATTAGTCTATCCTTTTAGGAAATCAATTAGTCCAGATTTATCAAAATATTAGATGTATATCCACTTTCCACAGACAATTCCATTTTTAGTGTCTGCATGAGAGAATAAATCATGTGTGCACAAAGAGGCATATGTAAAAGGTTATTTGCTGCAACATTTTATATAATAGTGAAACTTAGAAACAAATCAAATGGCTACAAATAGGAAAGGAAGGAAATAAATGAGGCTACATCTCTAGCCTAGGGCACTAAACAGCAGGTTAGAAAGGAGGCAGATATGTGTGTTCTAAATGCACAGAGCAGATTGACTAAACAATTTAGCTCAAAAAAATCAAGCTGCTGAGTGACACACATCACAGTACCTCATTTATATCAGCAAAATTGAAGATAAAGCTATATCCCCAGTGATACGGTTTGGATCTGTGTCCTCACCAAATCTCATGTCTAATTGTAGTCCCCAGTGTTGGCGGTGGGGCTTGGTGGTACGTGAGTGGATCATGGGGGTGAATTTCTCGTGAACAGTTTAGCACCGTCCTCTTGGTACTGTCCTCGAGATAGTGAGTGAGTTCTCATGAGATCTGGTTGTTTAAAACCATTTGTTCTCACTCATAGGTGGGAATTGAACAATAAGAACACCTGGACACAGGGTGGGGAACATCACACACCGGGGCCTGTCATGGGGTCAGGGGACGGGGGAGGGATAGCATTAGGAGATATACCTAATGTAAATGATGAGTTAATGGGTGCAGCACACCAACATGACACATGTGTACATGTGTAACAAACCTGCACATTGTGCACATGTACCCTAGAACTTAAAGTATAATTAAAAAGAAAAGAATTCAGTCCCCCTTTGTCTTCTGCCCTGATTGGAAATTTCCTGAGGCCTCCCCAGAAGTAGAAGCTGCTATGCTTCCTGTACAGCCTGCAGAATCATGAGCCAATTAAACCTCTTTTTAAATTACCCAGTCTCTGGTATTTATAGCAACGCAAGAATGGACTAATATACCTAGACACAATGTATGTGTGCATGTATGCATGTGTGTGTATGCATGCATGTGTGTGAATGTGTGTGTGTAATAACAGGAAAGAATGTGTGCAAGAATTGCCTCAAGATGCTACCATGGGTAATGTCTGGGTAGGGGCAGGTGACTGGGATGGAACAGGGAGTGTGAAGGGGGGCTTTCGCATTTTACCCTGTATTCTACCATATTGTTTGAATGTTTTTACAATAAAATGTACTTGGGTGTTTTAAAAAGTAGACATGTTTTAATGACTGTTGAAGTGAGTGAAGAATATGGAAGTCAGAGGTCACAGCAGCCCTGCCCCTGGGACAGCCATTGAAGGGTGTGTGCGTGTCATCCTGATCAAGTCCCCTGGGGATAGGCTACTTTCAGTGTCCTCACTGGAGACTCAGCTTCTGTGTGGTGTGTGCTGTCTGGCTTCATTACACTTTACTCCCTTGTTCTGTCCTCTCAATAGTCTAGCAAACCTAACACTACCAATGAAGCCCTACTCCATGTCCTGCCCCTGGCTTCCCACTTACCATACCAGCCCAGCAAATACGTTTATGTCCCCCACAAAAGCCCATACACAAATGTTTACAGTGCCCTTACTCATAATCACCACCAACCAGAAACAACCCACAGGTCCTTCAACTGGTGAAAGGATCAACAGACTGTGGTACATCCATGCAACAGAACGTGACTCAGCAATGCAAAAGAACAAAGTACCCACACACACGACACACCTGATAAATCTCAAATGCATTAGGAAAGAAGCGAGACTCAGAAGGCTGCACACTGCATGATTACATATGTATGACATTCTGGAATAGGCAAAACTGTCAGCACAGAAACCACTGATCAGTGGTTTTCAGGGACTGGGGGGATCTGGGGTGGTGATAAGATGGTTCTGTGTCTGGATTGTGTTGATGGTTATGCAACTGTAACCATCTCTGTCCACTCCACCTGTGGGATCTGATCTGGACCCAGAGGTTGTTCAAGCCAGTGCCTTCCTTACTTCTGTTCTTCCCATCTTTATTCCTTCTTTCCTCTTCTGCTTCCTCTTTGCTCTTCAGCAGTGGAAAGCTCCTTCAAATGGAATCCTATACATGCCTTGTAGATGTGCCTGTTCAAGTGACACTGTTCTTGATGAAGAAGGGTAAGGGTCCTCTTTCAACAGAAGTTTGTCCCCATGCTTTCATTCAACAGATGAAGAAATTGAGGCCTGAGAGGAAAGGGGCTCCCTGTCCACATCCATGTTCTGTGCTCCTAATCATCCTCCATGCTGCTTTCAGAGACCATTCCAGGGTAGGCTAAGAGGGGCCATCACGGTGAACAGCTTATTCTGAGCACTCTAGAGTCGTCTAAATCTGCAGTCTGGTCATGGGGTAACAACATAGCAACAGACTTGGGAGATAACATGTCCTTTCCAACACCTGCCCCTGTATCCTTTTTTATACCTTCTTGTCCAGAACAGGTTCATGAGGCCATGTGTCCAGTAGAGGGGACTAGTTTTTCCAGATTAACTGTCAGCTTTGCCATGCTATAGCCACCGCCTTAATAAGGTTCACCTTTCAGCCTCTTGTGCAACTTTCTCAGAGCACGAATGTGTCTTCAGTGTTTGGGAATCGCACTTCTAGGAATTTATCTTACAGATACAAACACACATGTGCAATAACATCTGTAGATTGATATTTGTTACAGCATTGTTTGTAATTTCAAAAGACTGAAAACAACCTAAATGACCAAGCTATTGAACATCCATTCAATAGAATACTTTGCATTTTCACAGGATGAAGAAGCTCCCTATGTACTGATATGTGCCGATCAGCAAGACATCTTGTATTTTGTAAGGTACGGATTTCTGTCTATAATATGCTAACTTTTGTGCTTTAAGAAATATGAAAATTGATTAATATTGATATGCATTTTTTAAATTCTGGAGAAAACAATAAACTAATAACAATGGTTGCTGGGATAAGCAAAAGGTAGATGGGGAAAAGTGGGATAGACATTTTCACTTTCTGGATGTGTTTTTATTTTGAAAATAATAAAGTTATTCAAAATTAAATTAAAAAGAAATAATTGTAGGAGAGCTTCTACTTCTGGGAAGATGGAGTAGATGTCCTTTTTCCTATTCTTCTTACTATGTACTATATATATATATAATATATATATTATATATATAATATATATATTATATATATAATATATATATTATATATATATATTATATATATATAATATATATATATTATATATATATATTAAACATGAGACAACTCTGAAAGGTGGAGAGAAGAAAGAGGACCAACAAGGAACAACACTGCAGTGAGTTCCCTGGATTTTCTTTTTACCTTGTATATCCTAGACTGGATACTAGAAAAACTACAACCCGGAAACACCAACCGACACAGTAAAAAAAAAAAAAAAAGCCCTAAGAAATGCCCGCTTTCTCTAACCAAAGGACCAGGAAAGAAGCAGGCAGGGCAAGACAGAAAACTTTTAGATACAATTGCTCTACTCTAGCCAACACAACAGAAAAAAACTGCAGCCTCACCTCACCTACACCAGCAAAGGCTGAGTAGGGAGCCCAGACTTCTACCCCAGGCTGTAGTAAGGCACTCCCACTCCCACGCTGGAGTGGAGCCACAGAAGGCCAAGTGGGAGGCCAGGACTTTCAATCACCCAGGGTCAGCAGAGACCACACAGGAAGCCTGGACTCCACCCCTACCAGCAGTCAGAGGGTGCCCCTCACCATCCCCACTGGGGTGGTGTCAAAGGAGGACTGGCAGAGCATCAAAACTTTCATCACTGTTCAGTTTTTTGTTTTTTTTTTTTTGAGATGGAGTCTCGCTCTGTCGCCCAGGCTGGAGTGCAGTAGCACAATCTCTGCTCACTGAAAGCTCTGCCTCCCGGGTTCACGCCATTCTCCTGCCTCAGCCTCCCGAGTAGCTGGGACTACAGGTGCCCGCCACCATGCCCAGCTAATTTTTTGTATTTTTAATAGAGACGGGGTTTCACTGTGTTAGCCAGGATGGTCTCAATCTCCTGACCTCATGATCCACCCGCCTCAGCCTCCCAAAGTGCTGGGATTACAGGTGTGAGCCATGGCGCCCGGCCATCACTGTTCAGTTTTTAACAAGGCCACCCCACCCAGCAGTTGCAGTAGAAGCACCCCTTCCCCTTCCAGCCAGGGTGGAATCAGTGAAGGCCTGACCGCCACTTCCATTCAGCAGTTACAAGGAGCACCTTCTCGGCAATCCCCCCACCCCCCGCCCGCCCCCATAGGCATCAACAGAGACCAGGAGGACAACCTGGACCCCTGCCTGGCAGTAACAAGGTGTCATCCCACTTTTACCCACAAGATCTGTGCCAGAGAAGGCTTGCTACCACACATGATTTAAATAAGATCCACAGTTATAACACAATACTGAAATGTCCAGGTATCAAATAAGAAAATTACTCATCATACCAAAACCCAGAAAGATCTCAAAATGAATGAGGAAAGATACTCAACAGACACCAATGCTGGGATGCATACATATTATAATGCTTCAACAAATAATTAGAAACACATTAGAAACAAATTTTAAAAAATAGAAAGTCTCAGCCAAAAAAAAAAGAAGGTCTCAGAAAAGAAATAAAAGATACAAAAAAGAACAAAATGGAAACTCTAAAGTGTACAATAGTTGAGATGAATTCAATGGATGGGCTCATCAGCAGAATGGAGAAAACAGAGAAAAGAATCAGTAAACTTAAATATGGTGCAATAGAAGTTACCTAAACTGAACCATGGAGAGAAAATAAATGGAAAAAAAAAACATGAACAGAACCATGTGGGACTATAACAAAAAATCCAATATTTATGTCACTAGAGACACAGGAGAGGGGGAAGAGGTTGGGGCTGAAAAAGTATTCAGAGAAACATTGGGTGAAAGACACAAACCTTCAGATTCTAGAAGGTGTATAAATCCCAAACAGGATAAAACAAACAAACAAACAAAAATCCATCTTAAGCTATATCAAAAACACAACACTTTTCAAGTGCTAAAAGAAAAGAACTATCAACCCAAAATTTAGTTTTAGAAATTCCTCCAGGTATGAGGGGAAAATAAAGACATCTTCAGATGAAGAGAAAAACTAATTTGTTATCAGCAGACCCACTTTTTAAAAAAACTTATTGGGCACTGGAGCAAAGGTCACTTTTCTTATGCATCACCAAAGAGGTTGGAGGCACTATGCCCCTGCCATAGGGATCTGTGGAACATTGAACTTGAGAGTGACAATTTAGGGTATTGGGCAAGAGAAATTTCTAAGCAGCAAAGTGTTCAAGAAATGGCCTGGCTGCTTCTAACAACCTATGCTCATATACGTGAGCAAAGAAATGACATAAAACTGGAACTTATATTTAAAGGGAAAGCGGAGTGTAAAAGTTTGAAAAATCTGCAGCCCAGCCATGTGGTAGAAAAGAAATGCTCATTTTCAGGGGAGAAATTCAAACAGGGTGCAGAAATTTGCATAAGTAAAGAAAAGCCAATTGCTAATAGCCAAGACAGTGGGGAAAAGACCTTGAAGGCATTTCAGAGACCTTCACCACAATCCCTCCCATCACAGGCCCAGAAGCCTAGAAAGACAGAATGGTTTCATGGGCCAGACCCAGGACCCTGCTGCCCTGCACAGCCTCAGGACACTACTCCCTGCAACCTGGCCACTCCAGCTCCAGCCTTGGCTCAAAGGAGCGCTTGTAAAGCTTGGGCTGCTGCTTCAGAGGGTGCAAGCCATAAGCCTTGGTGGCTTCCACTTGGTGTTAATCGTGTGGGTGCACAGAGTGCAAGAGTTTAGGCTTGGGAGCCTCTACCTAGATTTCAGAGGATGTATGGAAAAGCCTGGATGTGTAGGCACAAAGCCTGATGCAGGAGTGGAGCCCTCATGGAGACCTCTTCCAGGTCAGTGTGGAGGGCAAATATGGGGTTGGAACCTCTACACAGAGTCCCCACTGGGACACTGCTTTATGGAGCTGTGAGAAGAAGGCCACTGTTCTCCAGACCCCAGAATGGTAGATTCACCGACAGCTTACACCTTGCACCTGGAAAAGCCACAGGCACTCAATGTCGGCCCTTGGGAGCAGCCAAGGGGGCTGAACCCTGCTGAGCCACAGGGGCAGAGTTGCCCAAGGCCTTGGGATCCCACCCTTTTCATCAGTGTGGCCTGGATGTGAGACATGGAGTCAAATGAGATTATTTTGGAGCTTTAAGATTTAATGACTATCCTGCTGGGTTTCAGACTTGTATGGAACCCATAGCCCCTTTCTTTTGGCCAATTTCTTTCCTTTTCTGGGGGGAGGATGGCAATGATTACCCAATGCCTATATTCCATTATATCTTGGGAATAACTAACTTATTTTTTATTTTACAGGCTCACAGATGAAAGGGACTTGCCTTGTCTCAAATGAAACTTCGGACTTCACACTTTTGAGTTAATGCTGGAATGAGTTAAGACTTTGGGGGACTGTTGAGAGGGATGATTGCATTTTGTAATGTGAGAAGGACATGAAATTTGGAAGGGTCAGGGGTGGAATGATATAGTTTGAATCTGTGTCCACACCTAATCTTAAATCAAATCACAATCTCTAGTGTTGAAGATGGGGCCTGGTGGGAGGTGACTGGATCATGGGGAAGGAGTTCTCATGAATGGTTTAGCACCATTATCTTGGTGTTGTTCTCATGATAGAGTTCTCACAAGACCTGTTTGTTTAAAAGTGTGTAGCACCTCCCACCTTGCTCTCTTTTGGTCCTGCTCCTGCTTTGCCTTCTGTAATGAGTAAAAGCTCCCCGAGGCCTCCCCAGAAGCAGACGCTGCCATGCTTCCTGTACAACCTGCAGAACTGTGAGCCAATTAAATCTCCTTTCTTTATAAATTACCCAGTCTCAGGTATTTCTTTATAGCAATGCAAGAATGGACTAATACATTTATATAATCATAAAAGGGTCAATCTACCAAGAAGACATAGCAATCCATAATGTGTATGCACCAAAAACACAGAACTGAAAAATACATGAAGCAAAAATTGATGGAACTGACAACAGAAAACAATGAATCACTAATTATAGTTGGAAACTTCAATACTCTCTGTCAAAAACTGATAGAACAACTAGACAGAAAACCATCAAGGCTATAGAAGAATTCAAGAACAACATCAACCAATTTTTATAGAACACTCCACCCAATTATAGCAGAATACACAACTTTTCAAGCATTTGCAGAACATATACCAAGATTGGCCATACCCTGGGCCATAAAGTAAAACTGTAACAAATTTTTAAAAAATTGCAACCGTATAATGTATGTTTTCTGACCACAGTGGAATTAAATTAAAAACCAATAACAGAAATGTGACCATAAAATCTTCAAATACTTGGAAACTAAATAATACACTTTAAATAAGCCATGGGTGAAAAAGAAAGTTCCAAGGGAAATTTAAAAATACTTTGAAGCAAATGAAAATTAAAACATAACATGTCAAAATGTGTGGGAAGCAGTTAAAGCCGTACTGAGAGGGAAATTTATAGCACCAAAATGCTTTCATTTTCTAAAAATAAAACTTTCAAGTCAATAATATAGGCTTGTACCCCAGTCTAAGTCAAACATAGAGGAAAGAAAAGCAAAATAAACCCAGAGCAAGCAGAAAGAAGAAAATAATAAAGATAAAAGCAGAAATCAATGAAACTGAAAATAGGAAAAACAATATAGAAAATAAATGAAATGAAAAGCTGGTTCTTTTAAAAGACGATAAAATTGACAAGCCTCTGACGTAGAAAAAAAGAGAAAATACACAACTTCCTAATATCAGGAACAAAGGCAGGGATATCATGACAGTCCCTGCAGACATCAAAAGGATAATAAGGGAATACTATGAACAACCTAACCCTAAATTTGAAAATTTAGAGAAAATACAATCTAATCCCTCAAAAAGCATAGCCCACTACAACTCACCCAATATGAAGTAGATAATTTGAATACTCCTATAACTACTTGGAAAATTAAATATGTAATTAAAAAGAAATCTCCAGGCCCAGGTGGTTTTACTTGAGAATTGTACCAAACTTTTAAAAAGGAATTAACAACAGGCCAGGTGCAGTGGCTCATGCCTGTAATACCAACTCCTTGGGAGGCCAAGGCAGGAGGATCCCTTGAGACCAGGAGTTTGAGACCAGCCTGGGCAACATGGTGAACCCCTGTCTCTACAAAAAATACAAAAATTAGCCAAGCATGGTGGCACATGCCTGTAATCCCAGTACTCAGAAGGCTGAGGTGGGAAGATCGCTTGAGCCTGGAAGTCAAGGCTGCAGTTAGCTATGATTGCTCCACTGCACTCCAGCCTGGGCGACAGAGTGAGACCCTGTCTCAAAGCAAAAAATTAAATAAATAAATAAAAATAACACCAATTCTACACAGTCTCTTCCAGAAAATAGAAGAAAAAAGTCAGTAGTGCGTTGATACCAAGACCAAAGACAGTATAACAAAAGAAAACTACAGACTCATATTCCTCATAAATATGGATACAAGCACTCTTAATTGAATATTAACAAATATAATTCGACAATATGTAGAAATAGTTATATACTATGACCAAGTAGAGTTAATTCTGGATTCAAAGCTGGTTCAATATTTGAAAAGCTATCAGTGTAATCCACTATATTAACAGGGTAAAGAAGAAAAATCACATGATCATATCAATTGGTACAGAAAAAAGCATTTGGCAAATTCAATACTCATTTATGATACTCTCAGAAAACTAGAAATAAAGGGGAATTTCCTCAAATTGACATAGAACATCTGTAAAAAATCTACAACTAACATACTTAGGGAAAAACTGAATGTTTCTCACTAAGATCAGGAACAAGTCAAGGTTGTCCATTCTTCTTCCTTTTTAGATGGAGTCTCACTCTGTTGTCCAGGCTGGAGTGCAGTGGTGCCATCTCAGCTCACCGCAACCTCTGAGTCTTGGGTTCAAGCGATTCTCCTGCCTCAGCCTCCCAAGTAGCTGGGATTATGAGCACCTGCCACCACATCCAGCTAATTTTTGTATTTTTAGTAGAGATGGGGTTTCACCATGTTGGCCAGGCTTGTCTTGAACTCCTGGCCTCAAAGTGATCTGCTCGCCTCAGCCTCCCAAAGTGCTGGGATTACAGGCGTGACCCACCACACCTGGCCAACGTTGTTCATTCTTATCACTACTATTCAACCATAACACTGGAAGTTCTAGCCAGTGCAATTAAGCAAGAAAAGGAAATAAAAGGCATACACATTAGAAAAGAAGAAATTAAATGTCCCTATTTGCAGGTGACATGATGTTCAATGTAAAAAATCTCAAGGAATCTACAAAAAAAGACCTTCTAAAACTAATAAGTGCGTTCAGCAAGGCCATAGACTATAAGATGAACATATAAAAATCAATTATATTTCTACATACTAGCAATAAGCACATGAAACCAAAACTTAAAATACAATCCTATTTACAATCAGTCACAAAAGATGAGCCACTTAGGTATAAATCTAACAACAAATATATAGCATGTGAAAATTACAGAATGCTAATGAAAGAAATTAAAGAAGATTTAAATAAATGGAGCACTCATGGATTGGAAGACTTAACATAGTAAAGATGTCAGTTCTCCCCGAATTGATATACAGGTTTGATGCAATTCCCTTTTTTTTTTTGAGATGGAGTCTCACTCTGTGGCCCAGGCTGGAGTGCAGTGGCATGATCTCGACTCACTGCAACCTCCGCCTCCTGGATTCAAGTGATTCTCCTGCCTCAGCCTCCTGAGTATCTGGGACTACAGGCATGCACCATCATGCCCGACTAATTTTTTTGTATTTTTAGTAGAGAAGGGTTTCACCTCATTGGTCAGGCTGGTCTTGAACTCCTGACCTCAAGTGATCCACCCGCCTCGGCTCCCAAAGTGCTGGGATTACAGGCATGAGCCACTGTGCCCGGCCAGGTTTGATGACATTCCTATCAAATCCCTGCAAGATTTGTTTGCAGACATAGACAAGATTATTCTTTAACTTACATGGAAAGGCAAAGGAAAAAGATAAAAGAAAAGATAAAACAATTCTGAAAAAGGAGAATTAGAGTGAGAGGTATCAATCTACCCAGTTTCAAGACCTATATCACATACCAGCAGGAATCAAAGCTGTGTAGTATTGATGGAGGGAAATGGAACAGAATAGAGAACCCAAAAATAGACCCATACAAGTGTGGCCAACTCATTTTTGGCAAACATGCAAAAGCAATTCAGTGGAGGAAGGATAGCCTTTTCAACAATGCTGGAGCAATTGAATATCCATAAGAAAAAAAAAAAACCTATGATTTAAATCTCACACCTTATATAAAAATTAACTCAAAATGGAATATAGATTTAAATGTAAAACATAAAACTATAAAAGTTTAGAAGGTAACATAGGAGAAAATATTTAGGACCTGGTGTTTCGTGATAAGCTCTTAGACACAACACCAAAGGCAGATCCATCAAAGGAAAAAAATCAATAAATTGGACTTAATCAAAGTTTAAAACTTTTACTTTGCAAAAATCCCTATTAAGAGGATGAAAGGAGAAGCTATAGACTGGGAGAAAATATTTGCACAATGCAGATCTCACAAAGGACTCAAATTCCCAATATAAAAATGACTCTCAAAACCCAACAGTAAAAAAAAACAAATAATCCAATTAGAAAATAGGCAAATGACATGAAAAGACTTTTCACCAATGGCAAATAAGTACATGGAAAGATATCCATACTACTAGCCATTAGGGAAATGCAAAGTAGGACCATGATGAGATATTAGCACATATCTGTCAGAATGGCTAAAATAAAAAATAGTGATGAGACTAAATGCTGGTGACAATGAAGAGCAACTGGATCACTCACACACTACTGGTGGGAGTGTACATGGTAAGCCACTCTGGAAAATAGTTTAAGAATTTATTTTTTAATAAAAATTGTGTATATTTAAGGTGTATAACATGATGGCTTGATATACATAGTAAAACTGATTACTACAATCAAGCTAATGAATATTTTCATTACCTTACATAGTTATCGTTTTCACATGTGTGTGATGAGAATGCTTAAAAGCTACTCTCTTGGCAAATTTCAGATATAAAATACAGTATTTTTAAATATAGTTCCCCTTCTGTACATTAGATTTCTGGAATTTATTCATCCTACCTAACAAACTTTGTACCCTTTGACCAACATCTTCCCATTTCTCCCCACTCCCCATGCCTGATAACCACCATTCTCCTCTTGCTTCTATGAATTTGGCTTTTTCACATTCGACATATAAGTGAGATCATGCAGTAGTGGTCTTTCTGTGCCTGGCTTATTTCATTTGGCATAATGTCCTCCAAGTTTATTCATGTTTTTGCAAATAACAGGATTTCCTTCTTTTTAAAGGGTAACTATGATTCCATTGTGTATATGTACATTTTCTTTATCCATTCATCTGTTGGTGGATATTTAGGTTGATTCCATATCTTGGCTATGATAAATAGTGTTGTAATAAACATGGAGACGTACATATCTCTTCAACATACTGATTTCATTTCCTGTGGGTATATAGCATGAAGAGATATTGCTGGATCACATGGTAATTCTATCTTTAACTTTTTGAGGCACCTCCATACTGTTTTCCATAACGGCTATACCAATTTACATTACTACCAACAGTGTATAAGAGTTTCGTATTTTTTACATCCGTAAGTTTGGCAGTTACTTTAAAAAAACAAACTAAACTTACGCTTACCATAAGAAACACCAATTGCTCTCCTGGGCATTTATCCCAGAGAAATAAAAACTTATGTACACGTAAAAACCTGTAAATGAACGTTCATAGCAGCTTTATTTATAACAGCCAAAATCTGGAAACAACCCAGATGTCTCTCAACAGATAAACAGTTAAACTGCAGTACATCCATAGACTACATGGCAATAAAAGAGAATGAACAATTGATACATGCAATAACCTGAATGGATCTTAAGGAATTTGTGCTGCATGAAAAAGTCTTAAAAGATGACATACAAGGCCGGGTGCGGCAGCTTACACCTGTAATCCCAGCACTTTGGGAGACCAAGGGGGGCGGATCACGAGGTCAAGAGATTGAGACCAGCCTGGCCAACATGGTGAACCCCATCTCTACTAAAAATACAAAAATTAGCCAGGTGTGGTGGCGTGTGCCTGTAACCCCAGCTACTTGGGGGGCTGAGACAGGAGAATCGCTTGAACCCGGGAGATGGAGGTTGCACTGAGCCAAGATCACACCATTGCACCCCAGCCTGGGTGACAAGAGCAAAACTCCATCTCAAAAAAAAAAAAAAACAAAAACAAAAAAAGCCATACTCTGTGATTTCTTCTATATCACATTCTCAAAATGACAAAATCACAGAAATGGGAAACACATTAACGGTGGCCTGGGGCTAAGAATGTTGAGAGAGGGAGGACTGGGCATGACCACCAAGGGATGGCAGGGAAGAGGTCTTTGGGGTGATGAAATGGTTCTGTGTCTTGATTACTGCGGGGGCTACAAGAGTCCACACGTGGGTGAAAGTTACCTGGGACCTCTCTGTACTACCCTTGAACTTCCTATATGCTATAGTTTCAATGTTTGTTTCCTCCTAATCTCATGTTGAAATTTAATCCCCAGTGTGATGGTGTTGGGAGTTGGAACCTATTGGGGGGTGTTTGGGTCATGGGGGTCCTTTGATTCATGGATTCTTCATTAATACATGCATGCCCTTGGAGGAGTGAGTACTTAACTCTATTAGTCCCCGAAAGCGCCGATTGTTAAAAGAGTCCAGCACCTCCCTCCTTGTCTTGCTTCCCCTCTCACCATGTGATCTCTGGAAACACTGGCTCCCCTTTGCCTTCTGCCATGAATGGAAGCAGCCTAAGGCTTTCACCAGATGCCCAATCTTCCAGCCAGCAGAATTGTGAGCCAAATAAATCTTTTTTCTTTATAAAGTACCCAGTCCCACGTATTCCTTTACAGCAACACCAAATGGATTGGGACACTATGAATCTATAATTATTTAAAAGTTAACAGCTTTAAAAATTGATTGTCAAAGTCATTTTGTGTCTGTCTTTTTTACTTTTAAAATATGAATCCATCACGCTAAATGGGGGCTCCTCTGGCTCCTCACAGGGCATTCAGCGTTTGGTGGGGGCAATGACCCTGGGTTTATGCGGACACAATTCCAGGATGTTCTGCAGCCAGATCTTTCCCGAAGTTTCACATCTCTCTTCCAGGACACCTGCTGTCTCTAGAAGGAGCATCCCTCTGGAGAAGGAAGGAGAGAAGGCAGAAAGTGGCCGCAGCCTAGTGGGAAGGAGACCAGTGACAGCTGCATCCCAGCCCACTAGGGAGCAGCAGAGGATGGAGAATGGTTCTCAGCTCTGCACTGGAGTGGGTGGAATCTCAGGCAGGAGAAGGGGAGGGGCTCTGCCCAGAGACCTTTCCCCAGCCTGACCACTGCAGGTGCAAAAGCAGCTTGAGCATTTCCAATGCCTGATAAAGAGGGAGCCCAGCTGGGCTCAGTGGCTCAAGCCACTAATCCTGGCACTTTGGGAGGCTGAGACTGGAGAATTGCTTAAGGCCAGGAATTAGGATTCAAGACCAGCCCAAGCAACATAGCGAGATTCCATCTCTACAGAGATTTTGAAAATTAGCTGGGTATGGTGGTGCACACCTGTAGTCCTACTTAGAAGGATGAGGTGGGACCATCACTTGAACCCAGGAGTTTGAGGCTTCAATGAGCCATGATTGTGTCACTGCACTCCTCTAAATTAATTAATGAAAATGAAACACGAAGGAAAGAGCCCTATGCCAAGCAGAGGTCTCCTGACCTTGGGATTAAAGATGGAGAAGAACTGAGGTCGACTCAGTGTGGTCACCCATTCCATGCTCTTCGTTTGTTCTGTCTGAGTATCTGAGGTCGCAGGAGTGCCCCACTCAGAACAAAGCACCTTGTTCTTCACCTTCAGGGATAAGATTGCTCAAGGAGCCTGAATCCCAGAGAAAGGACAGAGACCTCTAACTCCCCATCCATGCAACATGCATGATAGAGTTTCCCAGCTGTCCCTGAACCGGTCTCAACCTGCAGGCCCATGAACCCATCTGAAATGGGCTCAAATGGAGAATGAGAAAGGACCTTGGAACATTCCCAGAGACTAATTTGGGAGCTCAGTACATCAGCTAAAGGTATTTTCTAGATGATTCTTCAGAGCCAAGGAGAGGGAGAGCTCCTGGCCTAGGATGGAAGCCAATATTTTACTCTTCTCACACTCTGTGCACCAAGAGATGGTGTGAATGTGAGAGAATCACTCTGCAATTTTACTAGCTCTATGTTCTTAATCGAAGTGCATTGCCTCTCTTAGCCCCAATTTCCTTATCTGGATAGTATGGGAAATGACAGTTCTCTCTTCTGGAGTTACTCTATTGATTAAATAAAGTAAGTGAGACGCCGTGCAAAACACCTGGCACCTGCCAGGCAATCCGTAAGCCTTTTCCTGCGCCCCCTGTCGGCGCTGGAAAAGTTCTGTATCTTGTATCAACCCCGGCTGCAGTATCCTTCATAACCACCAGGAGGCGGTGTGGGACCACGGAGCCTGCTTTGCCCACAACTAGACTCACTGGGGGAAAGGAGAGAATTCCTCCGCCTAAGGAGCAGCGGAATTGGAGCGCCAGAATTGGAGCGCCAGAGAGACACCGGATCTTACCTTCTTGCGCTGGAGTTGCCCACGCTGTCTCCATAGCACGAAAAAGAACCAGGGTAGGCATAGCAAAGGCAACAGGTGGGACGGGGAGCCAGGGAGTGGAAACGCCGGAGGTCCTCAGGCTGGGGATCCCGGAGTCCTCGCTCAGATTCCGATTCCGGAGAAGGCCAATTCCGGGACCCTATCCATGTCCCATTCCGGGCACCTTCCTCAAAAGTAGGGGTGGGAGGGGCATAAGCCGGTCAAGTATTTCCCGGGCCTTCCGGAGCAATCTTGCCTAAGCGTTCATATTTAACGCATTGGACTGGGAAACATTTGGAGATCATTGATTAAGAAATACTCAAACCTGGGCCGGGCGCGGTGGCTCACGCCTGTAAATCCCAGCACTTTGGGAGGCCCAGGCGGGCGGATCACCTGAGGTCAGGAGTACAAGACCAGCTTGGACAACATGGTGAAACCCTGTCTCTACTAAAAATACAAAAATCAGCCCACCGTGGTGGTGGGTGCCTGTAGTCCCAGCTACTCGGGAGGCTGAGGCAGGAGAATCGCTTGAACCCGGAAGGCGGAGGTTGCAGGGAGCCGAGATTGTGCCACTGCACTCCAGCCTGGGCGACAGAGCAAGACTCCGTCTCAAAAATAAAAAAATATATATACTCAAACCTGAAACCCATGGATAAATTAAATTCTCTAGTCTTTGTTTATCGTTTTTGAAAACAAAAATTGCATTTTTTGACAGGGTTTTACCATTGCCCAGGCTGAATGCAGTGGCACAATCACAGGTCACTGCAGCCTTGACCTCCTGGGCTCAAGCGATCCTCCCACCTGAGCCTCCTCAGTATAGCTAGGACTACAGATGCGCACCACCATGACTGCTAACCTTTTAGTTTTTGTAAAGATGGGATTTCCTTAGATTGCCCAGGCTGGTGATCCTCCCACCTCGGCCACCCAAAGTGCTGGGTTTACAGGCATGAACCACCACACTTGACCCACATCGTTCTCTTTTTAAAAAAATATTCCAGCCCGGCACGGTGGCTCATGCCTCTAATCCCAGCACTTTGGTAGGCTGAGATGGGAGGATCCCTTGAGGTCAGCAGTTTGAGACCAGCTTGGCCAAGATGGTGAAATCCGTCTCTACTGAAAAAAATTTTTGTTAAAAAAATGCCGGGCCTGGTGGCGGGTGCCTGTAATCCCAACTACTTGGGAAGGCTGAGGCAGGATAATCACTTGAACCCAGGAGGTGGAGGCTGCAGCAAGCCGAGACTGCCCCACTGCACTCCAGCCTGGGAGACAGTGAGACTCCATCTAAAAAAAAAAAAAAAAATCCACTGGCTTCCCATCACACCTAGTATATAATTCAAGACACTCTCTCCCTCATCATGGCCTACAAAACGCTACAGAATCTGACCCTCCTGACTTTCCATTGACCCTCCCTTTCACCTCCACCCTCTCTCCTCCTTTTTGAGCTCCATTCCAGGCACTTTCCACATCTTAGGCCACTGCATTTGCAGTTCCCTCCGCGGGGACCCTGCCCTTTCAGAAGTCTGCATGGCTCATTCTCTTCTGGGTCTCTGTCTCCTCCCCAAGTTCCTCTCTGGCCCACTTCATCTTTCCTTCACAGCACAAAGGGCTGTCCTGCCTGATACCATGTTGTGTGACTGTGTTTATCTGTTTCCTGTCTTTCTGACCCAGGAATGTATAAGCGCCCTGAGGGATGGGATCTTGTCTTCCTGTTGCTCAGTCATTTAATAGGTACTTGCTAAGTATTTGTGGAATGAGTGAATGACTTAATTAATCTACAAGCTGTGGAGACTCAGGAAGGATCGTGATAGTGACAGCTGTTGGTAAATTTAATTCAATATGTATTGTGCGCTTATTTTGTGCCTACTGTGTGGCATTCAGCATCATCTTGTTGCTGCTATTCATTGTGGTGAAGAGAATACGGCAGCAGGTAAGTCTGATCTGGGCCCAGAGCACAGACCGTAGGCGCAGCTCATCTCTTCATTGCTTTCTCCCCATTCTTGGAGTGGCAGTAGGAACCCCCACCCCCCCCCCACACACACACACATACACACACAGAGAGAGAGAGAGAGAGAGAGAGAAAGAGAGAGAGAGACGGGACAGCCTCCTCTATGCACTGCTTCCTCTTCCCCAGCCCTGCTCCCTGCATCCTTCCCTCTGGTCCTAGTGTCCTGGTGTCTTGAAGATGCTGGGTAGTTAGACCGACATCCCTCTCCCTCTCTCACCCTGGGCTCTGGGACGCTGGCCCTGCTTCCCCAGAGAGCGATCGCCCCGGACTTGTGCCTGTGTTCCGGCCTAGGGCAGCCGGAACCTCCCGATATCCCCAGAGGAGTCTCAGGACAGCGCACAGGGAAGTACTGGCTTGGAGCTGCGTGTTCCTTGGGCGGCCGGCGGAGGGCGAAGAGCAGGAAGAGCCCGGGGGACGACGGTAGCAGAGTGTTGGGGAGGCCACAGACGCGGACTGCGTGGAGAAAGCACGCACCCGGGCCGCAGTAGCCGGGCAGGGGGACGGCGGAAAGCAGCCCTCTCTGGAACATTTTATTCTGATCCCCGCAGGACTCCCCCGCGAGCCCCGGCTTGAGCAGTCGTGTAACAAGTGTGCGATTGCGCGTGCGACTGGTGTGTGCGCGTGGGCACTTACACGTTCCCGGGGAGGCTGGGGGCAGGAGCTTCACTGTTCACACAAAGAGCGCTTAGAGGAGGAACATTTAAGTTTGGGGGCAAAGAAAGAAAAAAGAGTTAAAGGTTTAGGAGATGGGGGAGGAGGATGGGGCTTAAGGACGCGGTGTTGCCGCGGCTCAGCCATCGGGGCGGGAAGCTCGGGGAGGGAGAGCGCCTGGGCCCGCTTCTCGCCTATTCTACGCAGAACTTTTCTCTCCTCCTTCTTCCCTCGCTCTGCCTCTCTCGGGGCGGTCTCCGGGGACTGTCTCTCACATCCATTCTCCTCTCCTCCTTGATTTATGCTGCAGAGTGGAACGACCTTCCCTGACCTCATTTTCATGTCGGCGCGAGCACACCCGGAGCCGGCTACGCACATTCCGGAGGAGGCGCGCGCTGACACGCACACACACACACACACACACTCGAGACACTGCAGGGCCCTGCCCATCCTCGAGTTCACACCAGCCCCGCCACTATTATGGGCACTGCCGGGGCTGTGGACGCTCAAAGAATAGATCCTCATTAGCATCTTGCTTTGAATATCATTTGCATTTTATTCATTTCATGTCAAAACGCTCAGAACTCTCCCCAGCCCGCACCTTCCCCAGAGCTTGGGAGTCATGGGTTTCCAGCTCAAGCCCCTTCTCTGTGGGCCCCACGCTTGCTGGCTACCCCCACCCCACCTACCCTGCGCCACAGCCCCCACAAAATGAATTGACGTCTCCTAAGCACTTGGCAAGTTCCATCTCCTGCGCTAGGGTGCATTGTCTCATCTAATCCTGACAGCAACTCAAGGAGCAAAGCACTATACTATACCCATTTGAGAGTCGAGGAAACTGAGTCACAAAGGTGACTTGACCAAGGTCGTGGAGCTAAAAACCGAGGAGGAGAAACTGAAACCCAAGGCGACCAAACACCAAACCCAAAGAGCTTAACCGCTTCGCTGCCCCGGCTCAGGCAAGGTCAAAGCTAAGGTATGATAACTCTGGCAGGAGAAAGTCTGTTTTCCTACGTGGTAGAAAGTCCTTGGGCCCGCCACGACCCTTCCCCCATCCCGGCCGCTGGGGCACCGGGGCACATTCCCAGTGCGGGCGCTCGCAGCACCACCTCGCCTGGCCGCCCCCAGTCCTGACCCCTTTCTAGCGCTGGATCGGCCGGGTCCGGCCTCCGTGCTCGCGGGGTCGTCCGTCGGCGCTGGCTAGTTAAGAAAAATAAACAACGTTCCAAATGAAGGCGATTCCTTTCAACCCAAGCTCCGCCGCCTGCCAGAGAAATGCAAACAGCGGGGTACGGCCGGAGTCCGCCCCAGCCCCCGCGCCGGAGCTGCGGGTGGCAGGGTCGGGCCGCGGTAACCCGAGCCGCCGCGCCGGCTCCCCGCGCGCTGCCCTCCGCCTGCCCCTTCGCCCCTGACCCCGCAGTCGGCGCGCTGGGCCTGCGCCCGCCATCCCCAGCGCCCCCCACCGGGCCGGGACCTCCGCCAGCGGTCCTCGGCGCCCTTCCTGCCCCCTCCCCCCAGCGGTCTCGGCCCCATCCCGAACCGCCACCCTGGGATCCCCAGCCCTCCTGCGCCCTCGAGGCCACCGGGCTCCTGCGAGCAACGCTTCCCTGCGGCGACCGCGCGCTGGGATCACTCAACACCAAGAAAAAAAAAATGCACTGGGAACGACAGAAACCTGCCTTAGCGAACTATCCTCTAGTGGATCGGGCGTGGGGGGCTGCTTCCAGATAGGACCCCTGCTCACCCTGCAGGGTGCGGCCGGGACAACTACGGGCGCCACTGCGGAAGGCCTGACCTGATCCGGCACGGTGTGGCCACCGTGGGCCCACAGAGGGTGAAGGGGTAGCTTATGCTGAGTGGGGGTGTCCACCTGGACAGACCAGGCGAGCCTCGCTCCTGGTGCGGGAGCTAGTTTTCCCTGGATCTTCCGCGGCAGAGAAGCCTGCGTCCGGGACCAGCAGAGTGAGCCGACCGGCGGATGCAGTTGACCCCATTCGCGTCCAAACTTCACTTCGAGAAAACGCAGCCCTGCGCGCAGTCCACGCAGGACGCGACAGCGCCACCCTCGTTTGTACGGCTGCGCGAATGACTCGAGAGAGTCGCGGTGGCTGCACGTGCGTGCGCAAAGCGGGAAGGAGTCAGAAACAGTCCCGGGCGCAGAGCGAAGAAATCCTGGGACCTCGGCAAGAGGGCCTCACCACTGGAGATGGGGTAGCTACGCCGTGTGGCTGGGGGAGGGGTGGTAGGGGGCGCCTAGCCAGTTGCAGGGGCCTCGGGACTTTCCATGGCCTCACCCCTCTTCTAGGACACGTGGCCAGCGTCCTCCAGGCCACCACTGGGGATGAGGGTGCTCGAGCCTCGGTGCCCAGAGTGTTGGGAGGAGCGGCGGCGCACCCGCTTCCTCCGAATTCCTGCATCGCAACGCTGGGCCGCACCGAAGGCGGTAGGATGTGCCAGGCGTAAAGCTCCGATTGGCTTCGAGAGAGTCGGGGGCAGGCGAAGACGCGGACCACGCGGGCTTCCTGTCCTCTTTATTCCCAGCTCTTTTTCGCGGGATAAGCGTGTCTGACGGCTTAAGTGCAGTCTCCCTGCGTCCCTGCCTGAGCTTTCCAGCTCCCAATTACTTCGCGGGATTGGGAGCCGAGCGCTCTCCCTGGAGCGATGCTCACACCCGTGCGCACTCGCCTAGACTTCCCAGCCCGCTCTCCGGGTCCCTCTGCGCGGCGGCACTGCGCAGCTCTTCTGCTGCCGGGGCTCCAACACCTCTGGAGCTCCAGGCCCTGACTTTCCCGCAGTCTGTCCACCCGAGCTGCAATCAATACCAGCTCAGTACGGGGCCGCTCGCTGGCCTCCACTCCTCCCGCTGCACACACGTATACACCGCATTAGAGATTCCCTTCTCGCACTTTCGTGAAGGGGCAAGATGTAAGCTCGGGAGAATTCCACTTTCCTCAAAGATTCCCTACCCGGGCGTCATATGGGGATTTTTTCCCCCATTGTAGTTTTCTTTTTAAAGAAGTTTTCTTTAAAAGTAGAAAAAAAGTAGACATGAACACCACCGCCACCATCTCTTCCCAGCTTCCTAAATCGGTTCCTTTTTGCCAGCTGAAACCCAGCAATTATGGCAGGAAGGAATCCTTTCCTCTTGGGTCCTTCAAAAAGCGCCACTTTGGAGACGGTGATAAATCTGCGCTGCCTGAGTCGTTCCCCTACTCCCAACCCCTCGCTCCTCATCACTGCCCCTCCTAGACCCTGCTGTGTAGACGGGACCTCAAGGAGTTCCCGAGGGAACAGATTTGAAAGCCCAGCTCCGGGTTCCATGGACAGTGTTTGACAGGTCAGCCCCTCGCTGTCCTCCTATCCCCCTCCTCCAAGTCCGGTCCCCCTCTTTCACCCCAACCCCCACTCTCGCGTGGGACTCAGACACTGATCCCGGAGCGAGAATGCGGCTGACAGTTAAATTGCAGTGTAGGCCGAGGGGGGGAAAAGGGACCATGTCTCTTTAACGGGCCCTGCAGACAAAGCGTCTCCCCTTGGAGCGAGCGGAGCCAGGCGCAGCCGCGCGCAGACCTGTCAGCGCGTCTCACGCGCTTGGGAGAGAGTTTGCAAAGTCATAATTATATCTCTTAACCTGTCTTGCTCTCTGCAGAAGAAGGTCCCATTATATTGAAATGAGATTATTAGCCATCAAATACTTTCTTTCTCGGGAGTTTTTTTTTTTTTTAATTCAAATACCTTAACGACTTGGCAATTGCATTTTGATCAGATTTAGTTGGCGCCCCAGCCCGGAGCGGGAGCCGGGGCGGGAAGGCAGCTGGTTGGGGAGCGACGAGGGGGAGGTCGGGGGGGAAGCCAGAAGAGTTTGCAAAGAAATGCAACCCCTCTTTTATCTCGCTCCTAGGTCTCATTTACCTGGCGAGGGCCTCCAGGCCTGGGGAGGGGGTGTGAGATGAGGGAAGTTGGGGCAGAGTGGTGAGATGTCTTTTATCCCCTTGGGACCTGGTCGGCTTAAACCGCTTCTTTGAAAATGGAACGCGACTTTCAGACAAGGCGAACGTGGACGCCGAGGCGGAGGCCAGGCTGCGGAAATCTGAGGGCTACAGAATAGGGTTGGGTCTGGGGTACTAGGTAAGGACCGAGGCTGGAGCTGGGAGTGGCTCGGGATTAACTTCTTCCGCTGGAGGTTGGCTTAAGGCTCGCGCCAGGCTCCTGGCGGATGGAATTTCAGAACGCAATAAATGGGGTTTTTCTCTACGCCCAAGGCCTGTCTGGTTTTACCAAAGATTGTGAGCCCCTTGAGTGGAGAGCCCATCTTGTTTCCAGACCCTGGAACCCCTGTCCCTACTGCCAACAGACCACCCCCTCCTCTCCCTGGACTGGAGGAAGGATGTGAGGTGGAAGATTTTCCAGACTTTAATTTTAAAGCCCCTCACTTTGACTTCCCCTAGTGGGAGGCGGAGCCAGGCTTGTGTTTTTCTTGGCTTTAGCCCAGACTCAAGGAAAATATAGGGAACAAGACAGCCACCAGCCCCACCTCCCCCACCCCGGACCCTCATATTTCACTTACAATCCTGGTGGGTCCGACCAGCCTCTAGTTCCACCCCATCGTCTTTGCAATGAGTATCTCTCTTCAGGTACTCAAAAAAGCATTATGAAGATCCGGAGTCCAGAAGCTTGGCTTCTAGGCCAGGTAGAACCACACCACCTTGGACCAGTCAGCTCTTGTCTCTGAGCCTCTGTTTCTCCTTGTGCATAATGAAAGCCTTGGACTTGAGATATATGCGTTCCCTTTAATCTCACATCATTTTTTCTGTAAAGAAGGTTCTTGCCAGATGTGGTCATCTGGAAGATTCCAGAGAGGCCATACCACTGCTCTTCAGGAAAGCAGCCTGAGGAGGGGTAGAAATCAATGTTGGCTTTAAAAGCCTCCAAATATAAAAACTGAGAAACTTTGGTGGTGTCTACTAAAACTGAAGCATGCATACCCTATGACCCAGCAGTTCCACTGGCAGGCATTGTCCCAACAGAAATGCTGTCCTATGCTCACCAAAGGACATGTACAAAAAAATGTTTACACAGTACTCTTCACAATAGCCCCAAACTGCAAACTACCAAATGTCCATTAGCTATGAAATTAGCTGTGATATAGTTACACACTGGAATACTATATAGAAAAGAGAAAGAATGAGCTATGCTACATGTAACCACATAGATGACTCTCATGCTGAGCAAAAGAAACTGGACCTGGCCTGGCTCAATGGCTCACAACTATAATCCCAGCACTTTGGGAGGCAGAGGCGGGCAGATCGCTTGAGCCCAGGAATTCAAGACCTGTCTCTACAAAAGTACAAAAATTAGAGCATCTGTAGTCCCAGCCACTGGGGAGGCTGAGATGGGAGGATCACTTGAGCCCAGGAGGTCGAGGCTGCAGTGAACTGTCATGGCACCCACTGCATTCCAGCCTGAGCAACAGAGTGAGACCTTGTCTTTAAGAAAAAGAAAGAAAGAAGAGAAAAGAAGAAGGAAAAGAAAAAGAAATCAGACCCGAAAGTACATTCTCTGTGGTTCCATTTATTTAAAGTACAAAAACAGGCAAAATAAATCTATGTATGCTATTAGAAAGCAGAATCATGGTTACTTAGAGAAGGCATGGCTAAAAGGGATTATGAAGGAGGTTTCTGGGCCAATGGTGGTCTTCTGATTCTTGATGTAGTTACACAAGTGTGTTCAGATTATGCAAATTCATTGAGATGGGTACCTATATTAAGTGCATTTTGTGAATTTATAATTATTAAAGCCTGAAATTGGAAATTTCTTCTCCCTAGTCCTCAATCTCATTCATACGCTCACATATTCTAATGCTGCAAACTCTACAGTAGCAGGAAATCAATCAATGAATCATGTTTGGCCCTCTTCCCCTGTGTTCAACACTGTAAAGTATCTGTGAATATATTTTAGCCCCTGCCTTCAAAGATTTGCAATCAAGTTTGGGAGGCAGATAGACACCCAGGAAATCACGGAGGAGATATCTAATGGAATAGAATGAGTAGTGGTTTATGCCTCTGTCAGGTGAACCTGACAGCTGGGGCCAAATCCCAGCTCCACCACTTACTATCTATGTAATCTTGGACAAGTGACTTCACATCTCTGAGCCTCAGTATCCTTATCTGGAGTATGGAGAGGAAAATGCTAATATTTACTCACGGGGATGTTGTGAGGATTACACCAGATAAATATATTTCTCTATAACAGCAACAAAAAATGGAAAATGAAATTGTTCCTTTTAAATGCTGTATTAGTTCATTTGGGTTGCTGTAACAAAATACCATAGACTGGATGGCTTGTAGGCAGCAGAAATTTATTTCTTACAGTTCTAGAGCCTGGAAAGTCCAGCATCAAGACACCAGAAGATTTGGTGTCTGGTGAGGACCCACTTTCTCACAGACGGAACCTTCTCATGAGAGTAGTGCCCATAAATGTTAGCCACTATTTCCACCTGGTATGGTGGTAAGTCTGGTTTGGGCTGCTCAGAGTTCAGACAAGAGGATGGTGAGTATGAGTTGGGGTGAGTGTGTATCCTATAATGCACAGAGCAGCTTCCACAACAAAGAAATTTTCCAGCCCAAAATGCCAGTGATGCCAAGGTTAAGAACCCTTGATGTGGAGGACAGAAGGGATTCGGTGGCAAAGGGAGAACATTCCCCAGGAGGGGAGAAAGATGTGCTCTGGAATTTCTGATGTGAACTGAGGGTAGGTAGCATTGGAAGTGACCAGAGGAGTCCCTGTTCTAGTCTTCATCCCTCAGGCTGCAAGCTCCTCATTCACCTCCCTGATTTCAGAATTTGTGGGGGGTGGTTTATTTCCTGTTCTCAAGAGATACTTGGAAAAAGCAAGGCAGATTCTCAGGAGATTTACAAGGCCACAGCATCGCGTGTGCCTTGGAACCACAATTGGAGGAAACCCCTAAGTTGGAGGCATCTGACCCTCTCCCAGAGGCTCAGAAGGGGAAGGGACTTGTCTACTGTCATGCAGTGCAGCTGGGAGTGCTGAGACTCTACCCTTGAGCTCTGTTCTTGGTGTACAGAAAGTTAGGGGAGAAGGGATTGCAAATCTGGATTAAATGATCTAGAAGCGGAAAATATGACACATGTTAATAGTCAAAAAGGAAAGTCAGCACCGAACTTTGGAAGTGTTCAATAGAACAATGTGATTGTCTAGGGGTAAGTATAATTCTTGGTTCTAAAATCATGCCTAATAGACATAGCATTCCAGAAAAAAGGAAATTTACATTGGTTAATCACATTTTTTTCCAGAAGCAAATTCTATTTGTCAGGCACTGTTCTAAATACTAGGGATACAGTAATGAACAACAGAGGCAAAGCGAACCCTCATGGGGCATATATACTGGGGGAGAAGGATGATAAATAAAACAATGTAATGCCAGGCATTTAACTGAGCACCTACTATGGGTTGGGTGTCCCTTATAAATGTCCTCAGTTTCACAAGAACTTTTAAGATAGAAATCTGCAGTTTAAGATGGAGAAACTGAAGTTCAGAGAAGGCAAGTGACTTCCCTAAAGTAGAATGACTAATAAGTGTCAGATTCAGGATTTGAACTTAGTAGGCCATTCATGATAAACATAGTACACTTAGAGGGAACTTCCTCAATCTGATAAAGACTATCTACAAACTCCTACAGCAATAATTATGCTTAATGATGAAATAGTGAAAGTTTCCTCCTTTCTATCAGGAGAAGATACAATATCCAGTATCAACACTTCTATTTAACATTGTATTAGATATCCTAGCCCGGACAATAAGACAAGAAAATGAAATAAAAGATTTAAGGATTGGTAGAGGGAAAGGAGAAATATTATTCATAGATGATATGATTATATAAATAGAAAATTCAAAATAATCTGCAAACTACTGGAATTAATGGTGAATTTAGCCAAGTCACTAAATAATAAGATTTTTGTTGTTGTTATTGTTGTTTTTGTTTGTTTGCTTTTTTTTTTGAGACAGAGTCTTGCTCTGTTGCCCAGGCTGGAGTGCAATGGCGTGATCTCAGCTCATTTCAACCTCCGCCTCCTGGGTTCAAGCAATTCTCCCACCTCAGTCTCCTGAGTAGCTGGGATTACATGCATCCATCATCATGCCTGGCTAATTTTTGTATTTTTGTAGAGATGGGGTTTCACCTTGTTGGCCAGGCTGGCCTTGAACTCCTGACCTCAGATGATCTGCCCACCTCGGCCTCCCAAAGTGCTGGGATTGCAGACATGAGCCACTGTGCCCAGCCTAAATACAAGTTTTTTTAATACAAGATTGATGCATTAAGATAAATTATATTTATCTATAACAGCAACAAAAATTAGAAAATGAAATTATTCTTTTTAAATGCTGTCTTAGTTCATTTGGGCTGCTGTAACAAAATACCATAGACTGGGTGGCTTATAGGCAGCAGGAATTTATTTCTCATAGTTCTGGAGGCTGGGAAGTCCAGCATGAAGGCAGCAGCAGATTTGGTGTCTGGTGAGGGCCCACTTTCTCCAGGTGGAGACTTCTCACTGTGTCCTCACTTGCTAGAAGAGGTAAAGTAACTCTCTGGGCCTTTTTTATAAGGGCACTAATCCCATTCACAAGAACTCTGCTATCATGACCTAATCGCCTCCTAAAAGGCCCCACCTCCTAATGCCATCACCTTGAGGGTTAGGATTTCAACATATGAATTTAGAGGGGAGACGTATTCAGACTGTAACAGATGCAATAGGTGGGTAATAGCTAAAGGGCATGAGGTTACTTTTTAAGGTGATGAAAATGTTTTAAAATTGACAGTGGTGATGGTTACACATACCTACAAATATTCTAAAAACCATTGAAGTGTATACTTTAAATGGGTGAATTGTATGGAATATGAATTATATCTCCATAAGCTTGGATTTCTTTAAAGATGAAGGGCAGGTATTGCTGGGGTTCTCCTTCCTACACTACCAATCACTAGTGCTTATGAAAATCCCTTCTAAAAATACAATTTACAATAGCAGCAAAGCCCATCAAATGCCTAGGAATAAATCAAATGAAAAATGTGCAAGACCTCTACACTGAACTACAAAGCATTATTGAGGGAACTTAAAGACCTAAATAAATGTAGGGTTATACCATGTTCACAAATGGGAAGGCTCATATTATAATGATGTCAGTTCTCAAAACGAATGCATAGATTCAATACAATTCCAATCAAAATCCCAGCAGGTTTGTTTTTGGAAATTGAATTCAAGTGGATCTGGCTCTATGGCTCACTGGAACATGGACATTATAGAAAAAGATCCAAGGGTCATAGTGTCCCCTATGTACAGGGTTTATAGGCAGCTATAGTTGAAAGACCATCAAGACCACGGGACCCTGAAAAACTCATTTGGGAGTAGAATGAGGAGATAAAAAATATTCTCAGTTAAAACAGACTCTTACCATGCTTTCAGTAGACACAAGAGAAAGACCATAATTGACTAAATATATTTTCACTTAAATAAGAGTGGTAGAAAGGACTTGTCACCTTTCATAAGTGATATCATTAGGGATATGGCTACCCAGCTGGGGATATGGCTCCCTTCATTGTGGATATAGGTGTGCAGGATTCCTCTGGCAAGGACTTGGAGAGGGGTCAATAAATCTCTTAGGCCACATGCTCATGGGTACCAGTTTGTGCATGAGATTGCAGGAGGCCCTTGACCTGTCCCAAGGCAGCAGCTAGGACTTGGCCTCAGCCTTGGCTTTTGAGAAGCTGTGGGAGAGTTGAGGCTTGAAGTCAGTCATCGGAGGAGATGGCTGCTTCCTCCCTGACGACAAGCTGAGGAGCACCCAAGAGGCTGGGCAGGAGGTTGTAGGGGGCAGGGGATCAGGGGATGCAGCACTGCCTTTGTCCTCAGGCTGCACCCACAGAGGCAGGGCTCCAGCACATGAAGAAACAGAGCTTGTTTCCCAGTGAGGGAGAGGGCAGAGACCCCAGGATTCCCTCAGTCTCCCATCTCAATCCCTTGAGGTACGGGGCTTCCCTAAAAAGGGAGAAAATTCAGATCAGATGACAAGGGACTCAGAAGAAGAGAAACAAGAGATGCAGGGGAAGCACTTCCCACCTCAATATCACACTCACTCACTCTGCATCTTTCCGAAGAATGGTCTTTTCTCCCACAATGTGGACTCAGAGACAGATCCTATGACGTAGCATCTCATTATTTTATCTAAAAAGAGAAGAGGCCGGGCGCAGTGGCTCATGCCTATAATCCCAGCACTTTGAGAGGCCAAGGCAGGCAGATCACGAGGTCAAGAGATCAAGACCATCCTGGCCAACATGGTGAAACCCCGCCTCTACAAAAAATACAAAAATTAGCTGGGCATGGTGGCTCACGTAAATTGTCCCAGCTACTCAAGAGGCTGAGGCAGGAGAATCACTTGAACCCAGAAGGCAGAGGTTGCAGTGAGCCGAGATCCTGCCACTGCACTCCAGCCTGGTGACAGAGCAAGACTCCGTTTCAAAATAAATAAATAAAATAAAATAAAAAGAGGCCGGGCGTGGTGGCTCACACCTATAATCCCAGCACTTTGGGAGGCCCAGGTGGGCAGATCACCTGAGGTCAGGAGTTCGAGACCAGCCTGACCAACATGGTGAAACCCCATCTCTACTAAAATTACAAAAATTAGCTGGGTGTGGTGGCACATGCCTGTCATCCCAACTACTCAGGAGGTTGAGGCAGGAGAATTGCTTGAACCCAGGAGGTGGAGGTTGCAGTGAGCCGAGATCACACCATTGCACTCCAGCCTGGGCAACAGAGTGAGACTCTGTCTCAAGAAATAAATAAATAAAAATTTAAAAAAGAAAATAAAAAGAGAAGAGAAGTGGGGAAACTGAGACATAGAGAAGAGCAGATGATGGCTAGGAATATCAGGGAGCCAGAGGAGTCCACAGGGAAGGCAGGGGAGGTTGAAGAGCAAGGAGACGTCTGATTTCCTCAGGCTGGAGAACAGAGCTCTCCAACATCCTTTTTTTCCAGCACACACCTCAAGTAGGAGAGCTAGTTAGACTCACTCTTCTACACAGTCTGTGCTGGGAACTGACATGTAAGGGGAGGGAAGAGAGGACAGATGTAGCTGGAAAGAGAGAGGACACTTTTCCCACCTCTTGCAGTATCTCGTTGAGTTCATGAAAGTCTACTTAATACATATTGCCTAGGGCTCCTGTCCCTCCTATGATGTCACAGATGGGTGGGTGCTAATAAGCCCCATGGGCCCCTGTGTTGAGTCACAGAGTTGAGGACTCCAGGTTCTCCCAGGAGCCTAGAAGGTCTTGCTTCTTTCTTCCCTGGTGGTCTACCAAGAGCATGAGTTCCAGAAATATGTCAACCTGTTTCTTTATACTCATTCCTGTGTGCCCAGCATGGTGAGACCTGAAATAAAGAATATGGCACCCTCCCTGTCCTCACAGGGCTTGCATTCTAGGTGGGGAGAAGCACAAGCCCAACACCAGTGTGAATACCACCAGGGCGCCTCCCCACATGGTGGCTGGAGTGTGTTGACACCAAGTGCTAACAAGGGCCTTCCCTGCAGTCTGGAAAGTCCAGAAGCTTCCTGATGGAGGAGAAAGGGTAGATAGAGGTCAGCTTAGGAAGGGAGATTTGGGTGGAGAGACCAGACGAAGGTTATTGGGAAAAATGCAAAGCAGGACCAGAAACCAGGGCTAAGGCCATTGGTTCATGTTTGTGGGAACCAGGCAGTGTGAGGGCTGGAAAGGCAGTGTGGACCAGAGGAGGGAGGGTCATCAGCATCAGGGATTTGGGGCTTACGGGGGAGTAATTGAAAGCCCTGGGAGCTGAGAGAAGCTTGAAAATTATAGCAGTCAGGGTCCCCACAGGAAACACATGGCGTGTCCACACTCAAGTTTGGAGAACTGGAAGAAAGCTTGATAAAGGGCGTATTCGTTTCCTGGAGCTGCTGTAACAAATCACCACAAACCATGTGTCTTAAAACAACAGCAATTTATTCCTCTCTGACTTCAGGAAGCCAGCAATCCACAACCAAGGTGTCAGCAGGGTCGGTTCCTTCTGAAACCATCCTACACCTCTCTCCTTGCACCTGGTGGCTGCCAACAACCCTTGCCCTTCCTTGGCTTGTAGCTGCATCACTCCAACCTCTGCCTCCATTGTCATATGGCCCTGTGTCTTCAGGTAGCCTCTTCTAATGACACAGTCATTGGATTTAGGGCCCACCCTAAGTCAATATGACCTCATCTTAACTAATTACATCTGCAAAGATGCTCTTTCTAAATAAGGTATCATTCTGAGGTTCTGGGTGGACATGAATTTTTGGGGGGAATGCTATTAAAAGGGACTATTTACAAAGGTGTGGACAGGTGTGGGGAAACTCCAAAGGATACTGTGGTGTCCAGGGCTATAAAAGCAGAGAACTGGAGCCAACCCCTTTATCTTCAGGGTGTGGAGAAGGAACCAGAAGGAGGTACAGAAGTCCACCTTGAGAGAGCTGTGATCTTTGGTGGCGCCCGAATCAACCCTGTGGGGAAGGAATGAGAGCACCAAGCCCCCTTCCCTCACTCACTCTCCTCCACTCTTACGTCTTCAGCCAGAGTGCAGAGAGGCCACTGGTGCAGCCCACACAGATCACCCTCCTGAGGTAGCCAAAAAAGGGCTTCTGGAGAGGCAAGTAGATGACAGTGACACAATGGCAGTAGGGGCTGATGGCAAGACGTGCCAAGAGGAGCCAGGTGGAGATCTTGGGTAGGGTGGACATCTGGACAGGGCTGTAGGGTGACAGTGTCTCCTCTGCCCTCGGGCCTGCTCTTTTTTAGACCTCAGCTATGTGGGCAGGCTCCAGGGGCCCATCTATGCCAGGTCAGGGCATCCTGAAGGTAACAGAATGAGCCCCATCTCCTTGGAAAGGAGGTCTGATGGGGTTGCTCAAGGCATCTGAGTTCACACACTGGCCAGGACCAAATTTAATCATGGTCACGTTCGTTGGCAGACACACAGATTTTTGGGGTTTGGGGTATTTTTTTAACGGACTTTATTTTTTCGAGCAGCTTTAGGTTCACAGCAAAACTGAGCAGAAAGTACAGTGAGTTCCCATTTACCCCCTTCCCCACATACACACAGCCTCCCCACTGTCAACATCCTGCACTGGAGTGGCACATTTGTTGCAATCAGCTAACCTACGTGACACGTCATTATCACCCAGAGCCCATAGTTTACGTTAGGGTTCATTCTTGGTGGTGAATATTTTACGGGTTTGGACAAATGTATAATGCCATGTTACCCACCATTATAGTATCATATAGAGTAGCTTCACTGCCCTAAAAATCCTCTGTACTCTGTCTATTCATCCCTCCACCCCAATCCCTGGCAACCACTGATCTTTTTATTGTCTCCATGTCTTTGCCTTTTCCAGAATGTCATATAGTTGGAATCATACAGTATCTAGCTTTTCCAGACTGGCTTCTTTCACTTGGTAATATGCCTTCAAGTTTCCTCCGTGGCTCTTCGTGGCTCAATAGTTCAATTATTTTTAGCACTGAATAATATTCCATTGTCTGGATGCATCACAGTTTATCCATTTGCCTACTGAAGAACATCTTGGTTGCTTCCAAGTTTTGGCAATTATGAATAAAGCTGCTATAAACATCTGAGTGCAGGTTTTTGTGTGGACATCGGTTTTCAACTCATTTATATTAATACCAAGAAGCATGATTACTGGATGGTATGGTAAGAGCATGTTTAGTGCTGTAAGAAACTACCAAGCTCTTCCAAAGTGGCTATACCATTTTGTATTCCTACCAGCAATGGATGTGAGTTCATGTTGTTCCACACCTTTGCCAGCATTTGGTGTCACATCCAGTTTTTAAAACATGAATTTGACACCTTTAGGTGGGGACTTGCCTTGTTTTCCTTTTTTTTTTTTTTAGACACAGGGTCTCGCTCTATCACCTAGGCTAGGGTACAGTGGTGCAATCATAGCTCACTGCATTTTCAACTCCTGGATTTAAGGAATCTTCCTGTCTTAGCCTCCTGAGTAGCTGGGACTACAGGCACACACCACCACACCTGGCTATTTTTTTTTCTTTTTAAATTTTTTTGCAGAGACAGGATCTCACTCTGTTGACAGGAGGCTGCCTCAGCCTCTTAAGGTGCTGGGATTAGAGATGTGAGCCACCACACCCAGCCTAGGTGGGACCTTCATGCCCAGTTCACCCACAGACTCACTCATTTCCCACTGACCCATCCCAGGCCCATTTTATTCATGTATATTACCTGCCCAGCCCCAGTAGACATTTGAATTTTCAACCCCTACTTGAGGATATAGAATGGAGAAGAAGAAGGTGACTTGCTAGCCACTTAGCATGTGGTTCCCCATCCCTGTGCACCCCCTCACTCCCCTCACCTGGGAGGAGGAGGGAGGCACCTTTACCCACTGGGCAAGGTGGGGTGAGTGACTGGCCCAGGGGAAGGGCTGAGGAAATACTTCTTTAAATGGAGTTGTTTCCTAGGAAGGCCCTGATGCTATCTGAGTGCAGGCAAGAACAAGTTTTGTGCCGACCCTCTCCAAGGTTTATTCATCAGATCCCAACTGCCATTTGGAAACATGGAAAAAGCATGGACTTTTGTTTCTGAAGATCTAGGTTTCTATAGTTCCTGTCTGCCAGGGGCCTTGGACAGATCTTTTAATGCTTCTGAGCCTCAGTTTATCTTTCTGTAAATAGTAATGGCTGTTTTACAAAGTTGCTATACCAGAAAAGTCATTTTTGCTCTTTGCCAACTATAAAATCAAGGACAATAGTAGTTATTGTCTACTTCCTCTTCGCACCTCCTCACCTCCCATTCTCTAATGCATGTCAATCATTCCACTGAAACTGGGCTAGTTAAAGTCACCAGTGACCTCCACATGGCCAAGTCCAAGGACCAGTTCTCAGTCCTCATTGTAACCAACTCACCTGAAGTGCCTTAAGCTTTTTTTCTTCTCGAAATACTTTGTCCATGTTGGCTCCAGAGCATCTGACTCTCTTGGTTTTCTTTCTACCTCCTTGGCTGTGCCTTTTCTGTCTCTTTTGCAGGACCTGCCTCTTCTTCCTGACCTCTAAAGGATGGAGTTTACGAGGGCTGCATCCTTGGCACTCATCTCCCCACCATCTATACCATGGGCTTGGTGACTATAGCAGTTTCCTAGGACTACTGTAATGAAGTACCACATTGAGTGGCTTAAAATAACAGAAATATATTCTCTCACAGTTCCAGAGGCCAGAAGTCTGAAATCAAGTCAACATACTCCCTCCAAAGGCCCTAGGGAAGAATTTCCTGTTAGCTCTTCTAGCTGCTGGTGGTTGCTGGTAATCGTTCGCACTTATGTCTGTGGTAGCGTAACTCCAACCTTTGCCTCTATTTTTACATCTTCCTTCTGTGTGTGTCTGTGTCCAAATTCTTTCTCCTTTTTCTTCTTCTTCTCCTCCTTCTTCTTCTCCTCCTCCTACTCCTTCTCCTCCTTCTCTTTCTCCATCTCCTTCTCTTTTCTGTAATCCAGGCTGGAGTGCAGTGACACAGTCATAGCTCACTGTAACCTCAAAATCCTGAGCTCAAATGATCCTCCCCCATCAGCCTCTTGAGTAGCTGGGACTACAGCGATATGCAAGCAGGTCTGACTAATTTATTTTTTAAAAATTTTGTAGAGGCAGAGTATTGCTATGTTGTCCAGGCTGGTCTTCAACTCCTGGGCTCAGGCAATCCTCCCGCCCTGGCCTCCCAAAATGCTGGGATTACAGGTGTGAATCACCATGCCCAGCCTAAATTTCTTTCCTCTTATAAGAACAACAGTCATTGGATTGGGGCACATTCCAATCCAGCATGACCTCAACTTGACTACACCTGCAAAAACCCTATTTCCAAATAAGACATAAATTTTGGAGGAGACACTATTCAACCCAGTACAGTGATGTTATCTGGTCTCCTGGTTTTAAAAACCATCCCTATATTATTGACTTTCAAATGCATACCTTCAACCCAAACATGGCTTCTGTCTTCCTGTCTGTTGTCTCATGCCTTCTCCACACCTCCATTCACATGTCCCACATCTACCATGTTAAGAATGAACTCTTGTTCTGAAACCTTGGTCCTTCCCTTTCTCCTTAAATGGCAGCACTTTGCAACCAGTTGCTCAGACCAAAAATTCTGGAGGTATCCTTGATTTCCCTTTTTTTCTACATCCCAAATACAATTTATCAGCACATCACTTTGGCTCTACTTTCCAACTATATTCAAAATCTAGCTACTTCTAACCACCTCCATCCCCACCTTTCTAATCCAAGCCATCATCCACTGTCACCAACTACAGAGCCTCTGACCTCATCTTCTACCATTCTCCTCATTGCACTGTCCTCTGCCAACTTAACAATCTGAATTTAAAATTGCAAAGGCCTGGACTGCTTCTGCTGACACATTTAGGGACTTGCTAAGGGTTATGCCATTCAGCCCCAGCCTTAAGATAATTCTAAATAACCAAATAACTTCTCTCAGAGGTTTCTTTTCTTGATACTGCTCATGTTTTTGGAATTGCTTTCTTCTATTCATTCATTATCAATTCACATGTATTGAGGGCTTCCTGTGTGCCAAACACCCTCCTGGGCTCTAGGAAAATAAGGTTAGATAAGAAGTAGTCTGTACTCTGCAGGCTTTCCTAATCTAATAGAAAAACGGTCAGGTAAACAGTGTGTGCTCTATGCACAGGGGGCTTTCTTCTTGAGCCCCAGATAAGGGGACACCTAAACCAGCCCCATAAGATATTCAGAAGATAACTCTAACCCTGCACAGGAGGCTTAGGGGTCTGGTTGAGGTGTCCCCTTCACTGGGGCTCAAGAAGAAAGTTCTTACAGATTTTGCCCCCTTCTCCTCTTGAATATCACCCAATGTACCAAAGAAAGAAAAAAACAGAAATACGACTCCATCTTCAGTGGAGCTAGAAGATGCCTAAACCCCTGAAGCACAATAAGACACAGAAAACAGATGACACATGGTATATGAGCTAGCAAGGAGGAGTAAAGTCAAATCCCTGTGGCTGCAGGTGGTATCAAGGAAAGGAAAACCTATTGGCTACAGAAAACCTGGGAAAAAATCACTAATGGGAGACACCAGATATTGCAGAAAGCAAAAGCAAGGCAGAGGGTCTTGCGCTGGGATTATTGCTGTGTGAGGAGTAGTGAGACCACTCTAGGGACCCACCTTCTCCTTCCTCAATAAGGCCATCATACCTCCCCAGTCTTTCAGGGGCCCAGGAGTTTGTTCTGGAGTTACAGAATTATGAAATAAGTGAACCAGGGAAGCTCCAAAATGGGACCATCAAATGGCACAGGAAAATCAAACCCTTCCCCACTCAGCCCCAGACACCAGCAGCTGGGCTCCCCACAGGAGATGGGAGAAGCCGTCTCAGGAGAGACCAAATGACCCCAGAGAAAAGACCAACAAATACTGGCATTTGGTAATCTCAATAGAAGTAGCTGGCTGGCCACTTTTTCAAGATACCCCAGCTCACAAGCCCACCCATGCACTTCCAATGAGAAATACCCAAGAATAATCAAGTATTCAAGAAAAACCTCAAAGATAATAGGGAAAAAAATGAACAAGGAGAGAGAAAAAGAACTCATGGAGAAAAGTAGCAATTGTAGAAAGCAAAACAATTCAAAGAAATTACAATGAATAGCTTCAGAAAGATAACAGAAGATATTACATTCATGAAATAAAAAAAGAATGCAATACTTTAAAAAATAAAGAGGAACAAAGAACAAATTTTATATGATAGTCAAAATGTAAAAGTCGGTAGTAGAATTGGTGCTGAAGTCAATGAAATCTCCTAGAAAGTAAAACAAAAGGATAAAGTGAGGGATAATAACAGAGAATAGATAAGAAAATTAGAGGATTAGTCCAGAGGATCAAAACTGACTATTAGGAGAAATATAAAGAAAGAACTGAAAGGAAGAGGAAATTGTAGCAAATTGTATTTTCCAAAGATGGCTGTCACAATATCCCCTATCCCACATACTTTTCTAGAATCTTGCCATGCCCCCATCAAGAGGTGGTTGTAATGGATAGTAGGACAATACATTTAAAACATAGGTGAGTTGCAGGGTTCAGTGGCTCACGCCCGTAATCCCAGCACTTTGGGAGGCCGAGGCGGGCAGATCACCTGAGGTCAGGAGTTTGAGACCAGCCTGACCAACATGGAGAAACTCCATCTCTACTAAAAATACAAACTTAGCAGGGCGTGGTGGAGCATGTCTATAATCCCAGCTACTCAGGAGGCTGAGGCAGGAGAATTGCTTGAAGCCAGGAGGCAGAGGTTGCAGTGAGTCGAGATCACACCATTGCTCTCTAGCCTGGGCAATAAGAGCAAAACTCTGTCTCAAAAAAAAAAAAAAAAAATAGGTGAGTTAAAGCTACATTACTTTTTAAAGTCATATCAGTATGAAGACTGACTACATTTGTGGCCTGCACACCTCTTAATATTAAGGAGAATTAAGAATTCTTATCTGAATCATCCAGTTTTGCAATTCCTTTGCCCTTGAATCCTCAGAGGCTTTTGTGACTGTATATTCACCAGCACGGTAGAAGGGAGACTGTATGATAGGAAGGTAGCCATCAAAGGCAACATTTTTTCTGCCGTGCTTGCAGGAAGAATTGCCCTAGAGTCCTGAGTCACTACGGAAGCTGGCTGTCACTATGGAAAAAGGCCGCCATACTGTGAGGAAGCCCAAAAGAGGCCTTGTGGAGAGATCACATAGGATGCCCTGAGAAGAGAGAGATGTCCAATAAGACCCCAGCTGCTCCAGTCCCCACGGTTCCAGATCCAGATGTCATCTCACTATGATCTCATGACAGAGAACCACCTAGCAAAGATTTTCCAACATCCATGAGAGGTTATAAAGTGACGGTTATAGTTTTAAGTCACTTAAGTTGGGGGTGATTTGCTACAATGTTAGCAATAGCTAACCAGAATATTGCCTAAGAGATAACAGAACTTCCCAGATTGAAAGATATGAGTCCCCAGACTAAAAAGACCCACTGAGAGAGCCTGGCATAATTCGTGGAGAAAAGACCTACTCTAGAGCACATGTGAAATTTCAGAACAAAGGGAGAAAGTAAAAATCCAAAAGAAAGAAAAAGAAAGAGAGAGAGAGAGAGGGAGAGAGGGAGGGAGGGAGGGAAGGAAGGAAGGAAGGGAGGGAGGGAGGGAGGGAGGGAAATAAAGGAAGGAAAAGAAAAGAAAAGACATTGGTGAGAGGGTGAGAGTTACAGAAAGCAGGGAAATGATACAGAAGATTAATAATTAGTATGGCACTGGACTTCTCAAAACTAACAGTAGGGGCTGGGCACAGTGGCTCATGCCTGCAATCCCAGCGCTTTGGGAAGCTGATAACTGGCGGCCAGGAGTTCAAAATCAGCATGGGCAACATAGTGAGTCACCATCACCACAAAAAAAAAAAAAGAAAAAAAATTCAATGGATCAATCTTTGCATTCGGGAGGATATGCTCCCAAGTTAACACAACAGAAGTTTATTTCTGCTCACATAGTAGTCCTGGATGGATGTTCATGTAATAGGCAGGCACTCCTCTGTGAGACCCAAGCTTCTTCCACCTTGAGGCGCAGCCATACCACAGGCCCCCTCCTAACCTTTTTGGGGCCCTGGACCCCTTTAACTATCTGGCAGACCCTTTCTGATAACATTTTTAAATCCATAAAACAAAACACATAGTAGTATAAAGCAAAACAATTATATGGACATATAACTATCAAAATAAATAAAAACCATTGTGATATAGTAATAAATGTGTTTCTGTATTAATTGAATAAATAGTAAGACAAAACATTTAAAACATAAGTGCGTTTAAGCTACGTTTATTTTTTAAAGATATATCATTGTGAAGACTGACTACACTTGTGGCCTGCACACCTCTCAGTATTGAAGAGGGCTAAGAATTCTTATCTGACGGCCTGGTACGGTGGCTCATGCCTGTAATCTTAGCACTGTAGGAGGCCAAGGCAGGTGGATCATGAGGTCAGGAGTTCGAGACCAGCCTGGCCAACATGGCAAAACCCCATCTCTACTAAAAATACAAAAATTAGCCAGGCATGGTGGCGCATACCTGTAATCTCAGCTACTCGGGAGGCTGAGGCAGGAGAATTGCGTGAACCCAGGAGGCAGAGGTTGCAGTGAGCCAAGATCGCACCATTGCACTCCAGCCTGGGTGACAGAGCAAGATTCCATCTCCGAAAATAAATAAATAAATAATTCTTATTTGAATCATCCAGTTTTGCAAACCTCTAACAAACAATGCATCTACCTCCACATATTAATTGACCAACAATTGGAGGCAAGGACTATGGAAAGCAACATAGATTGCGAGCAAATGTGACTTCCACATTTGGTGGTGGAATGCCTCCCCTGCTCAGCATCGGCCAGTTGTGTGGCACAGCTGTCTATCAACAGGAAGACTGCAATTATGTGCAGTCTAGTGGCAGGTCTAATAACTGCCGCGGTTTCTAAGTAGTGATGAATGTAATGATATTTTGAGCTATCTGCAACAACTGTAATGTGATATGAAAATATCTGTGATTTCTACTGGTGACAAAGTCACAGATACTGCTAACACCACTGTGGTTTATTGTCTACATTTATAATAGAAAGAAATGCTCAACTAGTTTAAGGTCAGGAAAAATAAAGATGTACTTTTCCCATCCAAGTTCATAGATTTCCCTGAATTTAGGGTCTGTGGACCACAGGTTATGATGTTTCCTCTGGAGTCTTCTTGTCATATCTGCAGCCAGCCAGTAAAACAGGAAAGAGCACAGAAAACTGCACAGATGAAGTCTTTATGGACCTGTCCTGAAATTGACACATATCATTTCCACTCACATTCCACTGGGGAAAGTTTAGCCCTGTGGCTACACCTCCCTGCAAGGAAAGCTGAGAAATATAACCTTACTTTCATGCTGAGGAAGAAGAAATAACAGATTTGGATGCCCAGCCAGCAGTCTCTCTTCCACGGTCAGTGGTGTGTGTAGCCTTCTTGCCACATGTAGAAGACATCCAGTCCCTTTCCAAGGGAGTCAAAGCAAAACCCCATCTAGCCTCTGCATTCAGCTCAGTGTCCAGAACTTCTAGGTGATGTACAGTCCTTTCCAACAAGTCTGATGGAATTTCTCTTGGTCCACAGACTTACGAACTGTGCTCTACTCCCCACCCCTGCACACACCCAAAATATAGGATAATTGCAATTAAGATTGGGAGACACAGGCAGTGCCTTGTCCATAACAATGATGGAACCCTGCCAGACAAGCATTGTGAAGACCCTCTGCCCTGGCAATAGAGGGGGTTACTGCATTAGACCCTGTATCCTTTCTCTGGGAGGAGTCTCCTTGCCTTCCATGGCCCCTGCTCTGCCCTCTGGGAAATTCTCCCTTGTCTATTATCTCCTGTGGCCAGATCTGAAGGAGTTATTAGTAGTATCCCCCTTTTGGGAGTTCCCACTGCTTTTGTAGCACTTTTGGTTCATGGAAGCTTGAGGGTCCACGTGTTTTTCTGAACTTTTTAAAGACCATCTTTGTGATTTCTTGAGAAATGCAATTTCTTCCTGCAAAAAGATTTCTGATCTATTTGCTTCCCATTGGTTACATGCACCACTTACCACTTCCAAAATTCCCTATACATGGTTCTTAAATCTGTTTGAGTTCTTTTTTGCTTTTTTAGCTCCATGCCAATCCCCATTTGTTAAATATCAGCTACTGTAAGGCCATCTGTAGCAAGAGGATTATTAGAGAGACAATATCCTTAACCTGATCTTTGCTGCAGGAATAAGTCCTTTGGTTTAACTGAGAAGACTTCGTTGGTCTTTATGGCTCAAATACTTATTCAGTGTTACCACCTCCTCTGTGGGGTCTGGAAACTGTTTCTTCAACCCTTGATCTCTGCTTACAAATAGCCCAGTTCTTTCTTGAGCTCTTTTTTTCCTACTGACAACCTGCTAAGTGAATTAAATAACTGGCAACAAACCCCACCCACCTTTCTCCAACCTCTTTCACTATAGGTAGAGACCCAGTAGGAGATTAAATGTTCTCAGGTATCTAAATGCTTTCCTCCTAGCTCATCAGGCCTATCTGTTTATATCTGTTTTCTCACCACCTTTTCCCAGCCAATGCCATTTATTTTAATTTTTGTAATGGCATCACCCTACTTCTAGAATCAATTTCTGTGCTAGAGTACAGTTAGGCTGCTAACAAATAGACCTCAAAATTTCAGTGGCTTAAAACAACAGTTGCTTATTTTTAGCCCACATAAATTACTGGGTGGGCTGTTCCATGTGTGATCATTCAAGAACTGATGCTCCTTGCATCTCATGGCTCTACAAATCCCTAGAACTTCATTTTTATTGTCTCCATTTGTATTGCCAGAAGGGGGAAAGCATGGAGGAAAAACTCAGGAAGTTTTGAATGGGCTAAGTCTGGAGTTTTAAAATTTCCATTAAACGAAACTTGATCACATGGCTAAGTTTTATTGCAAAGGAAGCTGGGAAGTATAGTCTGACTGTGTGCCCAAGATTTTGGTGGACAGCTGGTACCATCTGCATGGTTATTTTCAACCTAGAATTTTATACCCAGCCAATTTATCAATCACATATAAGCATGGTCAAAAGACATTTTCAGACATGTAAAATCTAAAAAATATATCTTCCATTAACCCTTTCTCAGAAAGCTATTAGAGGATGGGCTACACCCAAAAGAGGAATTGAGGCAAAAAAGAAGACAACATGCAGAACAGAAAACAGGGAACAACAATCGTGTAGGCCCAGAGAGCCTTCAGTCCATATTAGGGCAGAAGTTTGGAGAGAAGTTTGGAGCTTTCTCCGGGAAAAAAAGAAAAGTAGAACTGATAACTTACATGACAATATAACAGAGTGGAAAATTGTAATAAGGTGTGTTTTGTATAAAGTTGTTGAAGAATGAGAAGATTTTAGTCAGAATATCAAAGAAAACTAATTTAGTCATAAAATGAGATAATTACTAAATCTAGCAAAATAAATAATTTTATAATAAACGAGATTTAATCATAAAATACTGTGTAGCTCAGCAGTGAACAATCTTTACATGATCATTAAATTGAAAACAGTGATGATGGGCTTAACCAAAAATTGAGATGTAATTAAAAGAGGTTTAGATAAGGAGTGTAAATAGCTAAACTCTTCATAATAAGATATATATTAGTCAGGATGGGCTAAGTTATTCAATAGTAAGAAGTCCAAAATCTAAATGGCAAAATATGCTTTTGTCTTACACAACACTGCTCACATGGATGCTCAGGGGCTTTGCTCCATGTGATCATTCAGGGATTCAGTCAGCAGCTCCACCAGCTTGTAGCAATACCCTCTGGAACACATGGCATCCTTGGTCCCATGGCAGGACACAGAGAATGGAGAAGGATGCATGAGTTTTTACCATCTCTCCTCTTATAATTTCACTTGCCAAAAACAGTCATATGTTCCTGTTGAACAGGCAGGGGCTTGACAGTACAGTCTTCCATGTGCTCTGAAGGGGAGGAAGACTGGTAATATTTGCCAAGGGAAGTTTATAAAATCACCTAAAATGAATAAATCAAGAGACAGCATTATATACACATTCTTTTAAAATATGGAAGTAAGTACCAGAACATGTTGAAAAGCTAAAAGAAAAAAGTGAAAAATGTTGAAAATGTTTCTGGTGAGCCTGGCAAGTAACCAGCATGGGGAGTGAAGCAGGCCAGGGAACAGGAGACCACTGGGTTTTGCTGTAAACTCTTTTAGCATCATTTCACTTTTGAAACTATCTGCATGTATTGTTTTTATTAAGTTTTATATAACTTATTTTTTAAGTTACTTGAAAAATAAAAACTGGAAGTAGGAAGACTATCACAAACATACCCCCAGTAACCCCATCTGGGATCATAATTGAGGTCAACCTTAGACGACCAGTCAGCAGTTTCCAGAATTCCCACCCTCCCTGGGCTACTTGGTCAAGCTCTTTCCCAGGGTCTCTCACTGCTCATTATTCCAGAGACTTGAATTTGCTTAGAGCAACTAGGCGTTGTCTTACAGCCTCTTGCCCTTCTCGATTCTCTCATACTAATGTTTACCTTACATGCCTCAATGCAAAGAGTCTTCTCCTTGTGAAGACAAATGCAAAACACCAGTTGAAAACTTCCGTTCTCCCTATTAGCTATTCGTAAAACCCCATCGGTCTGAGGCTTTTCAACTCGTTCTGACACTTTCTTCTCTTTAACTTTTTTTTGAAAACTTTAGTTAAGGTAGGGATCTGACCTGCGGGCACTTGGTTTCCTCCTTTGTGTCCTTGTTACGCACTCTTCTCACCAAGGTTTATAAATGTCCTTTGAACATCAGAGAATTCTGGGAATCTTGCTATGCCAGTCTTCCTCCTGCCCCTCTTCCACACACAATGGCCAGAGAGAGTTTCAATGATGTGCCTGTCATCATGGTGTCCTTGATAACTCTCCTTTGTCTCCTTAGCAAAATAAGCTAGGCCCTTTACAACCCCTCCCTACCCACTTTCCACCCACCTGGCTGCCTGCCCCAGGCTCCCTGTGCGCCAGCCACCAGGAATCTCGGGCCTCTATTTTGGCTCCTGCGGGGCTCCCTGCCTGGAATGCCCGTCCTCTCCCTGCTGGATGCGTCTCTCAGATCCAGAAGCCTCCCCAAACTCCCAGCAGCTGTGGGGTAAGGGAAAGGGGTCCATTAAAATGGACAGTGAGTTCAACACTCTCTTAGTGATTCTAACATTGGGAAATTTACTCCGCTTCTCAGAACCTCAATTTTTCAGCTGATGCATTAGGATTGGTCTGAATTATCTTTAACATCTCTTTCAGGTCTCATACTGCTCCCTCCCACCCCCACCACAAAATTACACTGAATTGGAATGAATGTTTGTTTGTTTGTTTGAGACAGGGACTTACTCTGTCACCCAGGCTGGAGTCCAGTGATGCGATCATGGCTCATTGCAGCCCCAACCTCCTGGGCTCAATCAATCCCCCCATGTCAGCCTCCCAAGTAGCTGGGACTACAGGCATGCACCACCACACTCAGCTAATTTTTGTATTTTTTTGTAGAGACGGGGTTTCACAGTATTGCCCAAGCTGGTCTTGAACTCCTGGGCTCAAGTGATCCACTCACCTTAGCCTCCCAAAGTGCTGGGATTACAGGTGTGAGCCACTACACCCAGCTGGAATTTAATTTTTAAGAGCACAGATTCTGAAGCTAGAGCTGAATTGCCTGGGTTCAAATCCCATCTCAACCGCTTACTAGCTACCTGACCTTGAGCAAGTTACTAAGCCTCCCTATTTAATGGGAAATAGTAATGGTCATTGTCTCATAAGATTATTGTGAGAATTAAGTGATATCTACACATATGTTGTGATGCATATGAAGTGCTTAGAGTAGCTCTGATAAGCTGTTATTATTATCATTATTCTACACTGCCAAACTGAGCAATTGGAGGAACAAGGCCATATCCCCTTTCTTTCTAAACCCCCAGTGCCTAGGACTTTGCCCAGCATGGAAAACAAAAATCTCCACTTTTTCCCTAGTGAAAGAAGGAGAGAACTGGGAGAAGCCTGCATTGCATCCTATGAGTCAGGCTTCAAGAGCTCTGCCCAGCCTCCTAGACTGTCTTCCCTTTCAGAATGTCACTCCATCAAGTCATATCTGGCCTTCTGCTCAACATTTAGAAGACTTGAGGGTAGAGCTGAGAGGGACTGCATTGGTGGGGGGTAGGGGACAGAGCTTGTTTTAAGCTTGCTCAGGCCTAGTCCTTAGCTCTGAAACCTCTACAGGCATAAAAATCTGTGAATTTAAGAGACCGAAAAAAGACATCTCTGGGGCTGGGAGTGGTAGCACACCGAGGAGCTCTCGGAAGGCCAAGCCATGTACCCCTCTTTGGGGAGACTCGGGGAGGACTGCTCCTCCCCATAAAATATACAAAAAGCTGGTGGCTTCTTCACTCCAGGTCTTCCTCAGAGATGAAGGACACCAGGATGGGCGAGGTGGGGAGGAGAGAGTCCCTGCACCCACCATGGTCAGCCTGAAAAGCATTACCCACTCATGGGGTGATAAAAGCTGCAGCTGCTAAGAACCACAGAAGTCTGGGTTAGAACCAAGGAGAAGGAGCAATAAGGGGAAAAATAGTAGGGCTGGGGAATTGGTTAGCAAAGACCCCAAAGACAGGAGAAGGGACAGGTCTCGGGAAAAGCTGGGTCAGGAGAGCACTCCAAACTAAGACACTGCTGCCCATTTGTATCTATCACAGATTATTTAATAAAGAGCTGCCAAAGTTACTGCAATTTCATTGCTAATGTACTGATGCCTCGCAGTTCTGCATCTTAACCTCATTGCTGGGGCTCCAGAGGCCCCCTACCCACCCCGCCTCCCAGCCCAATGTCCCCCTGCAGCCACTGGGGCGGAGCGTCTCATTTTGCTAGAATGTCATCCATTTATCAAAGGACAGGATTAGCCCCCTCCTCCACATTCAGCAGGCAGAGCCTTCCTCTTTCTAATTTCAACTTGGCAACAGCTTAGGTTATTAACCTACTGAAATATCCTCCAGGGTCTCCCTCTCACACCACACTGCTTCCCCCCATGTTTTCCCAGCATTCACTCCCTGACTCTTTTTCTCTAGGGCTATGGTACTTAAACTTTTTCCATCTTTAGATCTTTGTATATGGATAAAAGATATCTCTCTCCTCACTCATGTCTGATGCTAGAGGGGCTAGAGGGGGATGTCATTAATGGTATTAATGGTGAGCTGAGCTGAGGGGATGCTCTCCAGGACAAGGGGGAAGACTGTGATGCCACTTTTGACAAGAGGTCGGAAGGCAAGCTGATAAGGTGAAAGGAGCTTTGAACTAGGATCAGGAGACCTGGGTTCAGGACCCAACTCTGTCACTCACTCAACTTTCGACCTTGGGCAAGTCAACTTCTCTTCTGTGGGCCTCAGTTTCCCTATGTCTGAAATGAGAGCAAGGATAAGAACCAGGGGTTCGAGGACTCAGGAACCCCCAGGGGTCAGGTGGATCACTCAAACGAGCAAATTGGCCAGTATAAGACAATAGGGAGTGATAGGGAAATTGGAGCGTACGTGTCCAAACTGAAAGCAATCAAATTTTTTAAATTAAGATTTCACCAAACAAAAGAGATCTGCTGGACAAATTAAACCCATGATCACCAGTTTGTGGCCCCTGGAAAGCCCTCTGAGGTCCCTTTCCATTGTAGCGTTCTACAATATAATCATTTATGTGAACAGGGCCCATCTTAAAAGTACTATAAGTAGATATGGTGTGAATTCAGGACATAGGTCTCTTGCCCACCCCACCCCCAGCCCCTAACCTATGCCTGATTTACTATCTGAAATGTCTTTAAAAGGTGTGGTAGTGTTCAGATATGTCCAGGAATTATTCAGTACTCCTTTCTTCAAAACATAAGACCTGATTCCCCTCCCCTTGTGTGTGGGTTGGACTTAGTGACTTGCCTTTAACAGATAAATTATGTTGGAAGTCACAAGTATGTGACTTGTAAGACCAAGTCATAAAAGGCATTGTGGCTGCCTCCACCGCCTCCTCCTCCTCCTCCTCCTCCTCCTCCTCCTCTTCTTCTTCCTCCTCCTCCTCCTCTTCCTCCTCTCTCTTTCTCTCTTTCTCACTCACTCGCTCGCTCACAGAAACCAGCTGCCACGAGGTGAGGACTTAAAGTAACCCTGTGGAAAGGCCCACATGGGAGAAACGGAGGCCTCCTGCCAACACTCCCTGTGAGGGAGCCATCTTGGAAATGGATCCTCCAGCCTCTACCAAGCCTATAGCCCTAACCAACATCTTGCTTGCAACCTAGTGAGAAACTCTCAACCAGAATGACCCAGCTAAGTCATTCTCAAATTCCTGACCCACTGAAACTGTGATATAATAACTATTTGTTATTTTAAGCTGCTAAATTTGGGAGTAATTTGTTACACAGCAATAGATAATAAATACATTAAGAAACAAACTTCCCATTCCACAATAACAGATAAGACTTAAATCCACATTCCCCAGGGAAAGAAAAAGATCTCAAGTGGGCACCGAAAGTTAGGAGAAACTGGGAAGGAGGTGGTTGTTACATGGGCTGAAGACAAGCTTTGCTGGCTTTATAATTTGCAACAAACCAACACTGAAATTATAATAAGTAAATTAATTGTTAGAAACTAGGTGCTGAGCTATATTAAAAATCATAACTCAGGTGCACCTAATTCAGCCTTTCTGCTGGACACCTTAACTCAGATGCTCCAATGTCGCTGCAACCTTAATCCATCCAATTCTCAGCCCAGCTTTTCCCCCAAAAGTCTCCATGCCTCAGAAAGACACCACCATCCACCTAGGGCATACACAACCTCCATCTCCAACTTCAAAAACTGCAGATTTGGAGCGTACGTGTCCAAACTGAAAGCAATCAAATTTTTTAAATTTGATTTAAAAAATCAGACAAGAACTGAACTGCAGATTTCACTCCCCAATTTTTTTTTTCTTTTTTGAGATGGAGTCTTGCTCTGTTGCCCAGGCTGGAGTGCAATGGTGCGATCTCACTCACTGCAACCTCCGCCTCCCAGGTTCAAGCAATTCTCCTGTCTCAGCCCCTCAAGTAGCTGCAATTACAGGCACATGCCGCCACACCCAGATTTTTTTTTTTTTTTTTTTTGTATTTTAGTAGAGACAGGGGTTTCACCATGTTGCCCAGGCTAGTCTCGAACTTCTGAGCTCAGTCAATCCACCCGCCTCGGCCTCCCAAAATTCTAGGATTACAGGCGTGAGCCACCACACCCAGCCCACCTCAAATATTTTACCAGTTCAATGGCAGCAAAGAAAACAGGGAGAGAAATGGTTCTCTAAATTTTCAAGAGTACTTCTATTTCTTTCTTTTTGAGACAGGGTCTCATTCTGTCACCCAGGCTGTAGTGAAATGGCACAATCATGGCTCACTGCAACCTTGACCTCCCAGGCCCAAGCAATCCTCCCACCTCAGCCCCCCAAGTAGCTGGGACCACAGGCACGTGCAGCCACACCTGGATAATTCTGTTTATTTTTTGTGGAGATGGGGTCTCACTATATTGCTCAGGCTGGTCTGGAACTCCTAGGCTCAAGCAATCCTCCCACCTTGGCCTCCCAAATTGATGGGATTATAGGCATGAGCCACCACACCTTGCCAAGAGTACTTTCATTTCTTCAAGGACGTTCATACCTGTCTTTCCACATCCTATAGCTAGCTATTGCTGAGTAACAAACTACCCTAAAACTTAGCAGCTTAAAACAACAATAATCATCTGTTTTGCTCATGACCCTGCAATTTAGGTGAGGTTCAACAAGAACAACTCCTCTCTGCTTCACAATATCTGGGGTTTCAGCTAGGATGTTTCATATGGCTGGACACTGGGAAGCCATGGTGCATTAAGCTGGCTTGTACCAGCTTGCAAAAGCCAATTGTTAAATATTCAGAAATTTTTTACAAGCAGTTGTTATACTATTGGTAACTTTAAATTGGCCCTGGTGAGACTAATTACAGTCAGAAATCAACAAACACTATAAATCAGGGCAGTTTTCATTCACAGAGTAGGTTTACCAGCACACCACTGTTGGCCAGGCATCTCTCTCTCTCTCCATCACATGGCTAACTTGGGCTTCCTTACAACATGGCAGTTTCAGGGTAGTTAGGCTTCTTACAGGGTGGCTGGAACTTTCCCAGACCGAGTGTCCCAAAGAATCTAATCAGAAACTACTTCACTTATTACCTATTCCCAGATGTCCCAGAATGTCACTTCTCTCACATTCTATTGGCTAAGCAAATCACTAAAACCAACCCGATTCAAAGAAAATGATTAGACTTCACCTTTCGATGGGAGGAGGGGCAGAGAACATGTGGCCATCTTTAATCGACCATAGCATAGGACAAGAGTCTAGGGTGTAGCAGACGGTTACTGGTCTAGATAGCAGAAGACTCAAGTCATATCCCTCCTCTACTTCTTACTAGATGTGTGCCTTCAGCATGTCATTTAACTTACTTAAATGTCCTTTTCTTCATTGTTAAACAAACAGACAAACAAAGTAAAAGAAAGAAAAGAGGAGTGCCAAGAACCTTCATTTTGCCTATTTCTCAGGATTATCGTTTGGAGCAAGTAAGATCATTTTAATGTACCTAGATGTAATTTGGCACCATATAGAGTCAAGGCTCTGCTGCAATAGTTTTTCATATATGTGCTGTAATTACGTTGACCATATAATTCATCATTCAAACCAGGACACTTTGTAGAGTGAAAGGGGATGCTATTAATAATTACATAACAGGTATAATCAGGACTGAACCCAGTAAATCTGCTTGCATGGTCACCAGCTATAATAAATATGCCAGTTTTCAGAAAAGAAACTGAGTGATGTGAACTGGGTTATGTTTCCCAATGGTGAGCATCTAGTGGGGAAAAAATAAGTAAACATTCAAGGAAGAATTCAGCAAGTCAAAGAGATCCAGCTGAAAATTTCCAATGGAATAAGGCAGACTACAAATAGACATACAAAGTAAAAATGAAAAACAATCTCTTTTTTGTCTAATTCAAATCATTTCTTCTTTCCCAACATCAAGTAACCCACTCAGGTTCCCCATTTAGCTCACGACCGGTGTGCTTGCCTCTCCTCTGACCTCTATCCAGTCATTTCTCCACTGTGCTCCCCTCCCACAGAGAATTCTATCCACAATGCAAAATGTCTTGGATCATTCCCTGGCATAAACCCCTTTAATGGCCCTTCATCACTTGCAGGAGATACCTTCAGCCCCAAGCATGGTACAGGCACACTATGGTCTGGCCCTCCCCCTACCTTTCCCCAGCCTCCTCTCCTACCCCCTCTGACCTCACACTTTATTTATATTCTAGAAATTCCCAAACACTTGTATCTCCTGATGTGCAGTGCTAAGGTCTGTATGGTGACACCTTGCTCTGAGCCATTGTCTCAGCCTGCAATGTTCTCCCCCATTGCCTCTGCCTCTCCAGGTCTCACTCGTGATTGTAGTCGCCACTCAGGGGTCATCCCTGAAGGAACGACTAGACATCCCAGGCCAGGGACAATGCCCTCCCCGATGCTCACCGAGCATCCTGAATACTGGAATGGTTAAGGGCACAGACTTGGGGCACAGAATGCCTAGGTTCAGATCCCAGCTGAACTTGGGCAAGTTGCTTAATCAAGCTATGCCTCAGTTTCCCCACCTGTAAAATATATTAAATAGGACTCATCTAGTGAGGTTGTAGTGAGGATTAACTGTGTTAACATTAATATAATACATATATAATTTGATACGGTGCCTGGCACACAGACCATTCCCCGTAAGTAGTAGTTGTCGTCCTCAGATGTCGTCTGTATCTGGCTCTTGCAAGGGCAAAGGCTGGATCTAATTCACATGGGTATCCCTGGAGGCTCCTAATAAGTGTTGGTTGAAATGAACTGAGTTGGCCAGGCACAGGGGCTGACGCTTGTAGTCCCAGCACTTTGGGAGGCCGAGGCAGGTGGATCACCAGAGGTCGGGAGTTCGACACCAGCCTGGCCAACATGGTGAAACCCCATCTCTACTAAAAATGCAAAAATTAGCTGAGTGTGGTGGCACACGTCTATAATCCCAGCTACTTGGGAGGCTGAGGCAGGAGAATTGCTTCAACCCGGGAGGTAGAGGTTGCAGTGAGCCGATATCATGCCACTGTACTCCAGCCTGGGCGACAGAGCGAGACTACATCTCAAAAAAAAGAGAAAAAGAAAAAGAAAAAAGAAATGAACTGAGTTTAGGAGTTCTTGGGCAACTTCAGGGAGACTCTCCGTTCCCCTGTTACATTAGGGGACTCATTAATGTAATAAGGAGGCACTGAAACTTTGATTTCAGCTGCTGATGGGATGACTTTGCCATGAGGAAAATGGCCTACCCATTATACCAGCCGTGCTCCTGCTCCTTCCAAATCCCTAGGGAAACTCACCTCGCTGGCTCTGCCTGCCCTTGGTGTTTCTTTCAGTTTGTTTCTCCCACTCCCTGCCCTGATCCCCAGGCAGCTCCTTTCCTAGAGGAGGGCAGCTTCTGACACCCAAACTCCAGAATCACGCATGTGCCTAACCACATGAGGAGACCAAAAAAATAAATAAATACATACGTAATAAATACAGCACCTTGTATTTGTTTTCTCGCTCTAAGTCCAGGGGTTGGAGATTTTCCCTCAAATTTCAACTTCCCTTTCTCTGGCCTCACATTTCTAAATATACTCAAATGAGGATTTTATGAGCAAACCAAGTTATACATAAAACATTTTTACATTCCTACACTGACAAAGTGATTTAACTGTGTAAAGGGCACTTGAAGTCTAAGTATGACACATGCTTCAAAATTTCCTTAAATTTCCACTTTTAAAAAAAGGGATTTTGAAGAACTCCAGAATTCCCAGACATTTTCCTACTCTAGCCTGACTCTCAAGTGGCAATGTGTGACCATGCAGCAGCCTGTTCCATGAAAAGCACTCCTGAGTGGAGAAGGCTAGGGCCTCACCGAGTCTTTTGTGTCCAGGCACAAGCCCTTCCATCACCATCACCGCCTCCCACACCACACTGAACTTCCCAAGAAGAAGATGCCATAAACAGCTGGAGTTGCCTCTGCAGAGCAAAGCTCCCAGGAGGCCAAACATCTGGGCAGCTGCCAAGAGCTCCAGTTCCTCCAGCCCTTCTCCGTTTTAGGGACCTTAACATCCCTTTTTCCCCAGATCTCTTAGCAAATGCCTAACTGCATTCTGGGGTGATCACACCCACTAAAGTGCTTCGTTGGGTCAAGGAAGCACAGGAGAGAAGCCAGTTGCCCTACCAGTGTCCTAGCATAACAGCTGTTAAATCCAGAGGGGTGCATCCTGCCCAAGACAGGGTGAAGCACTGGTCTTTGTCTCAGAACAGAAAACAGAAAAGGGTCAGAACTACGTCAGCAGGAATTTGGGCTTAAAGTTTCTGATAATCAGTTAGTGGGCATCTTAGTTCATCCTGGCTGCTATAACAAAATACTTTAGACTGGGTAATTTATGAACAAAAATGTATTGCTCGCAGTTCTGGAAGCTGGAAAGTCTAAGATCAAGGCACCAGCAGATTCGGTATCTATGGGGAGGGGGGACTTGTTCTCTCCTCCAAAGATGCTGCCTTCTTGCTGCATTCTCACATGGCTGAAGGAGTGGGAGGGGCAGGCAGTCTCCCACAAGTCACTTTATAAGGGCACTAATCTCATTTAGGAGAGCCCCACCCTCATGACCCTAATCACCTCCTAAAGGCCCCAATTGTGGATTAAATTCCAACATACAAATTTGGGGGGCACTCCCACATTCACACCATAGCACTGGGTGAAATGAGGACCAAGAGCTTAGGGACAGATGTTTATAGAGTGGGCACCTGCTGCAGTCTTGGCAGGAGAGGCAGTATGACCTGGAGGCACAGAGCCCTAGAGCCCCTCAGCCCTAGTTTGAATTCCGGCTCTCCTAGTTGCCAGCTGCATCTTTGGGTAAGATATCTACACTCTCTAAGCCTTGGCATCCTCATTTGTAAAATGAGATGATGGTAACAATAGTGCCCATGCCATGGTTTTTCTATGGGGATTAAATATAAAAGGGCTCAATATAGAGTGTTACATACGAGGCTGCTCAGTAAGTGCTACAATTGTTATTTTTATTCCTAAGGTTTGGGATTTCCCTGGACTCATAAGAAGACCAATTTCTAAACCAGCACCTGCCTCTCCACCACATGACCTCATCTTCACCATAGAGGTAGATGTCCAGTTCACACCACCTGAAAAACTGAGGGCCTCAGAGAAACTGAGGCCTCAGAGAAACAGAGAAACTGAGGGCCTCAGAGAACTCCTGCAGGCCCTCCAGCTGGCCACTGCCAGCCCTGCCCAGGACCCCATATCTCACCAGTTACTTGTGTCCACCCTGTCTCCTTGCTCCATCCTACCCCAGTTTAGAGAGTGAGAATGCTGGCTGGGACCCCAAAGACCTATCTGCAACTCCCCAACTCCAAGAAAGGGGGGGCTCCAACAAGGCAGGGCTGTAATGAGATGGAAGATTTGGGCTAATCCGGAGCCAAATGAGGGCCTAATTCCTGCTGTAAAAATCTGTCAGCTGCTAGTTAACAGTTCCTCTGGCCCTGGGCTTGAGGGTGGGGGTGGGGGGTGGCCTCTGTTTGCAGGAGCAGTTGGGCTTGTACCTAGGGTGTTGTTTTTCTCCCTTTTCCTTGTTTTTACGTTTTTGGAATGTGAATATAAACTTTATGGAGGGGCCTGGTCTCTGTTCACACCGGGTGCTAATAACCCACAGCTGAAAGCAGAGGCTCAGAGGAAACCCGGGAGGTGCAGCGCGCAGAAGGCTACAGGAACCGGAGGGGCGGGCACGCGGCTGGAGGAGGGGGCCGGGACGATATTTAATATTTAATTTGCTGGGTTTTTTTTTTTTTTAATGTGGAAACTTTTAGACACAAACTGGCCCCTGTGTTTAAGTCATTAAAACATCTTTAAGCATTTTCTGGTTTGAGTTTGCTCTGCAGCCGTCCTGGTTCCTGGAATGTATTTTATTTTTCTTTTAAGTCGGTGAAAGCAGAAGCAGAAGGAGGTTGGGGGTAGGGGGCTGGTATGGGGGAAAAGTGCGTTTCCAACAGATTTTTCTTTTTCTTGTTCCTGGGGTGGGGAAGAGGGCGGAGAAGGAGAGAACAGGGCTCCCTGTGTCTGATCTTTAATCCCCAGGAATCCCGCTCGGCCTTTTAGGGCCCATGCACTTGCTGACACGACATACATTCGCCGCCTATGTCGGGGGCGTCTCTCGCCCTCTAGGCCGAGCAGGGAATCGTTACAAACTGGGTTAAAGTCGCCCTAGGCTTGGGGGCGGGCGAGGAGCGGCGCTGGGACGTGGCGCGCCAACCGAGCGCACCAGAGCGCGGCGCGGCGCGGCGGGAAACAGGCTTGGGCCTCGGTTGTCCCGCGGCCCAACCAAGGGGCCCGGGCCTCCTCTCTGCCAGGGCTCACAGCGACGCCCTCACGGCGGAATCTCAAGCACTTCCGCTTGGCACCCAGGTCCAGTGTCTGCCTCGGCCGTCTTGGCCGGGCGCCACACGTGGCAAGGACAGTGCCTAACGCAGTTGCTCCAGGGGGACAGGGACGGAACGCGCACGTGGCAACCCAGGGCCTAAGGGGACGCCTGCAACGCTTCTGCCCCCAGCGCTTCGTGCCCGCTTTCTTGACCTCAGGACGAAGCCCTAATAAACCAGCAGCACAGCCCTGGCGTCTTAAAGAAGGAGGCCTAGAATTCGGATTCCTGGGCCGCAAGGTCTGAACCCAGACTCAGAAGAGCCGCGGTCAGAGATAGGAGCCGGATATCCGCGCAGAAACTGTGCTTTCTTTGCGGTGGAGACGCCCAGGCCAGGAGTGGGGCTGAAAGTTAAATGGGATCCCCAGGCCACCTCTCGAAAGTGGGGTAGTTACCCCGGTACTGCTCTGACTAGGCGGGAGGATTGGCATCCCCAGGACGGAGCCCTACCAGGCAGGCAGAGTTGGAGTTATCCCATCAGTGGCGCAGAACTTTATGGCCTCAGCGAATCCCAGCCCCAGTTTCAGCTCCTCTGGGAACTCCCTCCCCTACTGAGTCTGTCTTTTCATTTGAATAATGGGGAGGCCTGAACACCTTTTAGGGGAGGGAGGGAGGAATGAGCAGTTTTCCAAAAAGCGTTCTTTTTCACAAGCTTGGAAAATAGGATGGAGGCGCGTCTGAGAGATGAGGATTTGGCGGGCCGTCTGGAGTGGGTAATGGGAAGCTCAAGGCGTGTGTGTGTGTGTGTGTGTGTGTGTGTGTGTGTGTGTGTGTGCAGAGACACAGTCGAGTTAGGGAAACTCTTCGTCTAGGAGAGCCTCTTGTAAGGTGATCCGTCTCCTCCTTCCTGCCAGGCTCAGAGGCCACCAGCACAGATGGCTAGTCTACCAGCTCCCCAGGGGAGCCTCCTCACTGCAGTCCTCTGCGACTCCACACTGCACCAGTGTCAGGGACTGTCTAGGAGCAAAGAGGAGGCCTGAGAGGCCGCCAGGCGAGGAGGTCTCACAGAGCCCAGGGCACGGCCACTTCAGAGCCTTTTGGCCTTGCTCCTCTCAAACGCCCTGGGACTTGGGGTGGAGGTGGTGGGTAGGTCATGGTAAACCAAGGACTTGGTGGTTGCATGAAAGCAAGGGACTTGAACCAGTTCCTGAGCTGGTTCCATTCCTCCTTCACCCACCCAGCAGGCTTTCAGGGTGCCTGGCATTATGCTAGGGGTAGAAGGACAAACTGGATCCTCCGGGAGTTTGCAGCCTTGGCAGAGGAGCTGGGCTGAAGTTTAGTGAAGGGAGCGGCCAAGCACCTGGTTATCTCACTGCCTAAAGACCTTGGTTCCAATCCTGCCTATGCCGGACCTGGACTTACTCATGACCTTATCAGGACTGCTTTAGTGATTTTTGCCCTAAAATTAGAAGGCCTTGCAGGTCAGGAAGCTACGGCTCCATGGGTCCCTGAGCTGTCCTGTGCCATATCATGAAGGTAGGCCCAGTCCATCCTCACACTTCCACCCTTCAGGCTCGGTGTCTTGGCGGCCGCCGCCTCCAGCCCGAGAGTCTCTAGCTGAGTGAATAACTAGCGCTCCTGCGCGCAGCAAACACACATTGCTGAATTCCCAAAGAGAAGAAAGCGTCCAGAGAGGGCTGTCTTTCATTTGGAGAGAGCTTTTCATCTGGCAAGATCCCTCCTGCTGGCCTCTCACGCTACTGGGGTTGGAGGAGGAAGAGTGAGACCTCGCACGTGCTGAGCGGATGGAGTGAACCTGGGCTTCCCAGCAGCAATGCGCCATGGGTCCCCCGAGCGGGGCCCGGGGACCCGCTGGGCGCCTTCCACAGATCCACAGAGCCTGGCCCGCTGTGCACCCTCAGCCCTCCCGGGAAGGACCTTTCCAGCCGTCCCTGCGCGCTCTTCGCTGCAGATTCCGGGAACTCTGGAGGCGCAAACGGCTCTGCCTTTGGGACGCAGTTCCATTCTGCAAACAAGCAGGCCCTGGCAGTAATTTGGCTCTGAAAATTGGTGCCACAGGAACAGCTGAGAGCTGGCAAGGCCGGCGCCCCCGTGGGTCAGCGTCTGTCAGTCCGCATTAAGATATGCAAAGCCGAGGCGCCCGCGCAGCCGCCTTCGCCTCTCGGCCCGGCGCGTAATTGGTGTCAACTGTTTGATTGCGATAATTGCTACTGTCTGGGGAGGTGGCTTCCAGGCCCCGGTGGGACAGGGCCCGCCACTCGCCCCCGAGGGCCTCCTAGACCCTGCCCTCTCCTGCCGACTGCTCGCGGAGACCCACAGGCCCGGGACTCCGGTGGGACTCCCCGTTCCTCCCTCCCTTTCCCTGCGAGCAAGGGTGGAGTGGGGAGGAGAGAGAGGGTCTATCCGCCCCAATCCCCACCCCCCACACCAACACAAACTACATCTTCTTTTGGAGGGAAGAGGAACGGGAGTGTTTAGGCCTGCATGCTTCAACCCGAGTCCCACATTTCTGATCCCATAATAGTCAAGACCACAATTACCCTCGTGGCCATTACCTTGGCTGGACCTCACTAGAGCCTGTGGAATCAGTATTATTACCTCCTCCCTTAGAGATAGGAAACTGAGCTGCAGGGAGTTAGAGCATGGACCTGGTGAGAAGCAAGGCCAGGCAGGAAAGATAAGCTCTCCCTAGAACCCTACCCTCTTTCCCATTCCACAGAAGAGGAGGCCTGGCAGCCAGCTTCATTTGGGGATTTGTAGTGAATTCACTAATCACCCTGATTTTGGGGTGCTTGGGCCCGTGGAGGCAGGACCATTTGGGGGTAGCCATGCAATGCCTCCTGTCATGTCTTAAGGACTTGGAAAAGCAAAGTGGGCATCCAGGGTATCTCATGACCAAGCTGGCTTCTAGAGCAGGATTTCTCAAGCTTGGCCTGGATACATCTTTATTGTAGGGGCCGTCCTGTGCGTTATAGGATGTTTAGCAGCATTCTTGGCCTCTACCCATTATATACTGGTGGCACACCCACCCACCCCTTCCCCAGTTGTTATAACCAAAAATGCCTCCAGAAATTGCCAAGTGTCCCTGGTGAGGAGGGAAACAAACTGCTCCCAGTTGAGAACTGCTGGTCTCAACTGGGTCCCTGTAAGATCCAGAGCCAGGTGTCTCCAGTCTGGCAAGTAAGTCTAATTCAAAGAAAAATTTCCATATCAACTCGTATGCTAGACACAGAAATAAGTAAGTCAGGGCCACTGCCTTCAAAAGAAAACAATGACAGGCTTAGAGACAGAGATGTAGATGCCATGTCAGAAGCAGCACAGAATGTTAGGGGAGCTCTGAGCAGAACTCCTAAAGCAGGCTGGGAGTAGTCTAGGAGAGCTTCTCAGAGGAGGCAGTGCTTGAACTAGAAGGATGACTAATAGATGTCCTTTACATTTAGTAAGTAACAACAACAATCCTGACTAGAATGCATTGCTATTTGCCTCTGTTCTGTTTTCTTAACTTGCCTGGAATAGGAAGGGCTTGGAATGAAAGTTTCTGGAATATGGGGCTGCAAATACGCAAACCCCAGTGGAGAACAGGGGTGTAGGGGGGGTGTCTGCAGGAGCAGGCAATGAAAAAGTTTGTTGTCTGTAGGGAATTTTAAAACAATAATAAAATCTACTAAAAGTCATGTGCTTTTTCTGTTATCACCATGCGCCAGCCATTTTGTGTCAGTAATAAAATACTCCTCCCTGAAGTAAAAAAAAAAAAAAAACTCGTCTGTTGTGCTATGTTCTAAGCAATTACTGTGGTGACTGTTGAGTTTCAAATTAGCACATTTCTATTACTTATCCTTTAGTAAAGATTGTACACTACCTGATAGTTAATTTGAAGGACTCTCATGTATATAGTCAGCCCAGAATACACAGGACTCAGCTACACTCTTCATTTTGAGATTAAGTTTAAATTCAAATTCATTAGAGCTGGCTTCAGCCACAGTTTGTGTCTCAAATCCTATAGTTCTGCACATCCCTGCCTTTAAACAGTAGATTCAAAATCAACAATGATGCACAGTGATTGCAAAGACAAAGTAACAGACTCAAGCTACTTCAATTCTGTTATTCTCCATGCAAATCATTCTCTGAAACTTGCAGTTTACTCTTTTGGGAGGCTTTCCTTTTTGTTGTTATTCTTTTGTTTTGTTTTGTTTTTGTTTTTGTTTTTGAGACAGGGTCTGGCTCTGTCACCCAGGCTGGAATGCAGTGACACAATCTTGGCTCACGGCAAACTTGGGAGTCTTTCTTCATGTGTTTCTTCCCCCTACTCCCCACCCCCCAAAATTAATATAATTTTCAAGTATCAGTTGCTTTTGTCTTTTTGTACTGTAGTATTTGTTTATTTCCTGATACAATTATACAGAGTTGAATAAAAGAACAGTTACACTGTCTGACTTTTCTGGCCATTATTATTTACTTGTTATTCATCATCATGGTGATAATTTGATAATATGGGAGGTGTTAAAAATGATTTACTAAGGGTGCCTAACACATTAGGTACCCCACTGGTCTGGAAAAAAATGCCAGATCCAGTGAGTGCCCCACAAGGCCACCACTCCCTGGACCCTCGTGGCTGCCTGCTGGGGGCTGGCAGGCGGCCCGATGGGCAATGTGGACCAATGTTTCCCTCTCACCTGCCTTCCCTAGGCTCTTTCCCTGCTAAGTCCCTCCACAGCAGCCCTACCCCATCCACCCCTCATCCTTCTCTTCCCTGTCCTCTCAGCCCAGTCTCAGTTGTGACTGGGTAGGGAAGTCTCTCAGAGGAGCTAAGGTATGACCTCAGGGCTGGCACAGTTCAATGTAGGCCACAGCCTCAGCAGGACCTGAGAATGCATCCTGTTCAAGAGCCTCAGCATATTGGGGAAACTGAGGCCAAAGAGAGGCAATACCCAGCCTAAGATCCCCTAGCCGGTTAGTGGGTCAGGGCAGAGCTGGAACTCATTACTTCTGGCCTGCCTGTCTGTGTCCTTTCATGACACCACTCAGCCGTAACCTAACAAGATGGGCTAATGGGAGAACTTTAGTCATCAGCGGCAGGCCTCCCTGGGTGTTCTTTCTGGCCAGGAGGGCTGTCCTCGCGCCCTTTTCTGGCTCCAGAGTAGCCAAACTCCCAGCCTTGGGCTGCTAATGGTGCTCCTCTTGGCACAAAGGAAGAGGCTGATGGCAATTGACTCATCAAAGACATTTTGGCCCCTACTATTGCCTAGACTTGTGCTATACCCCAGAGACACAGAAATAAATAAGTCACTGCCACTGACTTCAAGAGAATAATCAAGGCATAAAGACTGGGTTTTCGATGTCACATCAGACTCAGCACAGAATGTTCAGGGTGCCCAGAACAGAACTCCTAAAGCAGGCTGGGGGCAGTATGAGAGGGCTTCCCAGAGGAGGCAGTGCTTGGGCTTGAAGGATGCCTAATAAAAGGCTGGCAAAAAGAGGTGGGAGTGTGGGTAGCTTCAGAAGAGGACACTACTCAGGGTGCCAGCTCCCCCTGGAACCTGTGGAGACCTAATCATGCAAGGCACCTTCTGCCAAGCCCTACCCCCTGTCTCAGTCCACCTCAGAACTCACCTCCAAGCAACCCATTCGGGCTTCTCTGATGCCATTGGCCTCCTTGTGCATCCGTCAGTAGGACTGGGCTCCTCTGCAGCTGGCTGTCCTCTGTTCCCTCTCTTAAGCCCCTGGGGTCCCGACCCTTGTGTCTCTTCCTGCCCATCCCCCAGCTTGGTGCAGGTTGGAGCCTTGAGCTCAGGTGGCCTTTCCCTCTTTCCATTCTCTCTTTCCTCTTCCTCTTTTTCTTCTCATTCCTTCATCCTCGGCTTTGTCATTTTCTCTCTCTCCTTGTTCCCCTGTGTAAACTGAGGGCAGGGCCAGGTGTGTGATGGAATTCTCTAGACTAGGTTCCAGGTGACCTATACCCACAGGCATCGGCCTTTCCCTGGGGAGCTGGGGTTAGCACCCAGCCAGACTCTTGGCCTAGAGCTGAGGTTGGAGGCAGGGAGTTGGGGGAGAAAGACAGTGTGACCCAGCATGGTAGGGCTGCCCCTTTTTTTCAAGAAAAGGAGATCCGAGGACTCTTCAAGGCAAAGACCTCGGCTCTCAGCACCTGTGAGTTCTACTTCCAGGAAGCCCCCTTCCCTCTCCACTCCCCCCTTCCCAGTTCTGCTGCTGCTGAGGTGGCTCCTGCTCCCATTTCAAACAGCACCAGATCCATTAATAGCATCAATTTTATTTGCACCAGCCCCAGCTCCCTCCCCGCTCCCCAGGGGCACCCGATCCAGAATGCCAGGCCCTGCTTCCTTTTCTCCTGGAACACGCTGACTCCCTCCCTTGGGCGCCGGGGGAGTTGGCAGGATAATAACCTGCGAGAGGAAAACTCTCTTCTCCCTGCCTTCTAATCTTCAGCGCTCACCAAATTAGAAAAGGCATCAGAAGCCCATCGGGCAGACTGCCGCAGGGATGTCATGCCATTAACCCCGGGCCGCCTCCTGCTGGTGTAGGCAGCTGGGGGAGGATGTTTCAGGCCCCCACAACCCTTTCCTGCCCCCTGCCTCTAAGCAGAAATGGAACCCACCCCCAGCTCAATTTCTCCATCACCCTACCCCTGCCCCCATCAATAGGCATGGACTCCCCTACCCCATCCTCCTAAGCTTCCCCATACCCCATCCCCAACCCTGTGAGTTGCAGGGATTTTGAGAATAGCCAGAAGGTCCCTGGACTCCTATCTAAGCCCTCATTTTATACATGAGAAGACTGAGACCCATGGAAGTGATGTTTGTCATCCTGTTCCTCCTTTAGGACCTCGCTCAGCTGGTTCATTTGTCCATTCAGCAAAAGTTGACTGAACTCCTACTCTGAACACCAGATCCCATTGTAGGCACTGGAAGTGCAGCTGGGAACAAAACAAATTCCCACCCTCATGAAGCCCACAAGCTGCTCCTTCCAGGAGGCTGTCCCTCATCCCCTGAAGGTGGGCTAGGTGTCTCCCACATGGGACCACAATTAGGAGCTTACTTGCCTCCCCCCTGGGCTGAGCACATACTGACAGCAGGGAGCCTGCCTTGTTCAACTCTGTATCCTCAGCCCCTGCTGCAGGGCCTGGGACATTTACATGTTCACTACATCTTTACTAAATAGTCATGACTTACACTCATGTAGCACTTACTATGTATCAGCTGCCAAGTGCTAAGAGACATTATTATTATTCCTATTTTAGAGGAGAAAATGGAATCACAGAAAGGTGAAGTGACTTGTCCACGGTGTCGTCACTCCCTGCCTCCAACCTCAGCTCTAGTCCAAGAGTCTGGCTGGGTGCTAACCCCAGCTCCCCAGGGAAAGGCCGATGCCTGTGGGTATAGGTCACCTCGAACCTAGTCTAGAGAATTCCATCACACACCTGGCCCTGCCCTCAGTTTACACAGGGGAACAAGGAGAGAGAGAAAATGACAAAGCCGAGGATGAAGGAATGAGAAGAAAAAGAGGAAAAGGAAAGAGGTGATTGGAACCCAGGTGGTCTGGCTCCAGAGCCGAAGACCTTATTGCCTCACTGTGAAGAAACGAATGTCACCAATGACCCAGATGCTGGGCTTCTCTGGTCATCTCTTCTCAGTCCTCAGGGTTAGAAACTTCTTCCCCCTACCTTTCATGACTCTCTGCAACTGCAAATACCACCTCATGCTTTGTTTTCCCAGTTCCAAGGAGATGGAGCCTACAGACAGTTCCTGGCCTCTGTCAGATCATCTCGCTCAGTCCAGGATATGCTGCATGCCCTCAAACCCAGAAATGGGGCTGGTGTCCCCGGTGGCCCTCAGACACTCACTTCTATCTCCCTGTCTAAGTGTCCTGCTAGCCCAAATCCCCCACTCCACCCACTTCAGAAAGCCTTGCTATGCCCACAGTACCATTTGGATCAGAAACAGGTCTCTGCCACCCTGGGTAACATCCAGTGTGGCATAGCCTGGTTGCTCTCTCTAATGGCTTAGGGCTGGGCACATAGTAATTGCTGAGTCCATGGCTGGCTTCTGGGCTGAATCTCCCTGGGTGATGCATGCAAAGCCAGGGCGGAATTCCACTTCCAGCCCTGCTATAACTTGCTGTGTGGCCCAGGGCAAGTCAGCCCCTCTCTGAGCCTTTCTCTCTTCATGTACTTTGAGGGTTTGGACTGGATGGCCCCTGGGTTACTTTCCTCTGTAAAATTCTAGCTTTAATTGCAAATTGTAAACTCCAACCTTCACAGGTCAGTGTCAAGCAGAATATCCTTCCCTGATCCTGGGTAAGGCTTGACTGCTGAGATAGGTAATAAAGTGAGAAGTGTCTGTAAAATGGCCCAGAGAGGGTACAGCATCTTGTGGGGGAGGAGGGACCGGGCAACCTCCAGAAAGGATCTTTCCATGGAGCGTGGGAGGTAGGAACAAGGAACCGGAATGACACTGAGTTGCCACCCTGTGCCAGGCCCTGCTGTGGGTAGCCTATATGTTGTCTTGTATTCAGTGCTCACAGCCTCCCTGAAGTGAGTGCTCTTATCCCATTTTACAGATGAGGAAAGTAAGACTTCTCTCCAAGGTCACAAAGCAAGCGAGTCTCTGAGAGAGAATCAGGGCACATGTGCCTGATCCCAAATATTAGACTCTGCCCATGGTACAGAGCTGTATCTCCTGGCTTCCCTGGACCACATGTGCCTGGGTGCCTGGACCTGTGTCCTGTGTCCTGTCCCTGTGCTGAACACCCGGGTGTGCACGTGGAGGTAGGGAAGGTGTGTGCAGGGGAATTGTATATACTCACACTATATCAATATCTGGACATATCTCACACTGGATCTGGAAAGCCACATCAGAGTGTGTGTGTGTGTGTGTGTGTGTGTGTGAGAGAGAGAGAGAGAGAGAGAGAATATACAAGTGAGATGAGGGGAAGACTGGGAAACCACGGGGGAGAAAAAAGAAAGAATAGTTGAAAGGGCAGAGAGGGACAGAGTTAATACGCAGAATAATGAGAGTGACAATCATAACAATAATAATAACAAGAATAACACAAACCTTGCCTTTTTTTTTTTTTCCAAGCTGAATGTGAGCTGGAGCAGGGCTGAGGGGATTAATCTCTTAAAAAATAAGTGCCGAGTGAGGAGACAGGCAGTGATTAAGGTTTTAACTGATCAGTCTGCATCTGACAGTGAACCAGCTATTATCTTAACGGAATCAAACGAACATTCAAAGCTGTGCTCAGCCCCAAACATGAAAGGAGATGTCATCTGCTGGCAGCTGGCAAGCCGCAGGGGGAGCTGAAGGGGAGAGAGGAATGGAGGGAGCGGAGGAGAGACAGAGGGGGAAAGAAGAGAGTCACGGTGAAGGACACAGGAAGGTGGAGGAAAGGAGGGCATGACAGGCTCCTGCGGCCCCGTTCCCTCCACCCACCAGACACACACACCATGTCCCAGTCCCCCCAGTACCCCACCCGACCAGATCATAGGTGCTAAAGCACAGGTCTGAGATTCAGTCACTCCCCTGCTCAGAAACCTTCATTGGCTCCCCACTTCCTGAAGGATAAAGACAGGACATGATGAAGGCAGGGGCCCAAGGGAGGAGGCTGTGAGGCTGTGAGGCTCAGGCTGGAGTCTTGTTTCCTGCGGTGCCTCAACCAGGACCCCTGCTCCTCTCCTCCGGCTCCAGCACAACGAAGCCTCCTTCATTAAGTAAGCAGTTCCTTAATGAATAAAGGAAATGGGATAAGGAAAAAGAAACAAGAAGAAAAACAGACAGAGGTGCTTTTGCCAGGCATTTAGACTGATTTTCCCGTTTAATTCTCCCAACCTCCAGAAATGAAGGTTATTCCAGTCTTTGTCAGAGAGGTGGAGCATCTTGCTGCAGATCCCACAGCTTGAAAGAGGCAGAACTGGGATTTGAACCCCGGCTTCTCTGACTCCAGTTTCTCTGCTCTTCTCACCTAAAAAAAAGTGGGACGGAAGAGCAGACAACAGGAAGAGAAGGGGCAAACCAGAAAAGAGCACCGAGGGAGCTCGTTCTTCTGGTACTTTATCCCTGAACATTAAGCCAAAGATGTCCCTTCCTGTCCCACTCTTCCAAAGCAAAGGCACTGGGTAAGGGGGACTCTAGAATAAGCTTGTCCCTGGGCCTGGACCAGCACCTAGAGCATTCAGTATTTGTTGGAAGAGGGAAGGAGGGGAGGGTGTGGTCCCAGGGCAAGTCCCAGCAGGGGTGGAACAGAGAAAGTTACCTGCTCTGTGGCCATCCCACCCCTCTCCAGGACCCTCAGACAGAGGAATACCCAGCCCTGAGGCTGTGTGTGAGTGTGTGAGCTCAGGGGAGAGAGAAAGGAAAAAGAAGTGGAAAAGGAAAGATTTAGAAAGGGAGGGAAAAAAAGGAACATATCTGGAAAATTAGAAAAGTTGACTCACATACAAGGGCCCTGTGACAATGTATTTGTGAATGTGGAGCTGACCCTCTAACCCCACTTCCCCTCTCTTACTGACTCTCTCACCCACTTGAGGAGACAGCTGTTCCTCAAAGAAAATAGGCATATGGTCCTCCGTCTTTCCTCTTTGTCACACACTCTCAGCCTCTCAGCCTCTCTCTCTCTTTCTCTCTCTCTCTCTCTCTCACTCACACACACACACACACACACACACACACACACACACAGAGTCAGTGCTGGGTCCCTGCTCACAATCTGCCACTCCAGGCCCATAGCCCGGCTTGGGCCACAGCCAAGCTTCCAGAATTGCTCCTTTTGGTCCAGGTAAGACCAGGCAGGATCCAGTCCAGGCTCTGGCTGTGGAGCTGGCCCTGTGCTTCCCTGGTGCCTTGCCCCTCCCTGAATACAGACTTCAAGGCTGGCCCAGAAGGGAGGAAGCCAGGGCAGAAGCCAGCAGCCAGCCATGGTGGGTCAGATGGGCAGGAGGCAAGGGCTCCCCTAGAGCTTGCGGTAATTCCCTCTCCAGGCTGCCAGTCCCTGTACTTTCCCTCTGCCTCCATTCTGGTTCAGGACATCCCCATTTCATGGCTGAATTGTGACAACAGCCTCCTAAACTGTCTCCCTCTCTTTAACCCACTTGCACACCACTACCAGGAGTCTCTTTCTAAGACATAGCCCAGATGGCATCCTTCCCTTGTCAGAAACCATCAATAGCTTCCCTTTGCCTGGAAGGATCAAGTCCAGATTGCTAAAGCTGGACTCAAAGTCTCCCGCAGTCTGCCCCTCACTCTCCTCTCTACCTTCGCTCCTGCTACCCCTACCATCCTCACCACCATCACCCCTGCCACCCTCTAGAAACATCTCCTCCTGTGCAAAGCGGCTCTCTGTCCCTGAGCATGACACGTCCGTCTTCCTACTTTACACATGCAGTCACTGTTTTTATCCATCTGGAGGCCTCTGTTTCTTCCCTCCACCTAATCTCTCCTCTCTTTAGGGGTTTTGAGGTTAACTCAACTTTGTTGAGTACTTAACACATGTCCAGCATTGTTCTAGTCCCTTTATAAGAAATAAATCATTTACTCTTCACTTGAGCCCTATAAGATGGATAGACTTTACAGAAAGGAAACTGAGGCAAAGAGATGCAAAGCGACTTGCTAAAATCACATAGGCACATCCAGAAAGTGGCAAAGCTAAGATGTGAAAACTTATCAAACCTTAGGAGGTTGGCTTCAGAATCTACACTTTTAACTATTACACTACTCTGCCTCTCAAGGGCACCCTCTTCCTCCTTAAAGCCTTCACTGGCCACCCAGCCCCCATATCCAATCTCTTTGTCCTCCACCTTCCTCAAGTATATGTTATCTGTACCTCTCATGGGTTCCTTAATTACACAATGCCTTGAATTAGTACTTTGATCTCTCTGTGTGTTAATTTTATCTCATGAACTAGATTATTTATTATCAAGAGTATAAACGTATAAACTGTGTTTGCCATTACTCTTGTAACCCCACCATCACCACCAGTTACCTAGCACACTGCTAGGCATACGGGTTAGAAATAAAAATAGCACCAGTTAACATGTGAGTGCTTACTAGGTGCCAGGTACTGTTCTAAGCACTTTCCATGGATTGATGTACTTATTCCTCATAGATGGGAAAATTAGAAAGGTTAAGTAATTTTCTTGTTCATGGTCACACAGACTGTGGTAAGTTAAAAATTACTACAAATTTTTGGTCATTCTCCCACTGAGAGGTAAAGTTTATTTCCTTTTCCCTTGACTACTTCACTAATAGAATGTTGCAGATGTGAGGCTATGCCACTTTGGGCCTAAGCCCTAAGTCAACCTGGAAGCTTCCACTTTTGTGCATCTTGGAGCTCTGAGATGCTATGTACAAAGTCTGGTTAGCCAACTGGAAAGACCATGTGGAGAAGAGAGGCCCTGAGGATGCCTGGAGAGCAACAGGTCCAGCCATCCCAGCATCTCAATCAGTCCTCCGCTGACTGCAGCCCCAGCCTCCATCAGGCTGAAACTCTAAGAAAGACCTGCAGAAGAATCACCCAGCTGAGCCCAGCCAGCCCACAGTCCTAGGAAAGATAGTACGATGGTTGTTTTAAGCCACTGTGTTTTGGGGTGTTTTTTTTTACATAGCAATAGAACACTAAAAACGGGCAGGTCCTGTTATTTTCCCCATTTTTCAGAGGAGGAGGAAATAGATGGAGGGCTATAAATGTTATGTGATTACTTTCCCAAGGTTGTGTAGCTTTTTAATTAGCAAGTGGCAGCTGAGGCTAGGGCCTAGGTCTGGGAAACTCAGAGCCTGAGGAAAATGAGTTGTTGCAACAGTTAACCCTCAGTTAGTTGCTGAAGGCAACAGGTTGTCATCGACTAGGTGTCTGGAAATAGCCCTTGACCAGTAGCGCAACTCATTTTATTCCTGAACCTCAGTGCCCTGCTGTACACTATGAGAGGAAGCGGAGAGCAGCTGCTTCCCAATTGTACACTGGGAGTCCAGGGCAGGGGGGTTGCAGTGGATGAGGTGGGACCAAGAAGGCAGGAGTCTAGTAGCTGCCTCCCACCCCCCACAACACCCGCCACCACCACTGTTGATCTGATTTCTCTATGGAACATTTACAGAAGATTTTCTTTGAAAAATGCATTGTGGTTGCAAAACTACTGGACCAGATAATTTCTAAGGCCCCTGCTAGCCCTGACATTTCAGGATTCCATGAATGAATGATGGGAATGAATGGATGGGTGGATGATCAAACTGCTATGGTTCCCGTCTCTGGATGAATAATGTGGAAGTACAGAGAGAGGGAATGAATCCATGAAGCACGGAGTGGCTTGGAATGTGGGGGAGTTCTGGAACTTGGCAACAGAAGGGCCGGGAGGAGGCTGCTAGCAATGGCTACGGGGATGAGAAGGGATGGAGAAGGGTAGGCTTGGGAGGTAGAGCTGGGGAGGCAGCCTGGGGTGCCTGCACTCACCATGAGAAGCCAGTGTGGCATCAAGGGTTAAGCACACATGCTTTGGGGCTAGCAGGCATGTGTTTAAATGTCAGCTCTATTGGCCGGGCACAGTGGCTCATGCCTGTAATCCCAGCATTTTGGGAGGCCAAGGCGGGCAGATCACGAGGTCAGGAGATAGAGACCATCCTGGCCAAAATGGTGAAACCCCGTCTCTACTAAAACTACAAAAATTAGCTGGGTGTGGTGGCGCATGCCCATAATCCCAGCTACTCAGGAGGCTGAGGCAGGAGAATCGCTTGAACCAGGGAGTTGGAGGTTGCAGTGAGCTGAGACTGCGCCACTGCACTCCAGCCTGGTGACAGAGCAAGACTCCATCTCAAAAAAAAAAAAAAAAAAAAATTCAGCTCTGCCCTTTACTAGGTATTGACCTGTGAACCGTATTAAACCTCTCTGAGCCTCAGCTTTCTCACCTGTAAGATAGAAATCATGAAACACCTAGCTCATAAGACTGGCATGGGATAAATGAGATAGATCAGGTGAAAAGCATAACCCAGTGCTTGGCACCTAGTGAGTACTTCATAAATGGTAGCTGTGCCTCCTTTTGGAAGATCTTGATGGCCTGGGTTAGCCGAAGCCCCAGTAGCATAGCTAACCTCAAGAAGCCCAGAAAGGTGCCCTCCACTTGTCTCCTGGTAAAGGTGCAACATGGTATGTGTTTGGGGAAGGCAGGTGGGAGGGATAAAGCAGAGCCTGAGGCAGGTGGGGTTTAGGGTGTCATGCAGAGAGATACTAGGAACATATGGCAGGTACCCAGATACTGCCAGGCCTCCCAAGAGCTGGAAACTGAGCAATCGGCTGGAAGTGGGAGAGAGCTGACCAAGCTAATTGGGCAATGTGAATGAGCTCTCTCAGTGGGCTGTTTCTCTTGAAAAGGCTGAGGATAAATCTGGGAGGCTTGGGTGCCATCCCACCCTAAGCTATACCATGAGAGAGTCATCCCTTTGGCTTGTGATGTTTCCCAATGCAAGGCAAATACAGTCTAGGAAGGATTTAACAGCTCATAGAAATTGCGATTAGACCTACAAATGACACAGGACAGGGCTCTCGGGTCAGAGAGACAGTGTTCTGCAGTAGCTGCAAACTTTGAAGCCAGTCAACTGGGGTTCAAACCCTGATTCTGCCATTAACCAGTTGCATGGCTATTGAGCCTGTCTGTGCTAAGTGCTGCGGAAGTAGTCATGGTTCCTGATTTCACGGCATCAGCAGTCTAGCTGGAGAGTCAGAGACTCAGAAAAGGTTGGCAGACCCCTTGGGTGGCGGGTAACACACCCATTCACATCAGAGAGTCAGTACTTGAGCTGGAGCCAAGGAGGATGTTAGTGCAGGTTCTCAGAGAGGTCTCCATTGACCAGGACATGCCAGGCTGGGTTTGGAGAGATTAAGGGGAAAGCATTTAGAGAGAGGAGAGTCTGGAGACAGGAACACAAATAGCCTGTCTCACCAGAGCAGGGAGTGGGGTTATGGGGTGGGAGTTAAGGTAGAGGGGCCTTAGGGAGCCAAGAACCTTGAATAAAGATGGAGAAGTTTGAAGCTCCCAGCTACATCCACTCCCTCTGGGCAGAGGCAGGAGTAAAGGACACAAAGATCACTAAGGAGGACAATGGGACTCACAGGTGCCTCTGCTGAGGCTGCGTCCACTCTGATAACCCCTGCCAGCTGCCCCAGCATCCCTGGGTCCCCAGGGTCAGGCCATTACAGGGCGAGATTTATCACAGGCAGGTGTGCTCCAAGACGGTATATTATCCAGGATTATGAACTGTAACAGGATAATCTCTCTAATGTAATTCAAGCTCTCGACATGGCTTATGGCTCCTTAATGTACCTCAGACTGAAGAATTACAAGAACATTCTCCCCCCCAGCTCCCCATGTCCCCTCCCTCCCTTCCCTGTCAACCCCTAAATGATTTAGGCAATTGCCTGAAGCCAGATCTTGGCATTTAGTCATAATTCAGTGCAGTTCAGTAAACATGACCGGCAAGGAGCTTTGCCTGCCTGTCCCTCTCCTACAAAGGCCTCTCCTTCCTCTTCCACCCAAATCCAGCCCCCAGGGACAGGCTGAGTGCAGGACAATCCATGACACTCAGTACCCTGGGACCCCCCCCCAAGAGACACTCTAGGTACCAAGGCTTGAGCTGCCAGGTTTGGCCTTGGCTTTCCCAATAATCCAGCACGATACTGCCCTGATGGCATCACCGTCTAGATGGAGAGGATAACCCCAGAGCAACAGAATAATGTCACAGCCCTGAGCATCTGAGGCTCCTAAGATCCTAAGATGCTCCAATTCTGTGAATCCATCTTGTAAACTCATGCCCCTTTGGGAAAACAGTGAAATCTTCTGCAAGCTGCACCAACAGAATGTTTTACCAAGTTTTACTTTCTATAGTTTTTCCCTTCCTGCAAAACAAAACAAAATCTTCTCCAGGGAGCTGTGCCCCTGCAACTAAAAAACTGATCTAACCCAATCTCTTTCACCATACAGGTAATGATCTTGTAACCCAGACAGAAGGGTCTTTCCTAACAATAACATTTACTGAGCAGTTACTATGTGCCAGGCATTTTCCTACATACTTTATGTGATTCATTCATTTAATGCATCCAAAAATCCTTTGAGTAGGTACTATGATTCCCCATTTTACTGATAAGAAAACTGAGGCTCCAAGAGGTGCAGTCAAGGTCACAGATATATTAAGTGGGAAGCTGGCACATGAGCCCAGGTAGCCTGGCTCCAGAGCCTGTGTTCCCAACCACTGCTCTACAACAACTGCAGGGTCACACTTGAAGTTAAGCACTTGAACCTAAGCACCAGAACCCAGTTCCAGGATTTCCTCCACCTACTGAGCACCCTGCTGATATATCAAGGGGATAGGACAATAAGATTTACTCCTGGCTCCTAGACAACATCAGCGTATTTTCATAGTGGTCCCAAGCTCCCCAGGGTGATCAGAAGACCAGGCCTCCCATCAGCCAGCCAGTGGAGGCTATTTGGAAGCCCCTCAGCTCAACTGAGGCAAGTAGTCTCTTCCCCTGCCCACCCCATCATTGCACCCTCTTCTGCTGCTACATTCTTTGTGGTCATGCCCGACTTCCCCGCTTGCCTTAAATAGAGAGCCAGAGGCCCCTCCAGGCTGCCAGGATCCAAGGAAGGCAGGATGAATCTCCCGCACAGTGGGAAGCAACCTCAGATTGGGAAGAGTTCCTCCCAAAGTCAACTCAATAAAACAAAGAAGTCTTATGGATAGGTGATTGAGTACATATTGAGTGCCTTCTGTATGCACTACATTGGTCTTTCCCTAATATTCTTTCTGATCTTGAGCAAATCACTTGGTCCTTTGGTAGCTCATTGTTGTCATCTCTGAAATGGCTAATACTAGCAGTGAGGAGTAAATTATAAGATGCAGGTGAAAAAAAGAAACTTTATAAGGCACTCTTACTTGCAATTGTAACACCACATACACACACACACACACACACACACACACACACACGCATCCCTCTGATTGAGTTGGTCATTTTGGATCTCTAAGTAGGACTGGATTTAGTTGTGTGCCCACCCTCACCCCTGCACCCATACCCCAGTAAGAAGAGAAAAATCCAGGTGAATTGTCTATCTTTAACCTCTGCCTCTGAAATAGGTTAGATCTGAAGTTATACCAGCCTCTCCGGATGCTGTCTTTGACATTTGGGAATCTTCGTCCTGGGAGAAAATACTGCATAGTCAGAGGCCCTCAGGGGATGCTGCCAGATGTAGAGGGAATTTGTCATCTATACTGTTTGCTCATTGACTTGTATAAATGCCTATGGTACTTGGGGTAAAGAAACCAGCACAGGAGTGTGTAGATTCCTGAGTTACAGTCCTGCCTCTAACCTCCCTTTCCCTGAACCTCAGCTTCTCATCTGTAAAACGGGGTGTGAGGAGGCAGTCCCAGGTCCCTCCCAGTCTAGCATTTCTTTGCAGGTTTGCTCTGCCCCTTTCCTAAGTCTTCAGACTCTCTCTCTTCTGGCCTCTTCCTGCTTCCTTTCTGTGCTGTTTAGCTGACCATCTCTAGGCTCAGTAGGTGCAGAGACCTGTTATTCCAGGAAATGCCACGAGGGGGAGCCTTCATTTGGATGCCTGGGGTCAGAAAGGAAGCCAATTTCAAGTATAAGGCTGGGGAAAAATAAAATTCAGTCAGTCCCAAGGGACCCCATCAACAGCCAGGCGAAAATAGGAGGGAGAGGGCTCTAAGCTACAAAGACCATACTCTAAGTTCTCAAAGGACTGTGATCTTGATGTATATGTTCATTCTTGTTTCTCAGTCATACACTTTAAGTATGTATGGTGGGATTATCTCATTTGACACTCAGTCTAATTCGTGAGTCCTGTAGGGCAGGTGAAATTATCTATGACCTTTACAGGTGAGACAGCCTAGTCTCTGAGAGATCCTAGGCTCACCTAGGGACACACAGCCAACATGGGGCAGAGCTGTTGATGGCCCAGGTCTTACTCTACATGTCCCCGCCCCCCGCCCCCCATGGATTTGCCCCAGGCTGAGCACACCAGGGATCTTGAGGGACACTTCTTGAATGAGTGAAGAATGAATGAATGTATGAATGAATGAACGAATGAATATGTGGGCCCTCTGGGCCTCCCTGGAGTAAGCCTTCTCTGCCATGCATTGCTCCACTCCAACACAGAGCTAACTGACAGCTTTGTGCCATTGTCTACCTCTCCCTCTCACCTTCTCACAATGTTCATCCCTTACCATGAGACTCAAAGCTGAGGGGGACTTTCAATGGGTCCAATTCACTTGCACAGGTGAGGAAAGTAAGGCTCAGGAAGGGAAAGTGACTAGCTCATTCCTACAACAAATACTTACTGAGTGCCTATTTGTGTGAAGCCCTGTTCTAAGGGCTGAGACTTTTTGTAAGCCTCTGTCTTCACAGCACCTCCAATCTAACAGAAGGAGATACACAAATCATCAGGTAAATATGCAGCAGGTTAGATGATGACAAGCGCAACTAAGAAAAACAGAGCAGGGCAAGGGAGGTGGAGAGCCTGGTGTGTGCATTGGGGTGGGACATTGGTCAGAGAAAGCCTCAGCAGAGAGGAGACCATTGTAGGAATCTGGAGGGAACAGCAAGTGCAAAGGTCCTGAGGCAGGAGTGTGCTGTCCTGCCCAGGGAACATCTAGGAGGCAGGTATGGCTGGAGTAGAGTGATGAGGAGGAGGTGAAGGGTGACAAGAAGGGGCAGAGGGGTGATCAGATCACTAGGGTTTTGTAAGGAACATTTTCTCTGAGTGAGATATACTGCTATTGGAGGTTTTGAGCAGAATAGGGACATGATCTGACTTTAGTTTTAAAGGGACAACCCTGGCTACTCTGTTGAGAACAGACTAAGAGGGAGAAGGGAGGCAGAGAGACAAGCTAGGAGGTGTTGCACTACTCTAGCAGGAGACGATGGTGGCTTGGAACAGTGAGCTCAGTGAGGAGGTGGTGAAGAGTAGCAAATTCTGGACATATTTTGAAGACAAAATAAACAAGATTTGCTAAGGCATTTGGATGAATGATGACAGAAAAAGAGAGGAGTTGAGAATAACTCCAAGATTTTCTTCCCCAGCAACTGGGAAGATGAAGCTGCCCTTTTCTGAGATGGAGAAGACTGACAGGTGGGGGACCGGGGTGGAGATCAGGATTTCCAAGTAGAACAAGTTGAGTTTGAGATGCCTGCTAGATATCCAGGTGAAGTAGGAAACTGGATTTATGGATCTGCAGGTCAGGAGCAAGATTAATAGTAGAGCTAAGAGAACAAAACCAAAATCTCACATCTCTCGACTCCCAACAGAGTTCTTTTCACAGTACGTAGAGTACTCTCCCGTGGGCTGGAGAATTTAAATACCTGCGCTCAAAACCTAAAACGCAAAGAGGAAATACGGTAACCCTGAGCGCACTACCCTAGCCCTAGCTCTAGCTCTAGCTCTAGCTCTACCAGCGCCAGAGCTGGAGGAGGTCAGAGGAGAGGGGCCGTACTGGAGGGGGCTGGCTATCTTGGGGAAGTTGGGTGAGGCCCGAGGGGGCCAAGGGCTCAGCATGCAACTGGGCCGGAGTGGGGGCTGCTGGGCTTAGGAGCGGATCTCCACCGAGGTCTGGGTTTCTTCTCTCGCAACGGTCTTGACTGTTTCCTTGAGCCACCGTCAGATATTTATTTAACCTCGCAGTTCAGCCTCCTGGGGGCCTGCAGGGAAGGGATGGAGGCAGGGCGGAGAAAGCTGGGGGAGAAGGGGAGCGAAAGAGGAAACATTTTCCTTTCCATGCGCAGGCCGAGCTCACGCATAGAGTCCCACCCAGGGCCCCCAGTCTTCTGGGGGCCAGCAGCCCCTTGGATTCCAAGTGTCAACGTGAGAATTCAGGAACCACGACAGTCTACCCATCTCTATTTAAGAACGGAGAAACCGAGGGGAGAGGTAACTCGCCCAAGGTCCCACGGCGAGTCCAGGGCGGCGCTAGACTCCCAGTCTCTGGGGTCTCTCCTCCATTCTAGCCCGTCAGATGAGCACCGGAGACCCTGTAGTGTCGGGGCTGGAGTCAGAGGACCTGAATTTTGTGCGAAGCCACAACATTTACCAGGCTTGTCATTGGGCTAGACACTTTGCCTCTCTGTGCCTCAGTTTCCTTGTCTGTAAAGGGCATCGCTCTTGCCCCTACCTTCCTTGGCTTGTTGCTGGACAAATAATGTTTTTTAAAAAAGCAATACCACCTGCCAATTGCTGAGCCCCAGTGAGCCTGGCACTGTCCTGGGCGCATCGTCCAAGACCTCCGTGTTCTCCCGGCTTTGTAAATCCCGCCGCTTCTCCAGCCAGTGAGAATGGGGGCTAAAGGGAGGGGTGGGGGGTGAGGCCAGAACCTGGCTGTCTAGCCAGAAAGAAGCCCCTCAGCGCAAAGCGGGGGCGCCTACCCCCAGGCCTAGGGGTCGGTGTCGGGGGCACTGGGAGAGGGGAAGCTGGGGGGTACGGGAGCGGAAGTCCCTGCTGGGAGGCCCAACTTCCCCTTCGCCCCTCCCCCCGGCCTGCCCCGGGGCAGGTGAAGAGGGGACCGGGCTCCGCTCCAGGTGGCGGGGCAGCGACGGGGGTGGGGAAAGGCCCGGCAACAATAGCACTTTTATTTGGGACTGTTTGGTTCTGAGCGGGTGGGCGGAGGAGGAGGCGGCCGACCCGGCTGCCAGGGAGGGGGCTGGTCAGCGGCATCTGGCTACACACCTGCTCCCGCTTAACCCTGTGCGCGCTGGGGCAGGGTGCGCAGCGCAGGGGCAGGGGGAGCGGGGGCGTTGGCAGCCAGCGCCGGGAGCGACGCAGGCTGCGTGCGGCCAGCCTCGGGGGCCCCGGGCCAGGTCTGGCGGTCTCGGAGAGAGCAAGAATGGGGCTCCCTAGTGGAGATCTGTCGAGGGGCACCACCAGGGCTAGCACTGTACCGCTACCGCTGGTGGTGGCTCTCGACCTGCGCTGGCCCCTTAGGGCTCCCTGGTCGGCCTCCAGCGCGCCAGGGCGGCTCGGGCGGGAGAGGGAAGGCGAGGGGTGGCTCCGGGGCCTCGGCGCTGACTCCCCGCCGCCTTCGGGGCGTTCCGGGAAGCCGGCCTTCCGGAGGCGGCGCGGCGGCCACGGCCATGCCAAGGGCGCGGGGCGCGGGCCAGGCCCAGCGGGCGGCCGCCAGGCGGGGGAGCTAACGCTGGGCGCGCCCTCGCGCACTAAACGCTTCCTGGCTGGCCCTGCAGGTGAGCCGGGATGCCCAGCACACCGGACCCTGGGCCTGGGCCTCGCCGACGCTCCTTGCCAGTCCGGCGCCCGGGAGGCCTAGCCCTCAGCTGCACCTGCCCGCGGAGGGACCCCCGCCCCCTCTACCCCACACCCCCACCCCAGGGCTGGCGCGCTTGCCTGCCGCACAATCGGAGCTTGTTTGTGGGCGGAGGAGCCGCGCCGGGTGCGGCGGCCCCGCGCCAGCCCACTGATCCCATAAAATATTATTTGTGTTTAAAAATTCCAGTAATTGGCTATGCAGCCGCTTTTTCCGAGCCCTGTGCCAAGCGCAGTAAAATCGCAGTCCGGCTGGGGTTATTTTCATCATGCAAATTCCCATTTCTGTAAACAGGGTTAAAGCCCCTGGAAGGGGCCGGGCTAGAACCAGAGGAGGAAAGCAGAGGGACAGATGTGTTCTCAGACTCTGGGAGTTGCTCAAACCCGGCCTCCGCTCCTGTGATCACCCGGCTGATTAGGGAGTGTTATTCAGATAATTCACCCAAACGCTTTCCCTTGCAGACCAGTGCCTGGACTCTACTGGTAAAATCTTTCCTTTCCTTAACTTTCTTCTCTTTCCCCATCCGATTATCTTACACCATTAAATCATGGAAATAAAATTCTTATCGCCTCCGTTATCACAGGAGCAAACTGAGGCCCAGAGAGGGGAAGAGACTTGCCTTAGGTCACACAGCAACTTTGTGCTGGAGCCCAGGCTAGGTTGCCTAACTGCGCAGCCATCGGCACTGGTGCAGGGCTTGGAAGAGGAGGATGCTGGAGCAGGTCCCAGTGCAGCTAGGGCAGCAGAAGGTCCCAGCTCTGGGCTCTGGGATGCTGTGGACACCCACCATAAGTCTTCCCCTGGGGGAAGACTCCCTCCCCCTCCAAACATACCCACTTCCTGTCCCTGCAGCCGCCTGGAAAGGAGGAGGAGGGAGTCCCTGCCAGAGCCTTGGAAACCCTGAGTAATGGACAGGGGAGCCTCTGCCCTGCTCCACCCAGTGATGGCTGCTGTCTGCGGCAGGGAGCCACTAAGAAGAGGAACCACACACGTGGGAGGCACAGATTTTTTAAATAGAGGCAGAACTGGAGCCCAGATTCTGAAGCTGAAAGGAGAGCTGGGGCTCCCAAAAGAGTAAATAATAATATATTATTTGTAACATAATATAGTACTACAAATAATATATTATTTCTGAATTGTATTGAGTACCTAGTATGTGCCAGACACTACTTCACAATTTGTCTCATTTGACTCCCACAAGCCTAGGAAGTTGGGCATAATATTATAAATATTATACCCACTTTCCAGATTGACGATACTGAGGCTCCAGGAGATTACGTTCCTTGCCCAAGATTGAATTTCTCCAGGGATTTCTGTGAATGAAAGACCACTAGGTTTCCTTCTGTCCCTCAACGACCTCAGGTTTTCCTACCAGCCAAGCCTCCTTCCTCCCTCCACGTCCCCCTGCAGTCCTGTGTGCAGGCCACTTTCTTGCCCTTGTTCCTCCTCCCTCCTATACTCAATCTTCCCTCTCCCCTCTCCCTCTTCAAACCACAGGCTCTCCAGCCCCTGCGGCTGAGGGATCTCTTGCTAGACAAGCCTCTTGTGATGCTGCACTCCACCACCCACAACGGTGGCGAGAAGGAAAGCAGCAGCAACAATAACAAAAACAGCTTCTTTTTCTCAATGAGGTTGTGTGCTTAGTAGTGCCTCCTCCGTGCCCATCCAAAGACACACACACACCCCGAAAACAGAGTCCAGGTTGTGCTTCAGTAGAAGGAAGGCATCTCCAGGGGCCTGGGATTCTTTCACAGCCAAGTGGGCGGCTGTGTGGGGCACTGAGTTTCCCGTCACTGCCAGTGTCCCAGCACAGCCTGGAGACTCCCAGCCCATGGTGCTGCCAATGAAATTCCTGTAGCCTCTTGCTCAGAAATCCATTTCAATCCTAAGACTCCAGGATTCCAGCTACACTACCGTATAAATACAGGGCCTCATTGTAATCAAATTGAATTCGGTTATTGTGTAAGTTTCGTGTCAATCTCTAAATAGAAATGCCTTCAAGGTGGCTGGTATCAAGGGGAGAAGGAGAAAGCACCCTCAACTGGGCCCAGTAGGAGGACAGCTTCCTGGGAGGGGGAAAAATACACCATGGGAATGGGGAGTGGGAGGAAGGGGGCTACTTATTGAGAAAGAGAAAATGGCAGTGTCTGGTGAATTCTAAAGGGCACTTGCTGCCAAAGACTCTAGTGTGAATTGTAAGAGAAAGCCAGTACCCAGAGTCCCAAAGCAAGCAACCCTAGAGGTCTCACCTCTCCTTTAGGGCTTCTCTCAGCCATCTGGATTTCCTACCTTCAGTCTTCCTTACTGCTTACTGCTTAAGTGGGGCCCTGAGTGTGTCATGCTCAGGTGAGAGGCCCTCCCCTTAAAGCACTGCAGAGAGTCACTGCCAGGGCCTGGACATAGGTTTTGGGGCCCCGGGGTATATGCCAGATGCCCCTTCCTGCCCATTCCCTGACTAACTCCAGATCCCAACACCTTTCCAGAGTCCGTCATAAGGATTTTAAAGTGGGCAACCGCCTCATCCCTCAGGGAAGGAAAGAGCCCCCCAGACGAGCTGAGGGCTCTGTCTGCAAGACCATCTGTGGCACAGAGGATCTAGGGGACAGTTGGGTGCAGAAACTTCCAGAGAGTTCACCCAGGGTGAAGCCACAATGGCTCCCTGGGGTGTGTGACTCACATGTATGATGTTACAGTGGGATTGGGAGGTGTGGCCAGCACCCTTGAGCTCATATTCTTTTGGACTTTGAAGGATGTAGATGGGTACTTCTTCCCTCACAGCTGTCTTTCCCGTGCTATCACCCCAGAGAGGGTAGGATGAAATGGGGTGGGTCCCATGACCTTTTGTCCATTTGGAAAGTGAATTTAGAGATCCTTCTCAAGGACAGGCACAATCAGAGATGACCGCAAGTCCCAACCTGTAAGGAAATACCAGTTAGAGAGAAAGATATACAGTAAAAAACCCACTGTGGTACATTAAAGATTTCAGGGCCGGGCATGGTGGCTCACGCCTGTAATCCCAGCACTTTGGGAGGCCAAGTCGGGCGGATCACCTGAGGTCAGGAGTTCGAGACCAGCCTCAACATGGAGAAACCCCGTCTCTACTAAAAATACAAAAATTAGCCAGGCATGGTGGTGCATGCCTATAATCCCAGCTACTCAGGAGGTTGAGGCAGGAGAATTGCTTGAACCTGGGAGGCAGAGGTTGCAGTGAGCTGAGATCGTGCCATTGCACTCCAGCCTGGGCAACAAGAGCGAAACTCCATCTCAAAAATAAATAAATAAATAAATAAGATTTCAATCAGCATACTTTACATGCCAGGTACAAATATGAGCTCACGACCATCAGAAAGGAGCGAGGGGCTAGGAGGACCTAAGCAAGGAATGTTTCAAGGTGAAGAACGGTTAAGGCTTTGAGAGGGCTTTGCATAACTGGCAGAATTTTTATCAGGCAGAGAGGGGGCTGGCAAAGTATTCTGGATGGTGGGAACAGCATTCAAACAGCCTGGAATACACAGACCTAAAACAGGAACCTGGGACGAGAGGACTAACTGGGAGAGGTGAGAGGAGATGGGGGGTTTCTGACATCTTCCCCAAACCCAGGAGCTTCTCTCAATCCTGGTTCCCCTTCCTGGTCTGAGGGTCCCCTCTCTTCTCTCCATTTTTTTTTCTTTAAGAGGAACGTTGGGTGAGCTCCACCTCCAAACCTGTGTGTGAGACCCCATCAGCAGAGGACATCTGTGGCAAAGAGGAGGTGGAGGAGGAAGCAGGGTGTATGTTCTTGCCTTCGGCCTCCTTTGCTGTCTCTCCATCTCTGATCCCCACCCTGGTGTCCCTGTCTCCTCTCTGCCTCTCTCTCTCTCTCTCTCTCTCTCTCTCTCTCTCCAGATTCCTCTGTCATTGCCTCTTCTCTCTCCCAGTCCACTCTGATCCAAATATCCCTTCACCTTTGCTCAGGAACAAGGCACTCCTCCAAGTGCCCAGGCAGGAGTCGGTATGGGGGGCTGGTGGCCTGGCCCAAGTCCTCCAGGGAGCAGGCCCCGAGGTGGGAAGAATATTTCTCCCTTCCCCCCATCTCTGGGCCCTCCCTCTGTGAGTACAGCCTGAGGACAAAGGTGATGCTCCACCCCCCTGGCCCACCCCAGCCTCCTGCCCCACCCCAGCCTCCTGCTCCACCCCTCAAGACTTCCCCTCCTTGTCATCCAAAGAAAAGCCCACCACTTTGGGGGACCAGCCTCGGAGGAAGCCTCAGTCAGCTTCCTGTGTGAAGATCCCCAAGGTAGAGCAGAAGCTTCCTCCCAAGGCCAGGACCCAGGCCTCCCCTAAAGGATCCAGCACCTTCCAGGCCCAGCAACAGCTGGCCCCAATGACAATTTGGCCTCCGATTATTATCAAAACCCCCTCCGAGAGCTCACCTCTCAAAGAGCGACATGCACCCTCTGCCAAGGAGGCCTCCTGCTCCCCAGGTGCATGTGACCACCCCTTACCCCACTTTTCTTCAAAATAAATATTTTTGTTAGATCAGCAATAGTCTACCTTTTTCTTCTGCCCTGAGAAAGAGAGAGGAAAGACACAATCTCAGGCACTTTCAGCTGTACTATTGCATTTAATCTTCACAATAGCCCTAAAAGATTGAAAATATGTCAAGTTTTGTAGATGAGGAAACTGAAGTTCAGAGGAGTTAAGTTACTTGCCGAGGTGGCAGAGCAATGATTTGATCTCAGAGCTGAGTCTAAAGCTCACGTCCCCTTTGCTGAGCCCTATAATGATATCATCCTGCAGGCAGATCAATGACAATACAGTGGACAAGAGACAGGGCACTTACAAGACCTTGAATCTATCACTCAAGGCGCCCGTTATATCTGTCAGTTTTCCTTTTTTTTTTTTTTTTTTTTTTTGAGGTGGACTATGGCTCTTGTCACCCAGGCTGGAGTGCAGTGGCACAATCTCAGCTCACTGCAGCCTCCGCCTCCCATGTTCAAGTGATTCTCCTGCCTCAGCCTCCCAAGTAACTGGGATTACAGGCACCCGCCACCACGCCCAGCTAATTTTTGTATTTTTAGCAGAGACAGGGTTTCACCATGTTGGCCAGGCTGGTCTCGAACTCCTGACCTCAGGTGATCCGCCCAGTTCGGCCTCCCAAAGCGCTGGGATTACAAGCATGAGCCACCGCACCCAGACAACTTTCCTTTGATTGAAGACTTGGGGCCACTTCTCCCCATGTCTCCACCCTGAGACTTTATTCTGCCCCCTCTTCCCCTTACCATGCTGCTCAAGCCAAGACTACCAAATCCACACGCACCTCCTGCCCCGAATTCTCCTGCCCAAGTTATGTATCATGCAATTTAGATGTTTTTCTCCCCTAATAATTTATATCACCTCATTCAAAATTTGGTCCATAACCAATATCAAGGCAGAGACTTAATTTGAATCCTATGTTTTATGACACAATGGAAAAGTTGGGCCCGGCGTGGTGGCTCACGCCTGTAATCCCAGCACTTTGGGAAGCTGAGATGGGTCGATCACCTGAGGTCAAGAGTTTGAGACCAGCCTGGGCAACATGGTGAAACCCCATCTCTACGAAAAATACAAAAATTAGCTGGGCGTGATGCTGCATGCCTGTAATCCCAGCTACTCGGGAGGCTGAGGCAGGAGAATCACTTGAACCTAGGAGGTAGAAGTTGCAGTGAGCCGAGATGGTGCCACTGCACTCCAACCTGGGCAATAGAGCGAGACTCGGTCTCAAAAAAGAAAGAAAGAAAGACAGAAAATGTGAACACTGACTGGATATTTGTGGATATTAAACACTTAATTTTTTTTTTTTTTTTTGAGACCAACTCCTGCTCTGTCACTAGGCTGGAGTGCAGTGGCGCCATCTCAGCTCACCGCAATCTCCACCTACTGGGTTCGAGCGATTCTCCTGCCTCAGCCTCCCGAGTAGTTGGGATTATAGGCATGCGCCACCACGCCCAGCTAATTTTTGTATTTTTAGTAGAAATGGGGTCTCACCGTGTTGGCCAGGATGGTCTTGATCTCCTGACCTCGTGATCCACCCGCCTTGGCCTCCCAAAGTGCTGAGATTACAGGTGTGAGCCACCACGCCTGGCCAAGACTTAATTTTTTAATAATAAACCTTTTCTTAGAAGAGTTTTTGGTTTACAAAAAAAATTGAGAAAATAGTACAGAGAGTTCCCATATACCCCCTGTACCTAGTGTCCTCTATTATTAACATCTTATATTGGGATAGTACATTCATTAGAATTAATAAACCAGTATTGATACATTACTATTGTTACTATTATTATTAAAGTAAAGATGTGGGAGTCTCGCCATGTTGCCCAGGCTGGTCTTGAACTCCTGGCCTCAAGCCATCTTCTGACCTCAGCCTACCAAAGTGCTGGGATTACAGGCATGAGCCACCATGGTTGGCCTGATACATTAACTAAAACCCCCCAGTGAATTCATATTTCCTTAGTTTTCACCTAATGTTCTTTTCTAATTCCAGGACCTCCTTCAGGATGCCACATTTAATCGTCATGTCTCCTTATGCCCCTCCCCCCTCCGCTTCCTGTGACAGTTTCTTAGGCCTCCGTTGTTTTTGATGACCTTGACAGTTTCAAGGAGTACTGATCAGGTATTTTGAGGAATGTTTCTCTCTTGGAATTTGATGTTTTTCTCATGACTAGACTAGGGTTAAAAAAATGGGGAGGAAGGTCACAGAGATAAAGTGCCATTTGTATCACATTGTATATAGCAAGTTTTGTGACTGTTATGTTGCCCTTCATTACCTGGCTGGGGTAGTGCTTCGGCAAGTAACTTACCAGATTACTTCATTGCAAAGTTAGGCTTTCCCACCACGCTTCTCCTACTGTGCTCTTTGGAGGGAAGTCACTATGCGCAGCCCACACAGAAGCCATGGGGAGTTAACGCTCCTCCTCCATGAGGACAAAGTGTCTCCATAAAAGATTTGGATTTCTTCTGCATGCGAGAGTTCTCTCTTCTCCTCCATTTATTTATTTATTCAATTATTTATATCAGCAGGGACTCGGGGATATTTATTTTATACTTTGGGTAATAATCCAATACTAGTATATTTATTTTTTTCGCTCAGATTGTTCCAGTTTTGGCCATTGGGAGCTATTTCAGTTGGCTCCTGTGTTCCTTTGACATACCCCCATCAATGTGGGAGTTTTGTTTTGGCTTTTTTGTTTTCCTTTGTTTTGTTTTAAGCATTTCCATACTTTCTGGAACTATAAGACCTCCAAATTCCTCTTGTATATTTTCCTGCCCTAGTCTCAGATTCAGCCATTTCTCCAAGGAGCCGTTTCATTTCCTTGGAACCTAGCTCTGGGTGCTAGGTGTGCAGTTACAGACTTAATTTTTGTATGTAATAAAGGTATTTAAGATATTTTGAAAAGCTCTTATCTTTTCCAGATTTATATAAAATGTTTATGGCTGAAATAATATAATGTCTGTGATTTGCTTCAAAAGAATACAGGGAGAGACAGAATATAGAAGACACAAAGGCTGGGCGCAGTGGCTCACACCTGTAATCCCAGCACTTGGGGAGGCTGAGGCAGGCGGATCATGAGGTCAGGAGTTCAAGACCAGCCTGGCCAACATGGCAAAACCCCATCTGTACTAGAAATACAAAAAAAATTAGCTGGGCGTGGTGTCACACGCCTGTAATCCCACCTACTTGGGAGGCTGAGGCAGGAGAATCGCTTGAACCCAAGAGGCAGAAGTTGCGGTGAGCCCACATCGCGCCATTGTACTCCAGCCTGGGCAACAGAGCGAGACTCTGTCTCAAAAAAAAAAAAAGAAGAAGAAGAAGAAACAAGATTGACCATGAATTGCTCTATGTTGAGGCTGGGTGATGGGATGCATAGGGACTGTGTATACTGTTCTGTCTACTTTAGTATATGCTTGAAATTTCTTTTTTTTTTTTTTTTTTTTTTTTTTTTGAGACGGAGTCTCGCTGTCGCCCAGGCTGGAGTGCAGTGGCGCAATCTCGGCTCACTGCAGGCTCCGCCCCCTGGGGTTCACGCCATTCTCCTGCCTCAGCCTCCCGAGTAGCTGGGACTACAGGCGCCCGCCACCTCGCCCGGCTAATTTTTTGTATTTTTAGTAGAGACGGGGTTTCACCGTGTTAGCCAGGATGGTCTCGATCTCCTGACCTCGTGATCCGCCCGCCTCGGCCTCCCAAAGTGCTGGGATTACAGGCGTGAGCCACCGCGCCCGGCCTATGCTTGAAATTTCTAGAGTAAAAATGTTAAAACATTAAAATAAAACTTGGTCCCACTTACCTCCTCTAAAGGTGTTCTTGGTTGCTCACATGTTCTGGCAACTGCTCCTCACTCCTGCCGGACTCTTTCGTTCTTTCTTGGTCACACTGCTGCACTGAGGTTTCCCAGGCCTCTGCTTGCTGCCAGCCTGAAGACCAGGTATCTCCTCACAGTGGCACCACCGACCCTCCCCAAGCACCCACTCCATGCAGGGTGTTATAACAAGCGTTCATGATGCTGAGCCAAACAGCGCAGGTTTTGTCAGCTATTATGGTTATCGGTTTCTTTTTTTTTTTTTTGAGACGGAGTTTCACTCTTGTTGCCCAGGCTGCAGTGCAATGGCGCTATCTCAGCTCACCGCAACCTCTGCCTCCCAGGTTCAAGCGATTCTCCTGCCTCAGCCTCCCGAGTAGCTGGGATTAACAGGCATGTGCCACCACACCCGGCTAATTTTGTATTTTTAGTAGAGATGGGGTTTCTCCATGTTGGTCAGTCTGGTCTCAAACTCCCAACCTCAGGTGATCTGCCCACCTCGGCCTCCCAAAGTGCTGGTATTACAGGCATGAGCCACTGCGCCCAGCCCTGGTTATTGGTTTCTTTAGGCACAAATTCTTCCTGACATTTTCTCTTTTGAGATTTTTTTTTTCAGTGTTCTGTGAAACCTACTCTTTCTAAGGCTAGGCTAAATGTGTAAGAAAATGTTCCTCAAAATGCACCCCAGTGGTCCCAGCATTAGAATCCCCTCTAGTTCCTATTGAAAATGCAGACTCTGGGTCCCTGATTCTCTAGTTACTGAACCTGCAGGTGTAAAGTGGGGCTCTGGGCTCTGGTTTGTAATGAGCTCCATATCTCCCTTCCTGGGGAGGAGGAGGTCCTTAAAGTTCATCTCTCGAAGCTGAGGGTTCTTGGCTATGAAGAAAGATGATGGTCATTGTCTTATATATTTATCTATTTATTTATTTTTAGAGACAGGATCTGGCTCTGTTGCCCAGGCCAGAGTACAATGGTGCAATCGCAGCTCACTGCAGCCTGGAACTTAAGCAATCAGGCAATCAGAGGGGTGAACCATCATGCCTAGCTAAATTTTTTAATTTTTTTTTGCAGAGACGGGGTCTTGCTATGTTGCCCAGGCTGATCTCAAACTCTTGGGCTCAAGTGATCCACCTCCTTCAGGCCTCCCAAAATGTTGAGATTACAGGCATGAGCCACAGCGCCCGGCCAGCCTTTGCCTTTTTAATCTCTCCCTGTTTCTGCTTCTCTGCCCCATTTTGTCCTGTGTGTTTCTGCCCTCTGGCAATCTCTCTCTTGTCCCTTGGCCTCCCGCTGGCCATGGCTTGTTTTGTGGCCTGGGCAGAAGGTGCTGTATCAGGCAGGGTCACGACGGGAAACGAAGTTTACCCCCAACTGGTTCAAGTGAAGAGACCTAAAGACATAAAGACATATTTCTAGAGTTAAGGGGAGGAACTAGGGATATTGAGGCACCAGAGACTAACAACACTGGATGCCATGATCACCCTGAGAGGCAAAGGAAGCAAAAGTACTGTATGCGACCAGTGAGGGCTGGGGCCTGGGAAAGGGGCTGCCTGCAGCAGCTGCAGTCTTGGAGAGACCTAGGGCTGAGCCTCTCCTCCCTCTCTCCCACCCCAGTTGCTTATTCACATTGGCCAAACCCAAAAACAAGCCAGAGGGCTCAGCCTCCCTCGGCTTACAGCAGAGTGGAGATGGGTAAGGAGCAGACTGGGCTGGAGGTAAGGGGCAAATGGGATAATGGGCACATTGGGTGCGCTTCTCAAGTCCTGACTGACCAGACCCTTTGGTCACCAACCTCCAGGGCAGGCTCCCAGGCTGCTCCTGAGCCCTCCAGAGAACCAGTGTCTGAGGAGCTGAGTACGGTCTTGGCCCTGTTCTTTACGGTCAGGGCTATACACTTCTTAAAGCCCAAGTGAGAGGGTGCCGTGACTCCCTGTTCTCCCTCTGCTCCCAGGAAATCTCTGCTTTGCTAGTATTTCAGTGAGGATTAGGTTTTTCCAAGTGTCCGAAAATCTAAGATAACAATTACTTATAAAAGATGAAAGTTTATTTCTCTGACACATGCAGAAATTTCATATATGGGAAGCTCAAAGAAGGGTGGGCAGATTCACAAAGTCATCAGAATTCCAGGCTCCTTCTGTTACTTTGCCCTGTCTTCCTCAGTACATAGCTTCCACCTTATGATTCAACAGGGCTGCTAACGCTCCAGCTATCAGATCTACATTCCAGTCAGCAGCAAAAAGGAACCTTGAAGGATTCTCCTTCCATTTAAGATTCCCTGGAAGCCCTACATACTTCCATTGACATGTCATGAGCCAAAACCCTGTCTCATAGCCATGCCTAGCTACAGAGGAGGCCAGAGAATACAGTCTTTATTCTGAGTGGGCACATGCACAGCAGAATTAGTGATTCTATTACTAAGGAAGATGAAGAGAATGGATACTGGGGTTGGCTAGCAGTTGCTGCTGCAACTGGAATGGTTGGTACTGCAGGATTTGGGGTGTTGAGGAAGCAGGGGGAGAGGGTGCATGTAGCAAAGGGTTTAAGGCAGAGGAAGAAACACAACTCAACCTCTCACCCTCTACTCCCTCGGGGAGCCTCTCCCAGGAATTCTTCCCCATAGCTGCAGCTAGAGAGAGCTTTCCTTCCTGCCATTGAACTTGCAGCCACAGCACTCAATCATGACATGCTCTGCAGAAACCACCTCCATATGGTCAAGACCTACAGTCATTTTCCTGTCCTTGACTTTCTGCCCTTCCCAGCAGCCTTAGCCATGTTTGGAGGTGCCCCCTGAAACCATCTCCTCTCCTAGCTCCCATGGCCTTCTGCCAGCCCCTCCTACCTCCCAGCCCCACACACTCCTCACTTGTTGTTGCTGGCCTCTCCTTGCTATAGTTCTAGGTCTTCCTCCTGGCCCAGGCTGAACCCTTTGTTTCTCTCTCTCTCTCTCTCTCTTTTTACTTTTTGTAGAGATAGGGGTCTCACTATGTTGCCCAGGCTGGTCCCAAACTCCTGGCCTGTGGTGATCCTCCCACCTCGGCCTTCCAAAGTGCTGGGATTACAGAAGTGAGCCACCTTGCCAGTCTGTTCCCAATACACACCTTCCCCAGGTGGTCTCATCCATGACCACGGATTTAAAGACTCCATATGGCTCCAGACACTAAGATTTTATCTCCAGCCCTAATCTTCTCGCCCAATTCATTTCTCCAGCTGTTCACCTCCCACCAAAGCAGCGTTCTGGTGTTCCTCCCTCATGCTTCCCCCTCGGGAAATGGCACCACATTTGCCAAAACACTCCAGCCCAAAGCAAACGTGTCCTCTTCAATTCCTCCCTTCTCCTCGCCCCACATCTCCAACCCACTAGCCAGTCCTGCTTGGTCAAATCCATATATATATATAATTTTTTTTTTTTAGACTGGGCTGACAGCACACAACATGGCCTCTAGTCTCCTGCCACCTCTCCCACTTCCTGACTTGCCACTCTCCCCTCATTTCCTGCAATCATTGCCTCACCAGGGTTTGGGGGTTTTTTGGTTTTGTTTTTTTTTTTTTTTTCAGTTCTGCAAACCGGCCAAGATCTCTCCTGCCTCACTGGCTCTAGCCCTACATCTTCTGCCCCTCTGCCTGTCAGGCTGCTCCCAACCCTTTATCTTTTTTTTGAGATAGAATCTCACTCTGTCACCCAGGCTAGAGTGCAGTGGCATGATCTTGGCTCACTGCAACCTCCGCCTCCTGGGTTCAAGGGATTCTCATACCTCAGCCACCCAAGTTGCTGGGATTATAGGCGCATGCCTCCATACCTGGCTAATTTTTGTATTTTTGGTAAAGATGGAGTTTCCCCATGTTAGCTAGGCTGGTCTTAAACTCCTGACCTCAGGTGATTCGCCCGCCTCAGCCTCCCAAATTGCTGGGATTACAGGTGTGAGCCACTGCACCTGGCCTATTCCCAGCCCTTTCTCATCCTGTAGAGCTCACATCTACATGGCATCCTCCTGGGTGGCCACCCAGCTCAGTCAGCCCTTTGTTAATTTTCTTCCTTTTGCTTAGAGTTACTTGCCATTATTTTTGCAGTGTTCTTTCACGTCCACTGACTTTCTTTCTGTCTGTGTCACTTTATTAGAACATAAACATGATGAAGACAGGCCATCTCCCCTGGCACAATTGGTCCAACATAGGCCTTGACCCATAGAAGGTGTTTAAAAAATCTATTGGATCAGTGATGAACCTTTCTCTATCTTCCATCACGCCTAACTGATTGCCAGGGAAACCACTGGAACTCAGTGAAGATGCTGCTGACTATTTAATTAGCATCTCCAGCCATGCCCTGCACAAACCCAGAGTTCTTCAGAGCCCCTAGCATCAGGAGTGCTGGGTGCTATCCCACCCAGAAACTCTGCCTCCTCTCTTCCTTCTGCGTTCCCCAGTGCCCACACGAGCTCTCACTAGCCAACAAGCCTGGGATACAGCGTCATTTCTAAAGCACCTACTACGTACCGGGTGCAGCTTGCCCTCACAACCAACTGCAAGGATAGATTAGCAAAAGACAAGATTCTTTTCCAAATGAGAAACCATGCCCCAGAGAGGCTAAATAATTTGCCCAGGACCACAGTAGTGAGTGGTAAGGTGGGATTCAAATCCAGGGCTGTCTGATCCAGTTAAATTACACCAAGCCACCAAGAGGGGCTGTGAGAAGGGCTTTGAACCCTCCCCCGCTGTAGTGTGCCCACCCCTTCCTTGATACCCTTCTTGCCCTTCTACCCTGGGGTTCTGCCAGGAGCAAGAGGTAAGGAACAGGGCCTCAAAAGTCAGAAAGTCTGGGAGGGTAAGGGCAAGGTGTGTGTTGGGGAGAGGACGCGGGGTTTGGTCTTGGGCAGGGACTGAGCCCTGGCTTCCAGTCGGCGGTGGTGAAGGGAGAAGATGGACAGACAGGTTGATGGGAAGATGTGACCACCCCAAATTCTGAATGCCTGTCTTCTTTCCTTGTCTATTACAGGTCTATGCTCAGAAGGTTGGAAATTTGGGGCAAGGAAGGGAGGTAACCATTTCCTGTCCCTGACCTGCCTGCCCACATCCCCTCACCTGACAGGGCTCTTAAGGGCTGAGGCATGTGCGGTAAGAGGGAAAGAGGAGGGGCAGTATGGGAAGGGGGTGCATCAGTGCCCCCCACAGACAAATAGGGGCTTGCCTGGGGATGTGGTTCTATCAGTCTTTGGAAGAGAAGGAAAGGTGAGAGGGGCCTCAGCCAGGAAGGAGGGAAGGAGGGGGGTGAGCAAGCGTCAGGGTGAGAAGCCTGGAGGTGGAGAGGGCACAGGCCCTTGTCTGACTGGTCAAGGCAGAGCGGGCCTGAGAGGGAGAACCGTCAGCAGAAATGGCTCCCCTCCCTCCTCCCTCTCATAGTCCAGCCCTGGCCTCCTACCCGCACCCCTACCCAGCCCAGGAAGAGGAGTGGGAAAAGGCCCTGTCACTAGGAGACCCTTTGTACTGCCAGCTTTTGGCTTTTTGCAGGGGAACAAGCCCCTCTCTAATCCGCAGCCTTCGACTCCTAGGCCTAATTAATAGGAATTTGCCCCCCTACTTGGGCCTCAGGCCTGCAGGGCAGGGACTGTAGGAGGAGAGGAAGTAGGGAGGTATGGGCATCCCCACAGGGGCCACCCTGAGGGTTAGCTGGGGCTGGGGGTAGACCCTACCCCAAACCTCAGGTCCTGGCCCCAGCCCAGCCTGGGAGGGGAGCAATGAACACCGAGTACGCAGGTCAAAGGGCAAGGCCAGGCTGGTCCCTGGTATTCCTCAGAGCCTTCCAGGCTGCTGGGCACCTCCCCTGCCCATGGGTGAGTTTGCCACCCCACCCCAACACCCACTCTGTGCTCCCCTCTCCTTCCAGCATGCACCAGGGGAAAGATCATGGAGCTCAGAAAACCTAGTTCATATCCCAACCTTGCTTCTCAGTAGTTGTGTGGACTTGGGCAAGCTGCCGAGCCTCTCAGAGCCTGTTTCCCACTCTAAAATGTGGTCTCTAAAAGTCATAGACCTAGAAGCCAAACTGACCTCGTGATGTATTAGTGAGGACCCAAGGACAAAATGTCTGGGAGGCCAAAAGCATCTCTCAGACAGTCTCTACAGGACTCTTCCAGGTCCCGGAAGCCCGAGCGAGCTTCCTGGAGGAGGTGGCTGGGGAGAGTGGAGGAGCCGGTAGGGGTCGCTGTGCTTGCGCGCGCCCGTCCAGGAACTCGCCGGGGCTGTGGGGAGGGGGCGCCGGCCTGGAGAGGACAATGTACAGTCTGTTCTAACACCCACCCACTCCAAACGCACACTTCCCACCCCGTCTCTTGTCCCTCCCAGCCCCGGGGCTAGACCCTGAGGGCTCGGGCCGCACCTCACGCGTCTCTCCACCCCCAAGGCCCCTCCTGACCCACCCCAGGGCGGGCTGGTCTCCCCTTGGGGGGCCGGGGGCCAAGAATGGGCGCGTCAACTGGGGCAAATTAACACGTAGGAAAACACCCCAGCACCTGGAGAAACAGGAGCTGGGGCTGGGGGAGGGCGGCCAGAGCCTTCGAAGTCAGAACCCGAAAGGAGCGATAATTCACCCTAGTGTCCCGCGGCCTCCCGCCTGCCCCCTACCCCCGCCTCGCAGCCTCTGGTTTCAAAGGCGGACAAACAGCGCACTGTGCTTGGCCGCGGCTCCCTCGCTAAATCTTCCTGTCTTCAAGTTCTTGTAACTTGAGCCGGCAGAGCTGACCCTCCCTCGGAGGCCTGAAGGGTACGAGAAGGGGAGGGGTGGGGGGGGGAGGGGAAGCGGGAGGGTGGGGGTAAAAGCAGGAGGGAGGTGCGGGGAGAGGGTTCTGACCATCCCGTTGGGACCTCAGCCCTCACCCATTCCTCCTGATCTGGGCAGCCTCCGGGCCCCAACTCCAGCCAGCCGACCCCTTTCCTCCACTTTCGGGGGTCTCTCTGGGACAGATGTGGCTTTAGAGGAAGCCTTTGCAAAGTGGCAGCTTTGGGGCGGGTTTGGGATTCTGGAAGCTTCTGAGCATAGTGTGAGTGTGTGCGAGGGGATGGGGGAAGGCCCAGCATGTGGAAAAGTCATTTTCATGCTTGAGTTGGGAGCAGACAGAGATCAGGGGAGACGAGGGAGTCCTCGCTTTCGGAGGGGGTGTAAAGTAAACTAACCAGGGAGGAGCCTCCCACAGCCACTCTGGTCTGAGACAGCGCCTGCCCAGAATCCCTCTCCACAGCTCTTCTAACAACTGAGGATCCCTGGGGCCAGCGTGAGTGGGAGTGGAGGAAGGAGTCCAGGAAATCCCTGGAGATCCGCAGCCTGGGATGGCCCCTGTTGAGATTTTCAATGGGGGAGCCCTCCTCCCTCCCTGGGCTGCTTCCAGGCCTAGGATGGAAGCAGAATCTCAAAGCACATGGGAGCTCAAGGCTTCCAGGGAGGGCAGAGGACATTTAATTAAGAAGGAGCCAACTGCACAGGGGAAGAGGTCAAGATTTTATTGGTGGGGGCACGGGCAACGGCAGAGGTGAAGGGCAGGGCTAGAGCTGGTTGAATCCGGGGTAAGAGAGTGAGTGAGATTTGAGGGTAAAGAAAGAGTCATGGGAGGTGGGGTTAGGGTGGATGTGGAGTTGGAGTTAGGATTCAAGGTAGGGAAATGTGTTGGTACAAGGCATAATGGTAAGTCCGGAGTTCATTCTGTTAGCAATCAACAAATATTAATCGAGGACCTCCCATATACCAGGCTCTGTTCTACTTGCTGGAAATAACATATAACAGTGAGTACAACACAAAACTCTGCCCCCTCAGAGGTGACATGCCAGTGGTGGAAGCAGATAATAAAGTAAATGGGAGAATAAATTGTATGTCAATGCTATAGAGACAAAGCTGGGAAGGGGGTTAGGGAGTAATAGGGCACGCATTGCAATTTTAAACATGGGCTCACTGAGAAGGTGACATCTGAGTCAAAACCTCAAGGGGTTAGGGAAGCCAGCCGAGTAAATATCTTGGTGAAGAGCATTCTAAGCAGAGGGAACAGCAAATGCAAAATCCCTGGCGTGTGTAAGTACGCCCAGCTCGTTCAAGGAACAGCTAAAAGATTAGTGTAGCTGGGAAGAAGGTGAGGAGAGTAGGGAGGAGAGAAGAGGCCAGAGTGGTGATGGGCTGAGAGCAGGGTTGGATTAGAATCAGAGCAGAGGTCTGCACTAGCTCTGTCTCCCGTCTCTGAGTGTTGGGGAAACTGAAGGCATGTAGGCAGAGGCCTGCGTGGAGGACTTGGATAGAGGTGGGAGATCAGGGTGGAGACAACTGAAAACAGGTCCACCTGGAGAACTCCTGGCAAGGAGGTGCCCTCGAGGCCTCCTATTGGGCCAGGGCACCTGACCTCAAGACTTTTCCCTGTCTCATCAATGTCTCCCCCTCCAAAGCATGAGACACCACTTCACTTGGAGCTCATCTTCAAAACTTTGTCACCCATCCCCCCCAATTTGTTTGCTAGTAAAAAGATTGGGGGGGTGGGCTGTCTCTTTTCCTCTCCATCGCCTCCTCCCAATCATCGCCAGTGTTCTCCTTCCCTTCTCTCTCCTGCCCGCTCCCTCTCCCTTTCTCTCCCTGAGAGCTGATGCAGTTAATTGGAGCGTCTTGAAAGTGCACATTAACACACAGAGAGCCAAGGAGACGTCTTGGCAGCGAAATATCATTATCACTTCTTGAGCTCCAGCCAAAATCCCCTCGCGGTCAAAACACAATTCTTTAAACTAAACAATTAAAGATTTGTGCAAGTGTGGCTGCCATGAGGTATCAGGCTGGGAGCGGCTGCCCCTGCCAGTGTCAGCAGAAGTTAGCAACCTGCTCCATGCTCCGAGCCAGGTGATGGGCCCAGAAGGAGGAAAAACAGCAGGTCCACAGCGGCGGCCTGGAGACCAGAACAGTCTGCCCCTGTCTCCAAACCAGGACAGCCACGGGTTTGAGATCCTGGGGGGAAAAAACATGGCAGGCCCATCCAAGCTCACCCAACCTCCTCAACCCCCATGGAGAGCTGGGGTTCAACATCGATCTTATAGTCACTCTGGACTTAGTCAGTATGGGACCCAGTCCCTTGCAGAAGCCCATGGATTTGGAAATGGCAGACCCAACCCTTTTCATTCCCTGCTCCTACCAGCATATTTTCAGAAACCCCATGCCTGGAATAAGAATCATGGGGTGCCACTGCACCCCAAGCTCATGCCTGCCTTCTCCAGCTCAGAGCTCTGACGCAGTTGCACACGCTTAGGCGCAGGGCCATGCACACCACGTGGCCTGAGTTTGGAGCAGAGAGGTGCTGGGGCTACCACTCCAGCCCTGCCCTGTACTGGAGTTTCCACCCGCACAGACCTCAGTGAGGACCCCACCCACGTATGGTCATGGGGCAAATCCTACTGATGCACTGCCAAGTTAATGTGGTGACCCTGAGCAAGTCCCTGGCACTGCCAAGTTAATGTGGTGACCCTGAGCAAGTCCCTGACTCTCTCAATTTCGGTTCTCATGTCCATACCATACAATTTGGGCTTTTTTTTTTTCTTTTTTCGTCTTGAGACAGGATCTCACTATGTTGCCCAGTCTGGTCTTGAACTCCTGGGCTCAAGCAAGCCTCTCACCTCAGCATCCAGAGTAGCTGGGGCTACTCTGAACTAGCCCCCGTAGTGGGCATGCACTATAGGTTCATGCCACCACACCTGGCTTGATTTTGAAGATTCCTTTCCATTCAAAAGTGTTGCTGGGCATAGTGGCTCACATCTGTAATCCCAGCACTTTGGGAGGCTGAGGCGGGTGGATCACCTGAAGGTCAGGAGTTCAAGACCAGCCTGGCCAACATAGTGAAACTCTGTTTCTACTAAAAATACAAAAAATTAGCCAGGCGTAGTGGTGGGTGCTTGTAATCCCAGCTACTCAGGAGGCCGAGGCGGGCAAATCGCTTGAACCCGGGAGGCAGAGGTTGCAGTGAGCCAAGATCGCGCCATTGCACTCCAGCCTGGGCAACAAGAGCAAAACTCCATCTCAAAAACAAAAAAAGAAGAAGAAATAAGAAATAAAGAAAAAAAAGTGTCATGGACCTGTGATTGTACGTACCAAGTTCAAGGGCTGTGGATGTATTTTGGGCAACGGGCTCAGAAAGCCTTCTCCTTTCACACCTGGAAAAATTCCCTTAGGCTGTGCATTTCAGCAAACCAATTCAATCAAAGACACCCACTATGCCCTGATGAGGGAAGTTGGGGATACCAGGGAAGGGTCCCTCTGTCTCCAGCTGTTTTGGAGTGTCTCTCTTGGAGCAGCCAAGGAAACTTGAGTCTGGTGGAGCAAAGACTCTGGAGCCAGACAGCGTGGGTTCAATCTCAGCTCCCACTCACTAGCTGTGTGACTTTTGGCAAGATGCTTACCTCTCTGTGCCTCAGACGTCCCATCTGTAAAGTGGGGCTAACAATAGTACCCACCTCATGAGGTTGATATGAAGATTAAATGAATTAAAATATGGAAACCAGAACAGTGCCCAGCCCATAGTAGGCTCTCAATGAATAGTCGCTATTATTATTTATCTGGCTTTTCTAGTGGGTATCTATAGCAGCTTGTCTCCAACGATGACCTCAACATGAATCACACCTCCTCAAATATATACTCTTGTGTAGGACTGACCCCTCTCATGTCAAATCTGGGACAGCCCAGGGTAACCAATAGAATGTGGCAAAAGTGGCACTGTGTGATTTTTTTTTTTTTTTTTTGAGACGGAATCTCACTCTGTCGCCCAAGCTGGAGTGCAGTGGCGCAATCTCAGCTCAGTGCAACCTCCGCCTCCCAGGTTCAAGCGATTCTCTTGCCTCAGCCTCCCGAATAGCTGGGACTACAGACGCATGCCACCACACCCAGCTAATGTTTTGTATTTTTAGTAGAGACGGGGTTTCACCCCATTAGCCAGGATGGTCTCGATCTCCTGACCTCGTGATCTGCCCGCCTTGGTCTCCCAAAGTGCTGGGATTACAGGCATGAGCCATCGTGCCCGGCCAGACACTGTGTGACTTCTAATGCTAGACCTTGCAGCTTCTGCCTGGGTCTCTTGATAGGGTCCCTGTCACACACCATATAGGAAGTCCAACTCGCCATAGCCCAGCATGCCGTGAGGAAGCTCAAGCTAGCCATGTGGAGGGGCCAGGAAGAAAGAGAAAGTGATGCTTGGCCAAGCACCCAGCTGTTCCATCTACCCCAGCTAAAATGCTAGGTATGTTAGTGAAGAAGAGCCTGGACATCCCACCCAATCCAGCCTTCAAGCAACTCCATTCCAGCTACTACCTGGGAACCAGGTGAGATACCCCAAGCAAGAACTGCCTAGCTGGAACAAGTCAACCCACAGAACTGTGAGAGTTAATAATAAATTTTTTGTTTTAAGCAACTAAGTTTTGAGGTGGTTTGTTCCTCAGCAATGGGCATTAGAGTCAGGGCAAGTCAGAGTTGGGAGGGGCTTTAGTGATCCTACTTTGAATCTAATCCTAATCAGATCATGATGTCACTCTCCTTCTCTTAACCTCACAGTGGCCTTCTATCACATTTTGAATAAAATCTAAAGTCCTCTCTAAGGCCTGCCAGGTCTTACATGCTCTGTGCTCCACTCCCCCCTCAGACCTCATCTTCTACCACTTTTTTCTTCCCTTCTCCTACTGCAAGCACTCTGGCCTCCTTGCCCTTTCTTGAACATGCTGAATGGGTTCTTGCCTCAGGGCCTTTGCACAGGCTCCTCCCTCTGCCTGGAGTGTTTTTCCTCCTTATTTTACCACAGCTAACTCCTTCACTTTCTTCAGATCCCTGCTTCATGTCACCTTTCATGTTCCTTTCCTGAAATAGTGCTCCTCACCCTTCCATTATCCCTTTCTCTCGCCTTACCCTGATTTATTTTTCCTCAGGTTACTCATTGCTACCTGACATTATATTACACATTTATTTATGCATGAATTGGTTGCCTTTAAGCTTCCATGAGATCAGGACTTTTTTTTTTTTTTTTTTTTTTTCCTTGAGACAGAGTCTGGCTCTGTTGGCCAGGCTGAAGTGCAATGATGCGATCTCGGCTTACTGCAACCTCTGCCTTCTGGGTTCAAGCAATTCTGTCTCAGCCTCCCCAGTAGCTGGGATTACAGGCATGCACCACCATGCCCAGCTAATGTTTTGTATTTTTAGTAGAGATGGGGTTTCACTATGTTGGCCAGGCTGGTCTCGAACTCCTGACCTCAGGTGATCCATCCGCCTCAGCCTCCCAAAGTGCTGGGATTACAGGCTTGAGCCACTGAGCCCAGCTGAAGTCAGGACTTTTATCTGCTTGGTTGGCCACCGAGCTCCAGGGCCTACAACAGTGCCTGACACATAGTAGCTCTCAGTCAATATCTGCAAGAGAAATGAAACCTCTCTACCCCAGGGAAGGGAACTGAGCCCTAGAGATGGGGCAGGGACTTGTCCAGTATCACATGGCAACCTAGTCTGACCTGGATCCAGGGTGCTGTCTTCCCAAATGCCCCATGCACACCTGTATCCCTCAGAGGGCTCCTTCTTTCCATTCCCACTGAGCAGCAGTGGCTCCACCTCTCTGTCACTCAGGCAGGCCAATAGCCCTCAGCTCTTCCAGTTGTTTCTGTCAAATAGAATTTACAATAAACTTTGTTTGAACTTTTGTCTAAGTGATAATTATACAGAGTATAACATACAGCCAGCTGTATTTAATTAAAGCTGTAATTTCACTAAGGGTTTCTGGAAACAGAGTAAACCGCAAGAGTTGTACCACCCATAACCCTGTGTGGGGGCTGCACCCACACGGGAGCAGGGTGGCTGAAACAGAGGCCCCAGAAGCCAGAGGTCGCCAACAGGGTCTTGCTGCTAGAATCTGGGGCACTCCTATCTTGGGGCCATGCAGAGAGGGCGGGGCTGGGTTGGCCTCAGGCCAAAGACTCAGTCTGGAACCTCTCAGAACACGTGCATGGGTTTCTTCTGAACTTTGTTGGCTCACAAGAAAGCAGATTCTTTCAAGACACTGGAATATAGGGCTAAGGAGCTGAGAAGATGCCAAACAGGAGCAAAGAAGATGGCTGAGAAGGGGCCCTCTAGATGACAGGCCCAGGGTATGGGACAAGGGAAAGGAATGAGTGCCAGCCGAGTGGAGGGCAGGCCAGGCATGGACCCAGTCAACAAAATTATGCTTAGTGCTTATCACACACCTGGCACTGTGCCAGGCACAGAGGTTAAGGACACATGGGACTTTGCCCTGCTGAGTTTGGTTGAGCAAGGAGACAGCCTTATGTACTAACCGCAACAGGCATTCTCTAAGAGAGGATCGGATAGCCTAGTGGCTAAGAGTGCTTCTCCTGGGACCCAAGCACTCAGGTTTAAATCCTGCCTCTCCCCTTCTCAGCTAGGTGTGCTGTCTTACTTCTTTCTATCTATCTCCCTTTTATCATCTGTAAAATGGGTCAACAGTGTCCACCTCAAAGTGTTATTGAGATAATTAAATGAATGAATCTGTGTTAAGGGCTTAGAACAGCAGTGCTTAACATGTAGAGAGGGTCAGCAAATGTTAGGCATTATCATTGAATATTTCTGGGAGCCCATGAAGAGGAGTCATCCTTTTGACCTGGAAATCGGGCGGTCAACCATCCTAGCTTCCGGTGCTGAGCTTCAGACTTGCAATACTGAAACCAGGGCAGTCACAGGAAAACCAGGACAGTTGTTCACCCTGCCTGGAAGTTAGAACTGGGTCTCAAAGAGAAGGGATGTCCAAGCTAGGCACACACTAAGGAGGATGGGGACTTAGCTCTGCAGAAGGGGAATAACACACGGGAAAGTACGGAAAAAGGGATTCAGGCCCAGATCAGCCGTGAACTCCCTGAGTGATCCTGGGCTAGTCACGCTCCTTCTCTGAGACTCAGTTGTCCCATCTGTCATTTTATCGGAGACTGATTGCTCTCTGAGGATCCTTGCAGGTCCGCAACCAAAGGGGAATAGAGCCGCAGGAAGGGCCTGGTGGGAGGGCCCAGGGATCGCCCCACCTGTCCGCAGCATGCGCACATGCACACGGCAGCGCGCGCACACACACACACACACACACACATGCACTCACACAAAATGGTAGGCAAGGGAGAGGGGTCAGCCACACAGGATAAAGGAGACACTTGCCCACGTATAAAATCCCCTCTTTGGGGCCTACACAGGGCTAGATCATTAGGATTAACCAGAGAGAGCTGGGTTTAATTGTCAAAAGAGGCTTGCTGCTGGGGTGGGGGCCGAGCAAGATCTCTGAAGAGATGCAGAAATATTCCTGGGTAATAAAACATCCCCTTTTCAGTGTCGAAGTTAATGTTCCAAGCCTCGGGTAAAATGTGGCTTCTTATCAGCCAGTGCTTTCCCTAGAGAGGGCCGGGCAGCAGGCAGGGAAGCAGGGGAGCAGCTTGGGCTCCCCTCGCCCTTAGAGAGTGTGAGTGTGGGTGGCTTGGTGGTCAGAAGGCTAAGGCTCTTTCGAGAGGCTGAGCTCCCCTTGAGACCCCACCCCCACGCCATCTCCTGGACAGCCCAAGTGTGGGGCATACCACCTGCGTGTCAAGCTGTCTTTGAATCTGTTTCCCTCCCTCCTGCCTTTTCCACAGATGCTTATTCGTTCTGCCCTCTCCCCTCTCTCCATCGCTGTCTTCTTTCTCCTCCCTTTTCTCCCAGAGTGTTCTTTACACCTGTCTGCCCTGTCCCTTCTGCATGTGGCTGTATCGGTACCTGTGTTTGTGTCCGTCTGTCCTGCTGGGGCTCTGCCCCTGGAGCGGGGACAAGAGGCAGGAGGCCTCACATACTGTCTGGGAGCAACACTTACGCCCGCCCACTCATGCACCCCCGGGTGACTCTCCACAAGCAGGCGTGGGTAGGCAGAGGGCGGCTCGCTCAGGCCCTGGGATGCTGCCTGCACCCCTGCTTCGGCACCGGGCCCCAAACCCGCAGGCGTGTGCTGGCGGCACAACACAGTGACTCTGACAGGCCGCTGGTTTAAATATAGAGTTGCGTATGCAAGCTGGGGCTAATTTTAGCAGGAATGTGCTGGAAACTTTCTGAGGGCTCTGTTCTCTAGCTGTCTCCCTTGTGCTCATCGCTTGCGGCGGGAAGTAAACCTGCTGGTCCCCGCCGTTCCTCACCTTCCCACTTCTCCCTGCCAGTCACCCAGATGCTGGCCCTAGCCTTGTCTTCACAGGAGCCAAGCCCATGACTGAGGTTTTAAGTCCCCCCGCTCTCCTCTCTCCTGCCTTCCAGACCCACCCCTACCTACCCCAGTCTCTTCCACAAAGCCAAGGCCAGCCAGCCCTGGGGAAAAGGATCAGTCAAGCAGATTCTTCCTTCATCCGGTATCACCTCAGTGACACGTCCTGTCAGAGGACACACTTGCCTGCCTCACATATTGACATGATCCACCATTCACTGAGCAGCCCCTAGGATGGGGACTTAGCTCCGCAGAGGGAGGTAATACATGGAAAAGTATGGAACCAGGGCAGCAACCCTGGGGTAGGTCTGAGTCATGTCCCCACTAGACAGACCAGGCCACTGAGGCCCAGGAGAGTTCAAGGACTTGCCTCAGGTCATTTCACACCACACCACAGATCACCAAATACATTATGGAGTACATTTGTCTTTTAAATGAGAGCCCTGGGAGGAAGAGGTCATCATTAGCACAAAGGAAAGATTCTATAATGGTGGAACTCCAAGGACTATGATTCCAGATGAGCTCAGCTGCTTGAGGGAGGGATGGGGAAGCTCCTGTCTCTCTCTCACCCTTCCTGGGTCCCACTGCACCACCTGTGGGCCTCAGGCAATAGGCCACACTTCTGCACTATCAAACTCTTTTTTCTTTTCTTTTTTTTTTTGAGACAGAGTTTTACTCTTGTTGCCCAGGCTGGAGTGCAATGGTGCAGTCTGGCTCACTGAAACCTCCGTCTCCCGGGTTCAAGCGATTCTCCTGCCTCAGCCTCCTAAATAGCTGGGATTACAGGTGCCCACCACACCCGCTAACTTTTGCATTTTTAGTAGAGTGGGGGGTTCACCATGTTGGCCAGGCTGGTCTCAAACTCCTGACCTCAGGCGATCTGCCTGCCTTGGCCTCCCAAAGTGCTGAGATTACAGGCGTGAGCCACTGCGCCCAACCTTGAACTACCAAACTCTGCATTTATTTATCCTACTTATCCATTTGAGTAGCATTTATGGAGCACCTACTGTGTGCCCAGCACTCTTGCAGGTGTCCAGTTACAAAGAATGAGGCAAAGGGCAGGGCTTGGCTCTGAGGGCCTCCTGGGTTAGTTGGTGACAGGCACAAGCCTGGAGTAAACAATTAGCTGAATTCTCATTGGTAAGGATGAAAACAGGAGCTGGGGGAAGAGAGGAAAGAAAAAGTTGACACCCGGAAAGGGCTCCCCCCACCACCCACCACCCGCCACAAGAAACTCCAGAAGGCATCAACTCTTCCTCCCCAGGCTTCTCTGACTGTTCTCTCCAGCAGCTCCAGAAAAATGTCCTGTCTCTCCGCGGGGCTATGGAACTGCGCTGCGTGGTGGTTGTGTTTGAGTGCGAGGACATTTCCCTGTAATGAGGATGAGAATAGTTAACGAGGAGGGTGACACACTGTAGTTAGAGAGCAACAGATCTCTGGGGGGTGCCTGCCCGCCCCGCTGCAGGGACGCCAGCTCCTGGGGACCCTGACAGAAGCTGCAGGAGCCAGTCCAGCAGGCACCAGGCAAATGTCCAACTCTGGCTGCTGTCCCCAGCCCATCCCACTCAGAGGAGAGTGGCTTAGACTGGGGCCTGCGGGCCTTCAGCTCACATCTTGGCCTTGGGTTGTCGGAAAAGGGGACCCTAGGAAGGCGTGAAGGATGCATTTTAAATTACAGCCTCCCGACAATCCCTTTTCCTCCTTCACTTTTCTCCATAGCACTAAATTCCCTGTAATGTACAATATAATTTGCTTATTCATTTTTCTTACATCTGTCCCCCTGACGAAAATGAAATCTTCATGTTTCGTCTCCGGCCATTCCTCCAACAGCGCCTAGCCCAGAGTAGGTGTTCAAGAAAGATTGGCGCATGAACAAATACGTTTGAGCTTTGCTGTGCTGTGTGGACTCTTGGGACCCATCGGGCTAGAGATGGGTTCTTACGTGGCTGAAGTCTGCATCTGTGCGTATGTGTGGTGGGCGGGGAATGTCTGTGAGGTGTGTGTGTGTGTCTGTGTGTGAAATGTGTGTGTGTGAGGTGCGTGTGTATGTGAAGGGTATGTGTGAGTTGTACGACATGTCTGTGAGGTCTGTGTGTGAGGTGTGTGTGTGTGAAGTGTGTGAGGTGTGTACATGTCTGTGATGGGTATGTGCATAAGATGTGTGTGTCTGTGATGTGTGTCTGTGAGACGTGTGTGTGAGGTGTGTGTGTGAAATGTATATGTGTGAGGTATGTGTGTATCCATGAGGTGTGTGTCTGTGAGCCGTGTGTGTGAGGTATGTGTGAGGTGTGTGTCTATAAAGTATGTGTGTCTGTGAGGTATGCGTGTCTGTGAACTGTGTGTGCATCTGTGAGCTGTGTGTCCATGAGGTACGTGTATCCATGAGGTGTGTGTCTATGAGCTGTGTGCGTGAGGTGTGTGTCTATAAAGTGTGTGTGTGTGTATTCATGAGGTGTATGTCTGTGAGCTGTGTGTGAGAGTTGTGCGTCTATAAAGTCTGTGTGTGTGTATCCATGAGGTGTGTGTCTGTGAGCTGTGTGTGTGAGGTGTGTGTCTATAAAGTATGTGTGTGTGTGAGATATGCCTGTGTGTGCATCTGTGAGCTGTGTGTCTATGAGGTACGTGTACCCATGAGGTGTGTGTCTGTGAGCCGTGTGTGTGTCTGTGAGCTGTGTGTATAAGGTGTGTGTCTATAAGGTATGTGTGTCTGTGAGGTGTGTGTATTTCTGTGAAGTGTGCAAGCATCTATATCTGTGAGTTGTATGTATGCAAGTGTGTACGTGTGTGTGTGCTTTCAATCTGGTCGCTGACTCCCTTCACACACTCAGCTGCTGAGTCTCGGGGTTGAGCACACTGGGTGAGTTGGAGTGGGGTGCCGGTGTGCATCTGCCTGCTTGGGCAGGAGTGCCCTGCTTCCAGCTTGAAGATCTCCCACTGATGTCCTCACCCACACCAGGTCTCTGGGACAGACTCCTCCGCCAGGGCCATGCCCACATCAAATCATGCCCATCTTGGTGCCTGGGTCACTGCTTTCCGCAGGAATGGGCAGCACCCTGGTGTGGCATTCCTAACTGGGTTTCCATGCACTCCCAGTGGAAAAACCAAGGCTTGTGGAAAATACTGAGAATGGCCATACTTCGGGTGGTGCCTGCTATGTATCAGAATCGTTCCAAGGGCTTCACAATTCTGACAACTCTGTGGGGCGGGTATCATTGGTACAGATGAGGACACAGCGGCACTGAGGGAAGGAGTAACTTGTCCAAAGTCACACAACTAGTTAGTAAGACATGGACACGGGCACCAGGTTCCCGAAGTCACCTGCAACTCACTCCTTATGCCTCAAGTCCTCCTTTCCCCGCTGCCTGAGGACTTCACCTAGATGAGACAGTGGGGTGGGGCCCCCTTCTTCACCCCAGAACCACCGCCTTCTTTTGCAAGAGAAGGAATGGCAAGAGCATGAAGAAGCTGTCTGCTGAGAGGCTTGCAAGCAGGTTCATTATCCCAGCCTTACAGAGAGCTGTCCCTCCCCTCATGTCAACTCCGCCAGTAGTGGGTACGACTGTGTCCTCCAAAAAGATGCCAAGTCCTAACCTTTGGTACCTATGAATGTGACCTTATTTGGAAATAGGCTCTTTGCAGATGTAATCCAGTTAAGATGAGGTCATACTGGATTGGAGTGGACTCTAAATGCAGTAACTGGTGTTCTTACAACAAGAGGGAAATTTAGCCACAGAGACACATAGGGAAAATGCTATGTGATGATGGGAGCAGAGATTGGGGTGAGGTGTCTTCAAGCCAAGGTTCAGCAAGTATTGCAGCAGTCCAGAAGCCAGGAACAGAGGCATAGTCCCCTCAGAGCCGACAGAAGGGACTGACTTTGCCACATCTTAATCTCAGACTTCTGTCCTCCAGAACTGTGAGACAACTGTGAAAGTTATTAGAATCGAAATACAGTCACTGTCAAACCCTAAGAAAATGGAGCCAGGGGGCCATGAAGAAGGGGCCCTCATCCATACATGTCTATGATGGGAACTATGCAAGGAATTCCTCAGAATCGCAGCATTCCAGATAAGCCACTTGCCCCAGGACACTTGCCTGACAATGGGTGTCTTCACCAAAGAGCTTATGCCAATTCCTATGAGACCCTGTAACCCATGGTCTTTGTTTCAAAACTGCTTACACGATTTCTCCTTTTTGTCTTTAAAAGCTTCCTCCTGGCCCCAACCCCCTTGGACCTACTATGGGCCTATGACCCGTTATAGCACACATATCCCAGATTGCAATCCCCTGCTATTCCCAAATAAACCTTTGTTTTGGAGAGTTGGTCTCCCTGCTGCTCATTTTAGTTGGCACAATACATTTCTGTTGCTTTAAGACACCAAGACTGTGTGCTCCTACAGCAGTCTTAGAAAACGAAAACCTCCCTCCCAGGGCAGAATGGACACACACACACACACACACACACACACACACACACACACACACACACAGTAGACAATGACTTAGACTAACACTCTGACCAGGCCACACAGGCTTGTGCTGAGCAGGTGCCCCCTGGCTCCTATGCAAGGTACTCCCGCTCAGAGTTACCCCAGCCTAGCCGGGCACGCACTTCTCACACATCACCTGACAGCCTTCCCTCCTCTGGGCCCACCAGGAACTCTCAGTGGAAGCTTCCTGAGGACAGAAACTCTCCAAACTCCATCTTCTGGAGCTTCCTCCCTGGACCCTCCTGTTCACTCCCAAGCCCACAGTCTCCTGGTCTGCCTCCCTCTCTCCTCCCTTCCTGTCTCCCTTCCTTCCTTCCTCCCTTCTTTCCTCCCCTCCTTCCTTCCATCTCCCTCTGCCCCTTTTTCTTTCCCCTTGGGTAAACACAGCCCTGCGGCGAGGCCCTGCCATGTTCCCCGAGAGCTGCACATTGCCACCTGTTGCTATGGAGAAGCCTCTTTATCGCAAACACTGGGTAAACAGCTGCTGCTGGGAGCCCCTTTCTGCTGGGCAGGGGTTTATTTGGAGAAAGTCAATAAGGAAAAATAAACATTCCCGGCCCTATGTATATACAGCCTTGGGACCTGCAGTGCTCTGCAGCATCTCAGGCCTGCCAGCTCCCCAGAGGGTCAGGCAGGCTGAGCCCCACCCCTCCCTCTGATCCCAGCATCTTCCAGTTAAAGCAGGAGTGTGGGGGGTAAGGCAGCCACCTCACTCTGGACTCAGCCAGGTCACCCTGCAGGCTGCACCTACCTTGCCCTAGGCTGGGCCCAGGTCAAAGTTTCAAGGCTCAGACTTCCATATTCCCCTTCTATGAAAGGGTGTGCTGAAACAGCTGCCCACCCACCTGCCCAGCCCAGCAGCCCCGCCCGCTGTCTTCTAGGGAAGTCCACTCTGTCTGTGCTCCCACAAGCGCTGGGGGTCCTGGGGAGAACCATGGCCAATTTGGATTGATTAAAATTCTCTCTTCTTTAGCAGCTGAGTTTCAGTTGAATTAAACGTGTTAAGTGTTTAGTAATACAGCAATCCACTCAGTCAGCACAATTATTTAACAACTGTGACTATGTTGAGGAATCATGCTAGGCTATGCTGGCTCCTGTCCTCGTGGTGCTTACAGTCTAGTGGGGAAGAAAGCCAGCCGTAAAGATGCAGTTAATTTAGTATTTACAGGCGTGGGAAGTGCAGCGCAGGAGTACAGGATGCTCTGAGAGTTTATAAGAGCACTTTACATCTCGCTAATATCTATTACATGCATTAGCTCAGTTAATCCTCAGAGCAATCCTGGGCCGGGCATGGTGGCGTGTGACTGTAATCCCAGCTACTCCAGAGGCTGAGGCAGGAGAATCGCTTGAACCCGGGAGGCAGAGAGAGGTTGCAGTGAGCCAAGATCGTGCCATTGCACTCCAGCCTGGGTGACAGAGAGAGACTGTCAAACAAACAAACAAAAAAACAGTAAAAATCAAAATTAAAAAACTTGTATTCCCATTTCACAGATGGGGACATAACTGAAAGTCAATTAGGTACTAAGTGGGAGACTCAGAATTTAAATCCAAGATTGCCCAAGACAAAAGTCCTAGGCTCTAAACCACTGTGCAATTCTGTCAGGTCTGGAACAGAAACACCACAGTCCCTGCCCTCAAGAAGTTCACAAGAAACACCCTAATGAAATGTTTCATGACAGGTGGGGACAAGCAATGGCAGGAGTGGCTACTGAGGGATGCTGTGGTCATTCAGAGGACCTCCGTGTGACACAGAGGGATGGGAGCCAGAGAAAGGGATTGGGTGGAGTGTTGAAGGGAAGGGTTTCCCAGGCTCGGAATGGGTGTCAGCCTGGCTGGGAGTGGGGTTCCGCTGGGGAGCAGGATGACCTGTTTTGGAGAAGGGGGAAGAGGCCTGGCACCTTGCTTCTCACTGCAGACCCCCTATGCCTCTTAGAAACCCACCTCTGTCCATGCCTGCCCTGCTTTGGACAGGGGCCTCATCCTCTCCCCTGAATGCCTACACAGCTTCCTTCCTGGTCTTTCTGCCTCCAGCTTTCCTCAGCTCTAACCCACTCTCAACAGCCCATGGAATCTTCCAGAAACACAAATATAACCATGTCACTGCTCTCCTCTGCCTTTTCCATAGAAAAATGCCACACTGGCCTTGGTCTCATCCTGTTCCTCTTTTCCACCAGCATCTTATGCACCAGGCATATGGAACTCAAGTTTCCCAAATGCATGGGGCCCTTCCATGTCACTGCACTTTGCATTTACTCTGCCCTGTATTTGGAAATCCTTCCTGAAGGGTCTCATTCATTCACAAACACTTAATGAACACCTACTGTGTGCCTGACACTGTTCTGAACCCTGGGAACAAAACAGACAAAAATCCTTGTCCTCATGGAGTTTTATATCATGGTGAGGGATAGAGACTAAAACAAAACAAAGAAGTCACCCCTCATATCCACATCTGCATCGTGGATTCAACCAAACATAGACAGAAAATGTAGTTAAGCTTCCAATGGTTGCACCTGTACTGAACATGTATAGACTTTTTTCTTGTTATTATTCCCTAAACAATACAACAACTATTTACATAGCATTTATATTGTATTAGTTATCATAAGTAATCTAAAGATGATTTAAAGTATATGGGAGGATGTGCACAGGTTATGTAGAAATACTATGCCATTTTATATAGGGGACCTGAGGTGCCTGGATTTTGGTATCAGCGAGGAGTCCTGCCCCATGGATGACTATAATACACAACAGTAGGTGCTACCGAGCGCTATGGCCGAAACTGCAGCACGGAAGGCAGGATGAATAGGGCCTTGAGGCCACTGTGATAATTCTGAGTGAAATGGGGAACCATTAGAGGATGCTAAGCAGAGAATGACATGATCTCTCTTAGGTTTTAGGATAATCCCTCTGGCTATCATGTGTGGATAAACTGAAGGGGGACAGATGGGGGCAAGGAGACTAGCAAGCCACACCCTGCTTGTCCTTCAAAGCTCAAGAATGGGCTGGGCATGGTGACTCACACCTGTAATCCCAGCACTTTGGGAGGCTGAGGCAGGCGGATCACCTGAGGTCAAGAGTTCGAGACCAGCCTGGCCCAACATGGTGAAACCCCATCTTTACTAAAGATACAGAAATTAGCCAGGCATGGTGGAGGGCACCTGTAATCCCAGCTACTCAGGAGGCTGAGGCAAGACAATGGCTTGAACCCGGGAAGGGGAGGTTGCAGTGAGCTGAGATCACGCCATTGCACTCCAGCCTGGGTGACAGAGTGAGATCTGTTTCAAGAAAAAATAAATTCATCTAAAAAAAAGCTCAAGAATGATCCCTTGTCTGAGTGAGGCTGCTCCGTCCTGGTCCCTGGATCACCCTTTGCTTACTTATGGACAGCCCTGGCCACACCCTACCATGACTATCTTCATCTCCTCCCTATCTGCACTGTGATCTCTGTTACCCTGGCCCACTACCTGCCCCAGAGCAAACACTCAAGCCCACTGGGAGAATGCATTAGGAATGACTGTCTATGTGACCTATAGGTCCTCTCTGCATTCCCAAAGCGGTGTCACTTCACTGTGACCTGGAGGGGAAAACAGTACAACTAGCTCATTTGAAAAAAAGGGTAAGTGAGTTCTGGGGAGCATTGATAAAGCTCAGTTTCACTGATCTGAAACAGGTGCCTTAGAGTTCCCACTTCCCCACATCTGTCTCTAGCTCAGTGTCCACCTTCTCCAGCCCCAGCCGCCTGGGAGATTCCTGGGGGTAGCCAGGTATGAGAAGGCACCTCCTCCACTGCTTCCTGTTCTCATTTAGGGTGGTCCCTGCTGGCCTTCAGGCCTGGCATTGCCTCCCACTCTGACTCCCTCCCACAGCCTGCCCATCTCCCCTCCCAGGGCTCTGAGGAGGACAGGAGCCCTGCAGAGCAACGATCCACATATCAGGAGCAAGGGAATTAACATTTCCAGGCTGTAATTATACCTTCTGCTGGTGACACCTAAGGAAGCATCTTTTTATAAAAGCAGGTAAATTGAAGGCTTATGGGACTGTGGAAAATGGGTGTATTTTTAGCTCCCTCCCCTCACCACCCTTGATTGCCAGAACCCTGGTAATTGCTCTGGCACCAGTGGTTGGAACCAAGGTGGAGGTCTCAGAGTGGGGTCAAGGGGTCATTGAGAAGGGGATCCAGGAGGCACTGAGAACCTTGCTAAGCCAAGTGGGAACCTAGGAAAGGGGCCTGGGGAAATGCTCTCTGATAGGGAATTACGGGGAAGAGTCGTTCGTGAGCAGGTGGAGAGTACATTTTAAAAATTATATATAGCAATAGTAATAATAGTAACAATAACAATAATAGTAATGATATCTGACCCTTACATCATACTTGTTAAGTGCTAGGCAGTGTTCTAAATGCTTTTTGTAAATTAACTCATTAATCCTCACAACAATCATGTGAAGTAGGCACAGCTATTATCCCCATTTTGCAGATGAGAAAACCAAGGCATACAAAATTTAAGTGTAATTTTGAGTTAGACATTGGAGTTACATATGTGCATCTCTACACACACACAAGTTTGCTGATTTTAATGGGTGAATGAATGAATTCCCTCACTTTGTATTCCCCAGATATTTACAAAGAGGTCTAAAGCTTAGCCAATCAAAAAGCTCTGAACAGTTAGGAAGTCCCTCCCTTTTAAGGTGGGGTCTGATCCCACTTCCTGTTCTCCTCTTAAGATCTTGACATCCCACTGGTGCAAAGTCAACCATCTTGGTTAGTGGGCAGCCCCACCATGTTCTTAAGCACAGAACAGTGGAGCAAGAGGCTGTGATGAGATGCTTTAGGAGCTGACAGCAGGAGCCCTGGAGCTTGCAGGATCTCTGGCCATTTAGGGAACTAGCTGGAAAAGTGGATCTGCTGATATCAGAGAAAATGTGTGGGGAGAGGAGAAGAAGGATGAAATAGGGTCTCCCTAGATGTTGTCCAGTGGTAGCTGCTATCTAGGGACACCCCTTCTTCAAGCAAGGACATCAGCGTAGAAAAGGCTCCAGAGAGGGAGAGGCGGGGAGAAAATGTGATTTTTAATGCAAGCCTCAGTAATCAGCTATTTGTGATGGAATTTTATCTGTCCTGGTCTCTAAGGGACAAGAAGCGGGAGTGAGGGAAGAGGGGTCAGAAATTAGTATGCAGAAATATCTGATCAGCCAAAGTAATTTTCTTTAATAATCGTATTCATACTGCCTGCTCTCTGCTCACAAGAAGAATTAAGTATTTAATAGTAATATATTTCATCTGGCAGTGGTTCCGTTTCGTTAGGAACTGTGATGCCTCGTTGGGGTATGTGGTGGGTGGAGGTCTGTGTGAGGGACAGGTAGGAGATGGCAAAGCAAAAAGAATAGATAAGCAAGCAGGAGGGAAATGGGCATGGGAGGGCAGAAAAGGAACTAGAGGGAAGCCATGTGCCAGGGCGAGCCCAGCACCCCTCTGAGATGCCACTCAAGTGCTTTCATTGCCTGAGCTGGGCTGTGAACTCTGTCCTCTGGCTTTAGTTGATATGCCCCAAAGGCCCCTACTTCTGACCCAATTCCTCAAGCTTTATCCCCAACCTCCAAAGATAGGTTCTCTTTTCTAACCTCTGGTCTTCCAGCCCTGACACCCTCTCCCAAAGACTCATAGAGGAGCTGGTTGGCTAGTCCTTCTGTGGTAGCATTACACGGTGAACTGTGGACCATGCTCTAACCCCTATAGCTAAGCTGCCAGAGCTCTGTGGGCAGATTCCTGGGGCTGCTTCCATGTATTTCCCAGGCCAGAGGTGAGCACGCAGTTCCTGGCTCATACCGGAGCAGGGTGGATACAGAAAGAAGCAGCAGCTTGCACCGGCTGGAGAAGCTGACAGCTGCCTCTCTGCCCCAGGGCTGCAGAAGCAGTGTGTTTTAGCTATGGCATGACTTAATAGTTAAAAAGCAGGCCCAGCACATGCCAAGGACATAGCTGGTCACACTGGGCACTCAGGCATTCAACCTCCACTGGAGGCACTTGGAGAGGCTCTTTGCCTTCTCTGCTTCCCAGAGCTCAGGTGCCTCAATGGAAAACAGCAAGAAAGGTGCAACCACATTTGCCAATGAGATGGAGACAGAGAGAGGGCTCAGCTGCAGATAGCAGAGTTCAGTTTCTTGCCACTCTTTTAAAAGCAAACTCCACCAACTGATGTGCAGTGAGGCTGGCATTTCCAGGCGCCTGACAGGCTGGAATTAAACACCTGTCCGTTAAACTGACAGCCCCTGGAAGGAAAGTGAGGGAAAGAGAAGGTAGAGGGGGAGAGCTGGAAACCCAACAGCAGGCCGGCTCCTTCCTTGTAGGAGGCATTGTGTGTGCCCAAGAGAGAGTCCAGGATCAGAGTAAGCGGCACCTCTGGGTCCCTGCCCTCTGGTTTCTGAGGGAGCGTGTAGGCAGGCCCACAACAAACTAATACTCAGACCTGGACATTAGGGATAGAGAAGGAGGCCGGGCCAAGGAGAAGCTGAGAGGCTTACCATCATTTGCTCAAAGCTCCAGCTCAAAGGCTAGTTGCACCCTGACAGCCTCCCTGCTCTCTCCTTCCTCACCCACATACACAACATCTTAACTGCTCTGAACCCTTCAGGCACATGCCAGGCACTAGGCAACCCGTCCTGAACTTCCCTGAGACACCTCTTGGGCTGTTGTTTAACATTTGAATGGGTCGGTCCTGGCTCCCCAACTCCCCAGCGTAAGCTCCTAGGGAGAAGGAAGCTTGTCTTTGACTTCAAAGATGCTCCCCTACAGTCTTCAGTGCATCCTAGTGGGTGGGGCCAGTGTGGGGTGATAGGTTTACAGATGGATGGGAATCATGGGTAAATGAACAGATGGATGAGTGGATGGATGCAACACTGATCACTAGGTGCTGTATGTCACTGTGCCGAGGCTGGTTGTTAAAGTTAGTAAGTAGTCGTTGCCCCTAACCAGGGAAGGCCAACCTCCAACCATCTGGGACTTGCTGGACCTCATACCATTCAGCAAGTAAACATTAGCACCCCGCCCAGCAGGGGGCCTCAGGCCCCTGCTCCATTGCTATGACCAGCGTCCATTCTTATTGGTCAGTATACGGGATTATTATTTTAACCAACACTCCTGAGTGGGCAGATGAACAGAGGCCAGGACTGAATGTGAAATTAGATGATTTTAGGGAAGGAAGAACTGGAAGGAAGTAGGTAGGAACTTGTGACAAGCCAACTCGCTTGTCAGGTGAGTGGGTTTTTGTTTCTCACACTCAACCATGACCTTGGGCTATTTAGTAGAACTCTGAGCCTCAGTCTGCTCACCTCTCAAGTGAGAACAGTATCTGCCTTGCCCACTTTAGAGGGTGGTCGTGCCTGGTTGGAATCTGTCCCTCGCTCCTCTAGGCATTATTCTTTGCTCTGCACGTGCCCGTTTCTCTAATAGATAATGAGCTCTTTGCAAACAAGGATGCAGTATAAAACATCTTTATATCCCAGAGCGTGCTTGGTAAATGTTGGTTGAATGGATGAATGCAGGAGTAATGAATGAGTGAATGAAAAAAAGAGCAGACTCTGAAAAGTATAGCAGGAGAGAGTAGGGTGCACATGGGGGAAGTTGTTGTAAGATGGATGGGAGGTGGAGAGGGGGAAGACCAGGGAGGGGCACTGCCCAGTATCAGAAGGGATCTTCTCGCACCCTTGATCAACTCCTCATGTGCCTCCTTCACTACCCTGGTGATGCCCAAGTTTTGGGAGCATGAGGCCAGCATATGTCCTCGTGGGAGAGTGGGCCCCTGAAGGCAGATCCTAGTGTGGGTAGCGCTGCTTCATCCAGCTTCCCAGGGTGCACCACTGCAGTCTCTGTGAGCTCCAGGTATGAAACTCAGGGTTGTCCAATGAAGGGAGAGGGGAAGCACCAGAAGACAAGACAGGGAACCAGAAAGGCTAGAGGAGAAGACCAAGGCTGGAGGAGCTGAGGAGCACACCGACCTTGACTTCAAACCTTGCCCTCCCTCCCCTCACTCTAGTGGTACCATCAACGCATCCCTTCTCAGATCCCCAGCCTGGCTGGCTGCCCCTTCCCAAGTCTCTCTCTGGGCTCCCCTCTTTCTCATATCCAGGGCCTATTTGGAAGGCCAGGGCTCTGTCTCCAAATCCTGCCCCACACTCTGGAATCATCCCTGGGTGATCTCAGCCTCCTCCCAGCTCAGTACACATGATTCAGCGCTTAATTATTTCCTATGGAATAGGATTCGCCGTTTGCTCATGTGCGCATGTGCTGTACGTGAGGGTGCTCTTCCATGTACCCACCACCCACCCATGGCCACAGGAGTTACAGCTGGTCTCTCTGGCAAGGCCACTATTCTTTTTCTTCTCTCTTAGAAAGGAGGTCTTGGCCGGGCACAGTGGCTCATGCCTGTAATTCCAACACTTTGGGAGGCTGAGGCAGGCGGATCATGAGGTCAAGAGATCGAGACCATCCTGGCCAATGTGGTGAAACCCTGTCTCTATTAAAAATACAAAAAATTAGCTGGGCATGGTGGCGCACGCCTGTAGTCCCAGCTACTCAGGAGGCTGAGGCAGGAGGATCGCTTGAACCCCAGAGGTGGAGGTTGCAGTGAGCCGAGATGGTGCCACTGCACCCTAGCCTGGCGACAGAACAAGACTCCGTCTCAAAAAAAAGGTGGGGGGGTCTCACTCTATCACCCAGGCTGGAGTGCAGTGCTGCAATCATAGAATTATATCTCACTGTAGCCTCGAACTCCTGGGTTCAAGTGATCCTTCTGCCTCAGCCTCCCAAGTAGCTGGGACTACAGTGCCACCACAGGCCAGAATTCTTTTGTTTAGGGCTTCCAGTAAGAAGAAAGCTGCCACAAGTAGGGGCTGGGGAGTAGCTTGCTGGGCAAGCTGCCCCCCTTTAAAGGGTTATTTTGAGAATTTGAGGACAGGGGTGTGAAAGCACGTTATAAACTTAAGTGATCTGAAAATCCACAGGAGCATTAGAATTATTCTTGGTATCATGATCATGATCATTATTGGTTTAGGTGTAGCTGACAAAGCAGGAAGGGGCAACAGCCAGATCTTATTAAGGTTCTGCTATAGATCAGAGTGATAATGTGCAGACTTCTAGGGAAGAAAAATTCTTTGCCATCTGTTTGTGTTACAACAGATCTTTCTGGGGATTTGCCACCCCACCCCCTCCCTGCCCCTTGGAACCCATCCTGAGCCCCTTCAGAACTCAGCGTGGGCACCACTCTTCACATTCAGCCATCCACTGTCTCCAACTCTTCTCAGCCCCCTTTTCTATATCTCATCTCCTCAGCCAGACTGTACATTTCCCCAGACTGTACATTTCCCCAGACTGTACATTTCCCAGACTGTACATTTCCGCAAACTGTATGTTTCCCAGACTGCACATTTCCCCGACTGCACATTTCCCCAGACTGTACATTTCCCAGACTGTACATTTCCCCAGACTGTACATTTCCCTAGACTGTACATTTCCCAGACCGTACATTTCCCCAGACTGTACATTTCCCAGACTGTACATTTCCCTAGACTGTACATTCCCCAGACTGTACATTTCCCCAGGCTGTACATTTCCCAGACTGTACATTTCCCTAGACTATACATTTCCCAGACTGTACATTTCCCAGACTGTACATTTCCAGACTGTACATTTCTCTCTAGAGCACTTAGCACTGTGGGGGAACACAAAATGTGAAGGAAAAGAAAAGGAGAAGGGGGCCGGGTGTGGTGGCTCACACCTGTAATTCCAGTACTTTGGAAGGCCGAGGTGGGCGGATCATCTGAGGTCGGGAGTTCGAGACCAGCCTGACCAACATGAAGAAACCCCGTCTCTACTAAAACTACAAACATTAGCCAGGCATGGTGGCGCATGCCTGTAATCCCAGCTACTCGGGAGGCTGAGGCAGGAGAATCGCTTGAGCTTGGGAAACAAGAGTAAAACTCCGTCTCAAAAAAAAAAAAAGAAGAAGGGAAAGGAGAGGCAGATGGGGATGAAGAGAGGGAGATAGGAATGGAGAGATGGAGAGAGGAGAAAGAAAGAAAAAAAGGGGAAGAAAGGAAGGAAGGAAGAGAGGGAAGAAGGAGGAAGGGAGGAAAGGGAGGAGGGAAAGGAGAAGGAGATAGGGATAGAAGGAAGGCAGAAGGAAGGAGAGAGGAAGGAAGGATGAAGGAAAAGGGGGAAGGAAGGAAGGAAGAGAAGGGGGGAGGAAGGAGGAAGGGAGGGAAGGAAAGGATAGCACTGGATTTGCATCCAGTCTTGGATCTACCACTCTCACAAATTTGAGTGTCCTTCACCAAGTTGCCCAACCTCTTATTACTCAACAACCTCAAGCTGCTTCAGTTTCCCCATCTACTAATGAATCTTCCGGTACCTTCTGCCAAGAGTCAGAGAACCAGAGACTCCCAGACCCCATTTCTAGCCAACCACTTTCTCCAACCAGACCTGCCTACACAGGGAGCCGGCTCCCTAATGTTCAATTTCTGGACCCCTGGGTCCTCCCCTCCCCTCCCCACTGGCCCCCACCCATATCCTCACAGGGGCGCCCAGCTCCAAGCCTGTGTTTGTGAGCTCACAAGGAACCACGGGACACGGGCCTTTCTCTCTGCCGTAATGAAACCCTTTAATCATATTCAAATAGGTTACTGTTCAGGGGGAAAATAGAAATATGGATTTGATAGCAATAAATTTCCCTGGCTGGCTAAGCCCAGTTCTTAATTGTCCTGTCCCAGGGCTCGCACATTTCATTGTTCGTTAGGTGCTTAAGTCCCCACTCTCATTTTGTGGCGGTGACATTACCGTTGATGGCTCTAATACTCTCATAATTTGAAAGGGGATTTGCATGATAGAACGCAGAGTATTAAAAGAAAAAGAAAAAAGGGAGAGAGAAAAATGGTGGGGGCAAGATGGGAGGAGGAGCTCGGAAGGGAAGGGGGGCAGCATGCGGGGGAGGGGGCGGATGAGGAACTCAATCCAGCTTTCACTTTAAAAAAGTCACTTTCTTCAAAGTCAAATCATTGTTTTCATTAAAGTAAAAAAAAAAAAAAAAAAAGGAAGAAAGAAAAAAGCCAAGGCTGCACATTGGGCTGACTGGGCACTGGTCTTCTCCGTATTGTTCCTAATGGTTATTAATTATTATTATCCGGCTGTGCAGGGCTCTGTGGACGTGATGTCCCCAATGTCCTTGGGGTGGAGCTGGGGGGGGCGGGCGTCAGGGGAGGGGCTGACTCTGGATGGGGAGGTTTGCTTCTGGGCCACAAGAGGATGCAGATGCCCACCTTGTGGCAGGAGCCAGTCGGAGCCCAGCTCTAGGGAGGTGGAGGCGACAGGGGACGCTTTCCTAGAAAGCAGGCCTCTGTGGGAGGAATCGAAGGCTCCTGGGTCCTGGCCAACTCTTCTTGGGCTTCCTAGAAGTTTCTTCTTTTAACAACCAGTGATTTAGGCATAACCAGCCTTGCTAGATACAAGACAGTTCAGGTCACTGATGGGGTTTTCCGAGTCCCTTTTGCAAACCGGCTTCCTCACCTTCCCTGCTGCCCCAGTCCAGAACCGAATAGGGCCTCACACAAGTTTTGTGGATTCCCAAAAGGGCTTCACTTCACTCTGTCACTGGGCACAATGGGTCAGTGAATGCTGTGGCCGAGCTGCCCTTTCTTCCTGGCTGGTTGGGGCTGGGGGTGTGTCTCAGGGTCCCAGTGACATTTTGCCTTCTACTTAGCATCTTTCTATATAGTGCCAGAAGTTCTAGAAATCACAGCAGCCCTGGGTTTCTGGGGCGTGGCGGAGGGCCAATGCAGCTTTCCTTGAGGTGATGGGTCTGTGCTCCAAGTAAGGCCGCTCCAGGGGAGTCATGAGTTCCCTCAGCCTGGAGAGGATAGGTAGCTTGGCCTGTGTGGACAAAGTAGCATGGATGTGCGGGGAGCGCTGCAGAGAGCAGGGCATGGCATGCAGCATGTGTGTTCTGGACTGTGAGTTGGTGCAGAGTATCGCCTGTCTGCATGGGCTCCTACCCTCCATGCAGCTCCCACCATACCCCCTGGTGTGGTCACTTTCTAATCATCACCCTACTGGCCTGCACCCTTGAACCGTCTTCCCTGGGACAGGGCTGGGCCCCACAGAGAGCAGTGGCCAGAGCCACCCTGTATCGTCAGGATGTCCCCCACCTGCACGGCACCCCTTGTGCTTCTGCCAGGTTGATGCCCCTTCTGGCCGCTCCCTTACCCCCTCCACTTCCTGGGGACTCTGTTCTGGATTAGAATTTTAAAGCGAATAAATTCTGGGGTTGAAATAAAAGCTGTCTACAGAGAGCCTGCTCACATTTCTCCTTCTCCCTCTCTTTTGCCTGCTTCGGGAAGTGGGAATGCTGGAAAGGCGTGGTCTCAGGTCCTCCACAGTCTGCATGCACGCATGTGCCCCTCGGCCCTCACAGGCAGTCTTTTTCTATCTGCTGCCCCTCCCTACTGACCACTCCTCACTCTGAGCCCAGGACCACCACCAGGATGCCCAGTTCCTAGGCATGGGTCTGGAATTGGCTTCCCCGGAGAGTTGCCATTGCTCAGCCCCCCACAACTGCAGAAATCTAGATTATCGCCCATTTAATGAAGCTGAAGTTGCAGGGTAAGGGAGAAAGGAATAAAGAAAAAGTGGGAGGTTATGGAGAAGAAACCTAGGCCTGCGCAGGAAAACAAATGGTCTTTCTTAGATGCTGAAGCCCTAGGTGCCAACACAGTGCTTTTTTCTGTAGGGATCCAGGTGGAGGGTGGACAAGTGGCAGCCCTGTCCTCATCTCTGCCTCCACACAAGGGTGGCAGGCCCTGCCTCTTCCCCAACCTGGGAGTGATGGAAGGCCACAGACCCAGCCCCTCCGCTCCCCAGCCTGACTGCTGGATTCATAACATTTCCGACATGAGCAGTCTTCAGAGGTGCTGTCTGAAGCCACCGGGAAACAAACTTGGCGGCCCCCCCACTACCCCACCCCAGAGACCCCCAAGGAGAAGCTGTCTCTAGGAAAGGGGGTGGGGGGGAAAGCAGAGAGACAAAGTGATTCTTAAACATTTTCCTTCTCTGCAGTCACTCAGGGAGGAGGGGGTGAGGGGTGAGGGAGGCTGGAAGGGGGGCCAAAGGGGGCTTAATAGGCTCCGGTGACAGCACAGTGTCCACATTGGGAAAAGATTAATGACGAAAATTAATCGCCTGACCTTTCTTTCCAGGAGCTGGAGGTGAGGCGGGCCATTAAAGCCTCTTATGTTGTAATTAACGTTGGAGGGGAGAAGAGAGCTGCCTTCAGAATGGATGTGATCATTTAATTAGGCTTAGGCGTAGGTGCCACAACAGGTCCGGAGAAGTCATAATTTAACTACAGCTTTAAATTACACAGGCAGAGTGGGGATGGCAGAGTTTGACGGCAGGAGAGCCTGCCTCGGAGCTCGGGGAAACAATTAGATAAACATCCCGAGTGAGTGAGAGAGCCGGTCAGAGACAGACAGACAGACAAAGCGGTAGGCGCTGACAGTGAGAAAGGTGGGGAAGAGGCAAGGAAGGGGGTGGTGCGAAGGGCGGCGAAGAGGGGCAACCGTAGGAGTCCCTGAGCGAGAAGAAAAGTGAGATCCCCAAGAGTGAGCGGCGGCCTGAGGAAGAGGGGTGTGTGTGTGTGTGTGTGCGCGCGCGCGCGCGCGCGTGTGTGTGTGTGTGAGCGCGCGCACGTTTCTGGGGCGAGTGCCTCTGGGCACCCTCAACAGCCCCAGCCGGAGGTGCAGACTGCATTCTTCAAACATTCTTCAAACACACCCGACCTTCCAGAACGTGCAAAGACACTGAGCTGAGAAGGCGGTGAGGGCCAGGCATTGCATTGGTCCTCGCCTTCTCGGGGCGCCGCTCCCCACGCAGTCTCCCTGCTCGAGCTCGGGAAGAGGAGACACCTTCCTTTCCCACCCTGGAGAGTCTGGTGGTCCCCGAGCGCCCCGCCCCACCCGCGCCCTCAGGGACGGCCAGGGCCGGGCCGCGCGTCCTAGGCACCCGGAGCGAGCTGCTAAGCCGGACTGGACGGCGGGAGCCATCTGGGCCAGCGCGGGGGCCGGGGAAGTTCAAGGCCCGGGCACTGCGCAGCGCCGAGGGGGATGACCCGCCGTCTCCGGGGCGCCAGCGCCGGCTAGTTGCTCAACCTGCTGGATTAGTCACTCGGCGGGACCCGCGGGACCGTCGGAAAAACGCGAAGGGAGCGCTAACGCGCAGTGGGAGGGAAGGAGAGGACTGAAGAGAGACGGGGGAGGGGAGAGGAGGGGTCGGCTGCCAGGCCTAGGTGGGGTGAATCCGCAGCTGGGCTGACTCAAGCGGAGGAGCCGGAAGGACACCCCGCGAGGCTTCGGGGCGCGCTTTTAGGGAGGCGCCGCCTCCAGCTTTGTGCCAGAAAGTGGGGGTTGCGGCTCAGGCTTGAATCCAAGAAAGGCTCCGGGTGGAACTCCTGGGCACCCTGGGTCCTTACTCTGCCTTCAGGCGCTGGCCACCGTTGGGACTTCCTGGGCCCCAAGGGACTTTGATGATCTCACCGTCCCCTCCTACTCTAGCCCATGCCAAAGCCACTGTGAGCTGGAGGGACGCTGGGAGAATAGAGGGAAGAGAGAGAGGCCAAGGGATGGAGTTGTGGAGGTGGGGTAGGAAGCGCCGGGCAGACCCCTGCTGCTGTCAACACTGAGGCCTAACCTGTGGACGGCACCCACCATTTGGGTTGGAAGAAACCCAACCCAAATGTGGATTGGATTGGAGTTATGGATGCGGGGGAAGACAGAGACCCCGCACCCCCAACTTCCCACTCATTTACTAGCCCCCACCCACAGATAATCAAGTAAGAGCCTGCCTCCTGCCCCTCCCCCACAGAAAAAACACAAAAGCCACCAAACGGTCGCTGGAAGGACACTCTTTTCTTCTGAAGCAGGGCAGTTTCTTCATTTTGATTAAACATCCACACATTTCCAAATTAGTGAATCTCTTCTCAGTTGGAGCTTGGTCCCTGCCTTGCTGGTTGATTGACTGATTGACTGCTTGATTGATTGCCTAATGAGTCTCTTTGGTCTCTCCTAGGGCTCAGACGTCTGTCCTAAGAATGTCCAGCCTGCACTGGGGATAAAGGAGGAGCTGTAGCCTCAAGAGAGACAGATAGGGGTGGGACTGGGTGGAGGTGCTGGGTGCCAGATAGGGGATAGGGCTCTGCTCCTTGACCAGGGCTCAGGCTGGCCCAGAAGGCTTGGGGTCACGTCTGGATTGTGCCCCCGGGCTGCCTTTGCCGTGTTGACTGTCCACAGAGCCCAAACACCCAGACCCAGAACTCCTGAGACCCTGACCTAAGTCAGATGGGGACGCAAAGGCCACTTAGCACCTGGAAGGCCAGATGGGGAGTACGGAGAAAAAGTGGGAAGCAGGGGGTGGGGTGAGGAGGCAGGGAGTGGGGAGGGGGGAGTTGGTGAATAGAGATGAATGGGAGCGGGAAGCCTGGACCAGTCTACGGCTCCCTTAGTTGAGATTAGCAGGGAGAACCCCTGCCTCTCACCTCACTAAGTGGGACTGTGCATCCCTCACAGAGAATCCCAGCTCCTAGGAGACTGCTTTCATCGTTTAGATGTTCCCTTTCTCTCTCAACAAACATGTGCACTCAGGGACCTGCCTTGGGAGGGACCCTGGGACCCCTGCCTTTGCCATTTCATTTGCAATAAAATCTGAACTGGTAAGAGCCTGCCAAACTGCCCTGGGCCCCACCTCTCCAACTCAGTCTCATTTCCCTCTTCCCCTCTTCATTGGCTCCAGACACATCCCTGGCCTTCTTTCTTCCCCCCACCTACAATTTAAGCTCCAAGAGTGCCAGCCTAGGCTGTCAGGTTCACCAGCTACTCTGCAGTGCCTAGAATGGTGCTGGCCCATAGTAACCACCCAGCAAACATTTGCTGACTAAATGAGTGTCTTATAGTTCTCTTTCTGTAAGTCCCCCCTCCACCCCAACAGGGCTTGGCACACAAAGAAGCCCCTCACCGTATGGCCCTCTGATATCCTGCTTTAGCTTTTCCTTCTGTTTATAAAGCTTCCTTCTCTGCAGAGACAGGAGTTGAGTATTTTGCGGGGACGGTCTCATACAGAGGTCACAAATTACCCTACAGCAAAAACCAACAGTCCACTTGGGATCTCCAACCCATAACGGCCAAGATAGTGGGCTCAGCCAGGAAGTGCAGGGGCTCACCTGGCCAGCAAGAGCCCTATCCCATCCTATCCAAGGCCCTGCCAGTGAATTCCTAGGAAATAGAGGAGGAAAAAGCAATTAGAGGAATCAGCTTTTCAGAATGGACAGCAGGGTTAGCCCCCTCAGAAGAGATGAATGAGGTATCGCCTCATTCCAGGGGCCCTGCCTGGAGGAATTTGGTTGGGAGGAGTCCGAGAGTGGAGGAGGGATGGAGGGGTCCGCCTCTCCGTGTGAACAGCCTAGGCCTCCGCTGGCCTGTTTGTTTTTGTCTGACTGTTTGTTGGATGGGGGCAGGGGAGATAAAGATGTGGAAACAACCTTAAAATAACCTCCACAATTCCCTAGGCGCTGTCAGGACTAGGCGCTTGGGTCTATCTTGGGGCTTGCAGACTTGTATTGTGGCTGTGGGGGATGGGGTTGTGGGCCGATTCTGGCGTGTGTGTGTGTGTGTGTGTGTGTGTGTGTGTGTGTCTGTCTGTCTGTCTGTCTGCATGGATACACTGCTCTTGCCCTGATCCTTCTCCCCTACTTGCTCCCCTGTGTGCTCTGGGTGAGCTGGCATTGATTTCAGTCCCCTCAGCTGACACTAGCAGGAATGAATAATCTGGTGACTTGAGTTAGGAGGCAGGGCCTCAAGAAGACATGGCAACTGCATAAATCCTGAAGATGCGGGGCTCAGGTGGGCCCCACAGAGCACTGGGGTCACTCCCTAGGAGTTATGACTCTTTAATTCACTTACCTCCTTCTCCTCTTTCACCCCTGGCCAGTTGCATCAGCTGCAGAAGGCTTAACCCTACCTCTGTGCCCTGGGGAAGGGTGGGCACTGGGCCTTACCTGCAGAGTGGGATGGAGGCAGTGTGATCCCAAGACTCTTTTTCTCAGGCCCCAACTCTCCTGCCCTCCTCTCCTGCACTCCCATCCAGGTGCCTCCTTCCTCCTCCCCACCCAAGTAGGCATTCATGGCCAAGCCATAAAAACAGGTTTCTGGCCAGCCACCTTGGTGCACACCTGTAACCCTAGCACTTTGGGAGGCCAAGGCGGGAGGATCGCTTGAGCTCAGGAGTTTGAGACAAGCCTGGCAACATAGCGAAACCCCATCTCTACAAATAATACAAAAAATTAGTCAGGCATGGTGGCACATGCCTGTACTCCCACTATTGGGAGGCTGAGGTTGGAGGATCATCTGAGCCCAGGAGGTTGAGAAGGCTGCAGTGAGCCATGTTTGTGCCACTGCACTCCAGCCTGGGCAACAAAGTGAGACCCTGTCTCAAAAAAAAAAAAAAAAAAAAAAAAAAAGGTTTCTCTCTCACTTATGATTACCCCAGCTTGGGTACTTCTTCTACTTCTTCACACTGTTTAGGGGAATAAGAACCCAGGCATAGGAATCCACAAGGAGGCTTAAGTTAATCCACCCCTCCATATCTAGGCCTATGTCCCACGGACCTAGATAAAAGTGCAGGGTGAGGAACATTTGTCTTAAAATCTACTCCCTCCCCTTTTGTGTTTTTTGAGATGGGGGGTCTCACTCTGTCGCCCAAGCTAAAATGCAGTGGCTCAATCATGATCGAGCCTCCATGGCTCACATGATCTTCCTGCCTCAGCCTCCAGAGTACCTGGGACTATGGGAACATACCGCCACGCCCGGCTAATTTTAAATTTTTTTTGTAGAAATGGGATCTTGCTGTGTTGCCCAGGCTGGTCTCAAACTCCTTGGTTCAAGCGATCCTCCTGCTCCACCTCCAAAACTGCTGGGATTACAGGAGTGAGCCACTGTGCCCAGCCCCACCCGCTTTAATTTCCCTTCTCTGGCTCTTGCTCAACCTGGTTTTAAGCCCCCACTCTGCCACCAGCCTAGCTCTGCCAGCCTGACCTTGAGCAAAACCTTCCCTTCTGCCTGTTGCCTGTAACACCACCCAGCCAAGGTCTTTAACTTTTGGTCGGGTGGTAGCATCTCCCTAAAGGAGTGTCTGAGTTTTAAGAGGGACTTTTTAACCCCCATGTTTTAGTCATTAGATAGATGTGTGAGTGTGGGGGGAATTTCTGAAGAGGGACTTTCTAATGGATGCCCCCTTGCCCACTCAGAAGGCTCCTTTAAGCAACAGAGATGCCCTTTAACTTTCAGAAGGATGTTAGTCTCTGCCATCATCACCCCAAACCCAAAATAGTTGATGTTGGAATTTTTAGATGTTTCTGAACTCAGGGAGACTGGGCCCCAAACTGCCAAATATAAAATAATTTTCCAGTCAAACTTTAAAAGAGCATATTATTCATTCCTTTAGACATTAAACATTCATTGAGCACCTGCTGTATGCAAAGCACTGGGCACCCACACTAAGATGAAAACCAAGATAAGTAAGACAGCATGTAGATTCTAGCTGCCTGGTTGAGAGGTTACAGTCAGAAAGTCCTTATAGCCATTCAGTGACATACAGATAGGGATAGGAGAGGAAATGGGGTGAGCACAGGGAAGGGATAAGTATAGGGTCAGGGCTACCACCCTTCTTTTCCCCATGACCCCATGGGGGCAAATATGTCCTGTCTCTTCCTGGGTGGGTGATGTTCACTGCCCCTTTCTCCATTCCAATTGGAACTTCTAGATTGAGCCCGAAGCTAGACTTGCAGATCACAATTTTAAGAAAGTTGGATGTTCTGCAACAGGTTACACAGGAGCTATCATTGAGTCATCTTTTCGTTCACCCAATCATTTATTCATTCATTCATTCAACAAGTATTTCCCAAGCACCAATTCCATCCTCAACAAAAGACTCCTAAATCACAGGCCAGATGAAAGACGTCACTATTCACTTGGAAAAATTCAGCTGATTATGATCCTGGTCGGAGTGTACTCAGCGTCCCATGAGAGACACGGACCTATAGGGCTGCAGGAGCTCAGCAGAGGGAGCTGGCACCACAGTGGGGGGCATCGAGGAAAGCTTCCTTGGGGAGGTGGTACTTCAGTTACCTTTCGAAGGATAGGTATGACTGATATAGACTGAGTAAAGGGGGAAAACTTTGGCTTTCAATAAGAAGAAGGATAGGAAGGGAAAACTGCACATTAAGTTAGGCAAGTGGGAGTGAGAGGGAATGCTACATTTTGTGGGATGCTGAATGGACTGGTTTGACTGGAATCGAATTGTTGGAATGGGGCTGGAGAGGTAGGTGGATAGAGACCTGCTTGGAGATGGTGATGACCTTGAGGCTGTATTAGTCAGTTCTTACCACAGTAGTGCTGCTTAGCAAATCAAATGAACACTACTATGGCTTACAACAAGCCTTTGTCTTCTCACTCACGGACTTTGGGTTGGGCTCCAGACTGCTCCACGTTCTCCTTGAGCCAGCATGGCAATCACAGAAACTCTAGAGACAAGAGACCAAGCCAAAGAGCACAGACATTTTTAATCCTGTATTCTGGTCAAATCCATTGATTGACATGGCATTGGCCAAAGCAAGTCTACCATGACCAAGCCTACCGCCAGTGTGGCGGGAAAGTAGAGTCACATGACAAAGGGAGTGATGGTATAGGACGTAGAAAGTAAGAGTGAATAACTGGGACCAATGATCCATTGGAAAGTTCCACAAAACTTCCTAAGCAATTGGGTGGTATGAACCCCACCCTATGGTTGCTGGCTTCTTGTTTCTAAAGCCCTTTCACAGACAAAATCCCATTTTCATCCTCCCAACAAGTCCTCTGAAGGAGGTGTTGTGTTCCCATTTTTCAGATGAAGAAAGGTGACTCAGAGAAGCAGTGTGGCTCACCCAAGTGACATAGCTGGAAAGAGATGGAGCTGAGATTTGAACCGGAATCCTTAAGCTCCAAGCCCAGAGCTCCTTGCTCTCCCCTGCAGCTGCTTCAGAAAGATGGATCTGCTGTTGTGTGCAGGATGTGGGAGAGCCATGGGGGCCTGCTGCAGATGGCTGACAGCTGAGAGATGAAACAGCAGTCCCGGTCCTGCACGGAGGCCCAAGCTAGGCTGATGGCAGAAGGGGAGACAGAGGTCTAAGTCTTTTTTGTTGGTTTTTGCATTTGCTTCCTTTATTGAGGTGTAGTTTGTATAAAGTAAAATGCACAGATCTGAAGTGGACAGTTAGATGAGTTTTGTCAAACGTGTCTGCGTTATCAACACCCAGATGAATGTAGGGAACATTTCCATAATCCCAGAAAGGTTCCATTGTGTCCCTTCCCAGTCAGTCCTCCTTCCTCCAGGCAACCATTTTTTGGACCCCTTGTCACCACAGGTTAGTTTTGCATCTTTGGATATAAGTGGAGTCACACAATATGTTCTCTTTTTTGTCTGGCGTATTTCACTCAGCATGTCTTGGGATTCATTCACATCATTGCATGTAGCAGTAATCAGTTTATTTTTATTGTAATACCTATTCCGCTGTATGAATGTGCCATAATATTTAATCCATTTTCCTATTGGTGGACATTTGACGTTGTTTCTAGTTTCTTGGCTTCACTGACATTGTTGGTATGAATGTTCTTGTACAAGTCTTTTTCCGGACCTATGTTCTCATTCCTCTTTGGGTATATCCTTAGGAGTAGAATTGCTGGGTCATAGGTTAGGTGTGCATTCAACTTTACTAGCAAACGCCAAACAGTTTTCTTTTCTTTTCTTTTCTTTTTTTTTTTTAGACCAGGTCTCTCTCCATCATCCATGCTGGAACATAGTGGTACAATTACAGCTCACTGCAGCCTCGAACTCCTAGGCTCACATGATCTTCCTTTCTCAGCCTCCTGAGTAGCTGGGACTACAGGCATAAGTCACAATGCCTGGCTAATTTTTTGATTTTTTTGTAGAGATGGAGTCTTGCTATGTTGCCCAGGCTGCTGCCAAACAGTTTTCTAACATGATTTTACTATCTTACACATAAGCCAGCAATGGAAGAGAGTTCCAGTTTCTCTCTCTTCTTGCCAACATTTGGTAGGATCAGTCTTTTTTATTTTAGCCATGCTAGTGAGTATGAGAAGATATCTCATTGTTGAAAGGTCCATTTTCTAATCCAGTTTTCCTCTCTCCTGCTCTGGTCTGTATCTCAGGAGGCTGCCCTGGTAGGCTGCTTTTACCTGCGCTTGTTAGAGACTGGCTGCTAGCCAGGTTTAGCCAGTAGGAGGCTCTGGCAGGAGACTGGAGAGAGGGAGCAAGATAAAAGTCAGGGTAGGGTGGGTGCGGTGGTTCATGCCTGTAATCCCAGCACTTTGGGAGGTCAAGGTGAGCAGATCACTTGAGGTCAGGAGTTCAAGACCAGCTTGGCCAACACACCGAAACCCCATCTCTACTAAAAATACAAAAATTAGCCGGCATGGTGGCACACGCATGTAATCCCACTACTCGGGAGGCTGAGGCAGGAGAATTGCTTGAACTGGAGAGGTGGAGGTTGCAGTGAGCCAAGATCCTGCCACTGCACTCCAGCTTGGGGGACAGACGAGACTCTGTCTCCAAAAAAAATCCTCAAGACACTACCCAGGTAGTATCTGCAGCCACATTTCCTCCATGGCTCCAGCTCTTGGCCCCTGTGGGCCCTGCAACCTACCATGGTTGCAGCTTCCGCTGGTTGACCCCATCCTTGGGTTCCCAAAACACTGCTTTCTTCTTTTTTCTCTCTAGCCTAGGAGCGGTAGTGGCTTCTACTAAATAGCTTCACCAGTACCTCTTTGGCTTCTCAGCTCTTCCAGCACCTGTGTAACCATTTCCTGCCTCTGGGATCTTGTATTTGCTGCTCCTGTTACTAAGACTGCTCTTCCCCCGGTTATCTGCAGGGCTCTTTGGTCTTTGCACAAATGTTACCTTCTCAGTGATGCCTCCCTGCCCGGACCACCCAACTTAAAATTAACCACCCAGCACTCGTTATTTCTCTTTCCTGTTTTATTTTTCTCCATAGCAGCTATCATCTTTTTTCATACTTTCCTTTCTACATTTTACTTGTTTATACAGACATCCTGCGTTTTGTTGTGCTTCACTTTATGGTGCTTCACAGATACTACATTTTTTACAAATTGAAGGTCCGTGGCAACCCTGCATCAAGCAAGCCTATTGGTGCCACTTTCCCAACAGCATGTGCACAGTTCATGTCTGTGTGTTACATTTTAGTAATTCTTGAAATATTTCAAACTTTTTCATTTTGAGGTCAGAAGTTTGAGACCAGCCTGGGCAACATGGCGAAACCCCATCTGTACTAAAAATACAAAAATTAGCTGGGCATGGTGGTGCGTGCCTGTAATCCCAGCTATTCCAGAGGCTGAGGCAGGAGAATGACTTAGAACCTGGGAGGCGGAGGTTGCAGTGAGCCAAGATAGCGCCATTGTACTCCAGCCTGGGTGACAGAGCGAGACTCTGTCAAAAAAAAAAAAAGAGAGAGAGACAGAGTCTTGCTATGTTGCCCAGGCTGGATTCAAATTCCTGGGCTCAAGCAATGCTTCCACCTCAGCCTCTCAAGTAGCTGGGATTTGCAGGTGTCTGCCACTGCAATGGGCTTTCAAATTTTATTATTATTATTATATCTATTATAGTGATCTGTGATTAGCCATCTTTGATGTTACTACTATAATTGCTTGGGGCACCGTGTGTATTCTGACCACTCCATTCACTGCCCATTTCCCCATCTCTGTTCCTCTCCTAGGGCCTCCCTATTCCCTGAGACAAAATAATACTGAAATCAAGCCAATTAATAGCCCTTCATTAGCCAATAAGCATTCAAGTGAAAGGAAGAGTCACACATTTCTCACTTTAAATCAAAAGCTAGAAGTGATTAAACTTAGTGAAGAAGATACGTTGAAAGGCAAGATAAGCCAAAAGCTAGGCCTCTAATGCCAGTTAGTCAAGTTGTGAATGCAAAGGCAAAGTTCTTGGAGGAAATTAAAAGTGCTACTCCAGGGAACACACCAATAATAAGAAAGTGAGGCCAGGTGCGGTGGCTCACGCCTGTAATCTCAGCACTTTGGGAAGCCGAGGCGGGTGGATCACGAGGTCAGGCGTTGGATACCAGCCTGGCCAACACAGTGAAACCCCGTCTCTACTAAAAATACAAAAAAATTAAGCAGGCGTGGTGGCGCACACCTGTAATCCCGGCTACTCAGGAGGTTGAGGCAGGAGAATCGCTTGAACCCGGGAGGTGGAGGTTGCAGTGAGCCAAGATTGTGCCACTGCACTCCAGCCTGGGCAACAGTGTGAGACCCTGTCTCAAAAAAAAAGAAAAAAAAAAGAAAGTGAAATAGACTTATTGCTGATACGGAGAAAGTTTGAGTGGTCTGGATGGAAGATAAAACCAGCCACAACATTCCCTTATGCCAAAGCCTAACCCAGAGCAAGAGCCTAACTCTTCAATTCTGTGAAGGCTGAGAGAGGTGAGGAAGCTGCAGAGGAAAAATCTGGGGCCGGGCGTGGAGGCTCACGCCTGTAATCCCAGCACTTTGGGAAGCAGAGGCGGGCAGATCATGAGGTCAGGAGATTGAGACCATCCTGGCTAACACAGTGAAACCCCGTCTCTACTAAAAATACAAAAAATTAGCCGGGCGTGGTGGTGGGCGCCTGTAGTCCCAGCTACTCGGGAGGCTGAGGCAGGAGAATGGCGTGAACCCCGGAAGCAGAGCTTGCAGTGAGCCGAGATCGCACCACTGCACTCCAGCCTGGGCAACAGAGCAAGACTCCATCTCAAAAACAAAAAAAAAAAAAAAAAGAAGAAGAAGAAGAAAAATCTGAAGCTAGCAGAGATGGGTTCATGAGATTTAAGGAAAGAAGCCATCTCCATAACATAAAAGTGCAAGGTGAAGCAGCAAGTGCTGATGGAGAGGCTGCACCAAGTTATCCAGAAGAGCTGGCTAAGATCACTGATGAAGGTGGCTACACTAAACAACATATTTTCTTTTCTTTTTCTTTTTTTTTTTTTTTTTTTGAGATGGAGTCTCGCTCTGTCGCCCAGGCTCGAGTGCAGTGGTGCAATCTCCACTCACTGCAAGCTCTGCCTCCCAGGTTCTCCCCGTTCTCCTGCCTCAGCCTCCCCAGTAGCTGAGACTACAGGCACCCGCCACCACGCCCAGCTAATTTTTTTTTGTATTTTTTAGTAGAGACAGGGTTTCACCATGTTAGCCAGAATGGTCTCGATCTCCTGACTTCATGATCCACTCGCCTTGGCTTCCCAAAGTGCTGGGATTACAGGCGTGAGCCACGGTGCCTGGCCAACAACAGATTTTCAATGTAAATGAAACAGCCTTCTATTGTAAGAAGATGACATCTAGGACTTTCACAGCTGGAGAGGAGAAGTCAATGCCAGGCTTCAAAGCCTCAAGGGACAGGATGACTCTCTTGTTAGGGGCTAATGACTTTAAGTTGAAGCCAATGCTGAATTATATTCTGAAAATCCTGGGTCCTTTAAGAATTATGCTAAATCTACTCTGCCTATGTTCTATAAGTGGAACAACAAATCCTGGATGATAGCACATCTGTTTACAGCATACTTTACTGAGTTTTTTGAACCCACGATTGAGACCTACTGCTCAGAAGAAAAGATTCCTTTCAAAATATTACTGGTCACTGACAACGCACCTAGCCACCCAAGAGCCCTGATGGAGGTGTACAAGGTGATGGATGTTGTTTTTGTGCCTGCTAACACAATGACCATTCTCCAGTCCACGGACCAAGGAATAATTTTGACTTTCAAGTCTTATTATTTAAGTCTTATTTTGCAAGGACATACATTTTGTAAAGACATACATTTTGTGATCCACCCACCTCAGCCTCCCAAAGTGCTGGAGTTACAGGCATGAGAAAAAAAAAAAAAAAAAGGACATACATTTTGTAAGGCTATCACTGCTATAGACTGTGATTTCTCTGATGGATCTGGGCAAAGTAAATTGAAAACCTACTGGAAAAGATTCACCATTCTAGGCCCAGCACAGTGGCTCATGCCTGTAATCCCAGCACTTTGGGAGGCCAAGGCGGGCAGATCATGAGGTCAGGAGATCAAGACCATCCTGGCTAACATGGTGAAACCCTGTCTCTACTAAAAATACAAAAAATTAGCCAGGCGTGGTGGCGGGTGCCTGTAGTCCCAGCTACTCAGGAGGCTGAGGCAGGAGAATGACATGAACCCGGGAGGTGGAGCTTGCAGTGAGCCGAGATCACGCCACTGCACTCCAGTCTGGGCGACAGAGCAAGACTCCATCCCAGAAAAAAAGAAAGAAAGAAAAAGAAAAGATTCACCATTCTAGATGCTATTAAGAACATTCATGATCATGAGAGGAGGTCAAAATATCAACATTAACAGGAGTTTGGAAGAAATTGATTCCAACTCTCACGAATGACTTTGAGGGGTTCAAGACTTCAGTGAGGAAGTAGCTGCAGATGTGGTGCAAATAGCAAGAGAACTAGAATCAGAAGTGAATCTCATAACAAAATTTTAGTGTGTGAGGAATTGCTTTTATGGATGAGCAAAGGAAGTGGTTTCTTGAGAATCTACTCTGGTGAAGATGCTGTGAGCACTATTTAAATGACAACAAAGGATTTTGAATATTACATAAACTTAGTTGATAAAGCAGCAGCAAAATTTGAGAGGATTCACTCTAATTTTGAAAGAAGTTCTACTGTAGTAAAATGGTATCAAACAACATTGCATACTAGAGAAATATTTTATGAAAGGAAGAGTTCATCAATTACGCAAACTTCATTGTCATATTTTAAGACATTGTCACAGCCACCCCAACCTTCAGCAACCGCCACCCTGATCAGTCAACGGCCATCAACACTAAAGCAAGACCCTCCACTAGCAAAAACATTACAACTCACTGAAGGCTTAAATGATCATTAACATTTTTAACAATATTTTAAAATTAAAGCAGCTACATTTTTTTAGACATAATGCTATTGCACACTCAATAGATTACAGTACAGTGTATACATAATTTCTATATGCAATAGGAAACTAAAAAATTCATGTGACTTGCTTTATTGTAATATTTGCTTTACTTTGGTGGCCTGGAACTGAGCCTGCAACATCTTTGAGGTATGCCTGTATTCTAATTGCCTCTCTACCCCGACCAGAATGTTAGATTCATGAGGGTGGGATTTGTTGTCCATTTGGTTCATTGTTGTATCATCAGTGACCAGTGGCCAATATAGAGTAGGCAATTGAACATTTTTTGAGTGAATAAATATGGGCAGAGTATGAAAGCAGGCAGTCCCAAGGTTCTGAATTGGAATCCTTGAGTTAGGACTCCATGGGCATCTTTAAGTCCCATCACAGGAGTTCAGTGGGTGAAAGAGTCCCAGCTGAAAGATGGAGAAGGTGCTTCATCCCTCTGTCCCTGCTTTTCTCATCTGCCAGGCCACTTCCCCGGGAGAGGTGGGCCAAGCACACTTTGGGACCTCCCATGTTGAGCTCAGCTCTGGCCCCTACTCAGAGGCCCAGAGGGCTGCTCTTGAATTCAGCTGTCAAAGGACACATTTGGACACAAAAGCCCTTCTTGATTAAAGTAGGGCTTTCGTTGGGAGTGGATGGGGTCAGAGGTCAAGATGGTGCCAAGCTGTATTTTTTAAATGAATCTTGACCCCTACCTCACGGCATACACAAAAATCAACTCCAGATGGATTGTAGATCCAAATGGAAACAATACGACAATAAAGTTTCTAGAAGAAACATAAGATATCTTCATGACTTTAAGGTTGGCAAAGTATTCTTAAAAAGAGAACACAAAAAGCACTTAGCCATGAAGGATAAATTGATACACTGGCCAACATTACAATTAAGATGTTATGCTCATCAAAAGACACTTTGAAGGGAGTGAAAAGACAAGTTGCAGGATGAGAAAATATATATGTAAAATATATATTCACCAAAAGATGCACATCCAGGAGATAGAAATTAAAATACAGATATATAGATATAGATAGAACTCTTGAAAATCAATAAGAAAAAGAAAACCAGTCCAGCACAGTGCCTCATGCCTGTAATTCTAGCAATTTGGGAGGCCGAGGCAGGAGGATCACTTGAGGCCAGGAGTTCGAGGCTGCAATGAGCTATGATTGCGCCACTGCACTCCAGCCTGGGTGACAGAGCAAGTTCCTATCTCTAACAAACCAACCAACAAACAAATCGATAATAATACATGTTTTTTTAAAAAGCAAGAAAAAAAATAAAAAATTGGCAAAAAAATTGAATGAGCATTCACAAAAAAGGACACTCAAATATCTAATACACAAGAGAAAATGGATTTCATTTCATTAGTCATTAGAGAAATACAAAAATTAAACTCACAATGCAATACCACCATTCATCCAGCAAAGTGGTTAAAATAATAAGACAGAGAATACCAAGTGTTGATGAGGATGTGGAGCAAATGGAACTCTGATGTATTGCTGGTGAGAGTATATATTGGTTCAACAACTATTGAGAACTGTTTGGCATTACCTACTAAAACTGAACACATGCATTCTTTATGACCCAGAAATTCTATTCATCAGCAAATTTTCATAGCAGCACTATATATAATAGCAAAAATCGGGAAAAGCTCAACAGTAGAATGCAGAAATAGATTGAGGTAAATTCAGACAGTGGAACACTAGAAAGTAATGAGAAAGAATGTACTATTTCTCCATGCAACAATGTAAGTGAATCTTACAAACATAATATTGAGCAAAGAAAGCCAGACACAAAAAGTTTACATATTAGGAAACCAGGTGGGTGGTATGTGCCTGTAATCCCATCTATTCGGGAGGCTGAGGCAGGAGGATCACGAGCCCAGGAGTTCAAGACAAGCCTGGGCAACATAGTGAGACCCTGTCTCTTAAAAAAAAAAAAAACTTGTTTTAATTTTTAAAAAGCTTACATACTATATCATTCCATTTATATGAAGTTCAAAAACAGGCAAAATAAATCTATTGCATTAGAAGCTAGTATAGGCCAGGAGTGGTGGCTCACCCCTGTAATCCCAACATTTTGGGAGGCCAAGGTGGAAGGATCCCTTGAGCCCAGGAGTTCAAGACCAGCCTAGGCAACACAAGGAGACCCGGTCTCTATTAAAAATGAAAATAAAATAAAATAAAATAAAACAAAATAAAGAAGTTAGTATAATGGCTACTTTGGGGGAGGAGTAGGTGAACAGGTACTGGCAGGAGACGTGAGGTCATATTCCAAGGTGCTAATAAATGTTCTTTTTCTTCATCTGAATGTTGCTTACATGGGTGTGTTCACTTAGTGAAAATTCATCAAGCTGTGCACTTACAATTTATGTTCATGTCTATACATATATTCTACATCAATAAGAATACTATTTTTAAAAGCAGTGTTATTAGGCTTGGAGGCAAACTGGAGCAATAGAAGCAAGTGACTCGGAGTGGGCAGATGGCCCAGGGTAGAGAGACTGGGGGTGGACTTCCGAGCTTGTCTCTCCTGTAAAGCCTGGTCCTTTCTCCTCTGGCATTGCAGCTTCCCTTTGGGTCCTGGGACTGAGTTGCCAGCACCTCTATGGCAAATACAAGGAGGGCAGGCAAGGAACCGGGCATGAAGGCAGAAGCCCTGGAATGAAGCCCCAGCTCTGCCACTGACCCCAAACTCACATGACCTTTCTGAAGCTCAGTAAAATAAAGGGAGACTGCACTGGTTGGTTGCAGGGATATCGCTCCAACAGCACAGGCAAAGGAGCCACGCTAGCTGGTGAGGGCTGCGTAAAAGGGGCTGAAGGGGAGTCACAGCACGTGAGCATTTACTCAACAGCATCCAAACAGCAGAAAACGAGAGAGACACTATTAAACCCGGTGATAAGAGTGTGCACCCAGTGAGCTGGCTATGGGGACATCATTTGGCGTCTATCTGCCCTTCACTGTCATCCCAACAAGACTTGAACATGATTCTCAGTTTCAACAAGGCAGTCCCCTATACAAAGCCAGATGCTTTGTCCGATCTTAGCAGCAGACATCCCAGTCTATTCCAGGATGAAGAAAACACTGGCAAGGCCACAAAAGTAGGACAGCGAAGCTTCCAGAAAACCTCTGAGTAGGTGCAGCTTGTTTTCCACATAGCTGCGCCCCACCTCCCTGCCCCCTTCCCCACCCCAACATTGCCTGGTCTGCAAAATCAGTGTCCCTTCCCGCCCTCCAGCCTGGAGTGCCGTCTGTCACCTCCTTCCAGTGAACCTGAGCACTCATTTCCCCCAGATCACATTCCCAGGCTTGGTCCCCTCCATCTTAGGGACTCTGTTCTGCCTCCCCCTCAACCCCTGAGCTCATCTCCATCATAGATTTTCTCACTGACTGCCATGGTATGTTTCCCTCTCTAGACAGGGGTTTCTGGGGAGCAGGTTCTGTATCTCATTCACCTTTTTGTCTTTGGCACTCAGCACATAGGAAGTGATCAGTAAATATTTCCTGAAGAATTGAAGGGAGGAACATTCCCCTAACTAGAGTCAAATTGTAAGGGATCTGCTTAACTCATTCACGTGAAGATGAAAAGCTATTGAATTCCAGGGATAGCTAAATAAGGGATAAATACATTCACCTAAAGGACTGATAGTGACATTGATCAGAGACTGATGAGGGGAAATATATTTCACTGGGATCCCTCACAGTGATGCTGCATTGTCTGTGCAGGAGGCCAGTCCTGCACGTCTGTCATCATATCTTCAACACCATCGCCAATGGCAGACCAGACACAGTGACAGGTGTGTTGTCTTGTTTAATCCTGACAACGCCCCTGTGAGGTGACTACTTTCATCATCCTCATTTTACAGATAAGGAAGCTGAAGCACAGAAAGGTTAAGTAACTTGTCCAGGACCACTGCCTAGCAGAGCAGGAACTCAAACTGGGCTGGCTGACTCCTACACCCATATGCGAATCATGCAGCTCAGTGCCTTTCTATGACCCCTCAGAACCATGATCTTCAGGGTGACTTATAAAATCAAGGTGTCCGCCTGCTTAGAGGCTTGGATTTGAAGGTGAACTCACCCAAGATAACAGCAAAACATATACAAAGGCTGAGGGAGGCAGGAGAGAGCAAGCAGCAGCCGTGTGTGTCTGTGTGTGTGTGTGTGTGTGTGCACGCACATGCACCCATGTACATACACATGTGTGCATATGTGCCAGTGCTTATATTTGCATGCCAGGAGGTGGATGGGGTGTGCGTGCATGTATGCGGGAGTATATGAGCAAGTGCATGTGTGTGCTGGGGCCAAGGGGAGGGGTTTGACAATTAGGAAAAGGTAATCGGGGTCGACACATAGTAAATATTTGTAGAATTGAATTGAAATGCTAAAGAGAGCACTTTACAAATGTGAGGTGTTGTTATTACTATTACCTCCAAATCACAGGCCTTAGGAAAAGAGAAGAGAGAGTTGGTGACAGTTAGTTGGCCTCTTTTCATCTGCAGACTGCATTGCACTGACCTCTTTACATGGCCTCTCTCTGGATCACTTTCCTCCTGAGCTGGCTGAAGCAGGGCTCCTGCAACCTGTAAGGATGGCAGTGACAGTGACAGTAGGAACTAACATGCAAGGAGCCCACCATATGGGCTGGTTCTGTGCTAAGTGCTCTGCACGTCTGCTGTTCATTACAAAGCCACCAATGAGGTGGGGACCTTTGGTATTCCCCAAGTGCAGAGGGGGAAAACGAGATTCAGAGGGGTTGACTGAGAGAACATGTACACGAGTACTGAGAACTCCTAGAGGACCAGGCTGTGTCTTTTCCACCACACTATCCTGAGTCCTCCTGCACAATGCTAGCACATAGCAGGTTAATAGGTGGTCGGGGCCATGCAATGGACTGAAAATTGCAAAGCAATACTCTCTAGAGCCAGTCAGCCCTGAGCAGGACACTTCATCTCCCTATACCTCCATTTCCTCTGGTAAAAGTGGGGGTGAATAATTGTCACATCAGAGGGGTGCTGTCATGAGAGAATGTATGTAAAATGCCCAGTCCATTGTGAGTGCCCAAATACGTTAGCCATTACTATAAATGTGCTGCAGTTTTACTTGAACATAATATTCCCTCCTTCTCTCACAAAGTAGTGAAATTAGACTCAGAGAGTTGGTGCAAGTTAAGGGATTATCCAGTCCAACTCCCTCAGATAGCAGCTAAAAAAAAAACATGAAGCCCAAAGAACAAGCCTCATCAGTGGCAGAGCCTGGGTTGCACACAGATTTTCTTCTCCTGGGCAGGGCCTCTCCACCTGCCCAGAGTGCCTCTGATGGGGCCTTGACTGCTCTCGTAGAGCTGGCCTAAAGGTGCAGAAGGGCACGGGAGAGGTGGGGAGGGCACCAACCCAAAGCCCCAGTCTCTAGATGTGGGTGGCATTAAGGCCTGGGGGGGAGAGCAGCTGACACATACCCCACTGTAAACACCTGGCAAGGAGGCCAGAGAATGGGGCCCTCTTGAGGGGGCACCGGCTGGCCAGGGATTATGGGAGACAGCATGGCTCCTGAAGGCCCAGAGTCCCTCAGCGCTCCCAGGCTCATGGGGAAGAGCCCCTTCTTCTCCCGGCTCTCCTGTGCCCACACCAGTGATGGCCAGTCCCACAGTCTTCAAAAATGTGAGAGCCAACCCATCAGGACACACAGACAGCTCTTGGGCCCTGGGCTGGCCCCAAGCCTCTCCCCTGCCCCTGCAGCCTCTCCAAGGCCCTGGCCCCTCCTCAGTCTCCTTCTGGCTGCCATGCAACCAGGAGCCCACAAAACACCCACGTCAACTTGCCTCCTCCCCGGAGGCCGAAGGCCTTAAAATTTAATAGTCTCTCAAATGCTGTAACGCCAGAGGGGGCTTTTATGGACTCAACAGGGATAATATTATGAAGGGTGTTAGCCGCCTAAAGTGGGCTGCTCACGGTGGGGGGCCCGCCCCCAGCCCCTCCTACACACTTCAGGGGCCTCCAAGGGGCCCCTCCACCATAAGGGCCAAGTCCCTCAGCAGTGGCTCCGCTGCCTGTGACAAGCTTATTACAGAATAGTCCGCTGCAAACAGGAGCCTGATGGGAGGCTGGGACCCCGCTGGCCTTGGCTGGATTGGAGCAGAGGAGTTGGAGAGGAGGGCGGTCCAGGGGAAATATCTTGGTGACTAATGAGCGGGCAATTGAAAGCTGCAGTGTGTCAGTGGGGAGCAGATGGGGAAGGAGGGGAATTCCTGCAGCCTGGCCTCAGAGGTGGTGGCGGGGGCTGGGAGGGAGAAAGTGGGAGGAGGAGGGAGGGACGAGGGGAGCAGTGTGGGGTCAGCAGGTGGGGGAGGAGAGGGAGGGAGAGAGGCCTGGCCTGGCTGTCACCCACAGATGGACACAGCTTCTGGGGCCCGGGTCCAGCAGGAGCAGGGACCAGGTGGTGGGCTGAGGGCAAGGCCACTGGTGTTTTCTGGGTCACTCGGCTTGTTTTCTTCTCCTTTTCTGAGGTCTGTATTTTTCTGCTGTTCCCCTTCTGCCACTTCCTTTCCCTTCTTGCCCTCTTGGTATCTCCTTGCTCATTCTTGCCTGCTTTCTTCCCTGTCTTCCTCCAGGTTCCCCTTCCTCAACCCCCTTTCCCCTTTTTCCTCCAGCTTGGTGTGTCCTGGGAGACCAGAAATAGGCATTCTGCCCAGTCTTCAGTAGGTGTGGGCGGTCCCCAAAATAAACAAAATACTAAACAACACTAAATAAAAGACCCTGGCTGATTTGCTAACAAACACACATGTCCGCTTATCCTAGACACATGAGTGTACACGCACATAGGTGCACACACTCACACGTACCCCAGACACACGCACACACATTCACACTTGCCCAGACACACTTCTATGTGCAAACACAGGCACACTCACACACACACATATTTTCTTCATTACCTCCTCTAATACTGTCTTTTTTCCATCTTGAGTTCAATGTTGTTTTTTGTCTCTTTTCGACCCTCCCCCTCCACTTCCCGTCAATTTATTCCAGCTGTGAAAACCTCTTTCCCATCTCCTCTGTCACCCCAGCAGATAGGTGAGTGGCAGGCAGAGGAGTCCACTCCGCAGCCACCGTTGGTAATCGATCCCAGATGTTGCGCTGGCCCCCAGCCCAGCCCCAGGCAGGGCTCCCGCGCCCGCTCCTACATCTGGGTGTGAAAGGCGAGCTGCAGCCAGGCCTGGGTCTCTGTGGGATCAGGAGCCCGGGCTCAGGGGACACTGGTGGAGAGGGCTGGGTCCAGGTGCTGCAGGAGGGAGGAGGCTGGGGTGCAGAGGATAAGGATGTGGGAGTCCTTGGAGGGAGGCCTAGAGGCATCCGACAGATTGTCTGGGATATTAGACCAGACTGAGAGGGACCAGGGCAGCCCAGAGCCGAGACGCTGAGAGACAGGCCTTCCCTTGGCCCCTTGTCAGCCATTTTATAAAATTATTTTTATAGAGATGGGGTCTTCCTATGTTGCCCAGGCTGGTCTCAAACTCCTGAGTTCAGGCAATCCTCCCATTTCAGCCTCCCAAAGTGCTGGGATTGTAGGCATGAGCCACCATGACCAGCCCACCATTTTATTTTCTTGGAAAAAAAGGTTTCCTGCTGCTGTTTATAAATATATGTATTTGGTAAAATACAAAAAGCCAATTATACCACTCTGGAATTCTCCACATCTATCACTAATGGCAATGAAACCAGCTACAGTTATTGAGTCTTTTAGGTACTTTCTGAGCCATCGTACGTCAATGCATTCTGTCAAGTAATTTTCACAACAATATTATGACATAAGGACTACAGTTGTCACCATTTTACAGATGCCACCACAGAGGTCTAGAGCATCTATTTGGCCCATCTAAAAATGGTGGTACTAGGATTTGAGCCCAGATAATCTGACTCCACTGATGACCACATTAGGCTCTCAGTTTCGGAAGACTTTAAAATCTGAAAAGGTCAGAGCTTGAAGGAACCTGGTTCAAACACTTTCTTTTCTAAAGGAGGAATTAAAGACCAGAGAGAAGTGACTTGCCCAAGGACACACAACAAGCTGGACCCACAGCAGGACTGAATCCTAGGGCTCTTGATTCCTGTTCAGAGCCCTTCACAGCACCACACTTCTGCCTCTGGTTCCCACAACCTTGTCCAAGAGCTGGGCTTCCTGGAGGAGCTGTCTTTTGCAGGGCTTGGAACAAGATGAGAATCATAGGCTAGCACACAGGCAGGAGGAAGTGCTTGTATTGTATTGTATTGTATTGTATTGTATTGTATTGTATTGTATTTTTTTGAGATGGAGTTTTGCTCTTGTTGTCCAGGCTGGAGTGCAGTGGCACGATCTCGGCTCACTGCAACCTCTGCTTCCTGGGTTCAAGTGATTCTCCTGCCTCAGCCTCCTGAGTAGCTGGGATTGCAGGCACGTGCCACCATGCCTGGCTAATTTTTGTATTTTTAGCAGAGACAGGGTTTCACCATGTTGGTCAGGCTGGTCTCGAACTTCTGACCTCATGATCCACCCACCTCGGCCTCCCAAAGTGCTGGGATTACAGGTGTGAGCCACCATGCCCGGCCAGGAAGTGCTTTTAATGATGAGACTTCTATTCAAAGACCAGTGTGTGGGGAAGGCTACGCCACAGTGGGGCTGGCAGACAGCATGGACTGCGTCTCTACTGAGTGCCCAGCCCTGGAATCCCAAAGGGGATAAACTCTGTCCTCAAGGAGCAAACTAACAAAAAAGTGAAAAACAGCACAGGGGAATAGTGGGCGTCATGGGGGTGGGGCGGGGGGGTAGGTGCAGTATGAGCATCTGGGGTAAGAGTGTCAGCAGAGGGAATAGTGAGTGCAAAGGCCCTGAGACAGGAGTGTGCTTAGCCTGCCAATTGTGTCCAGGGAACTGATGGCAAGAGAAAGAAAAATAGGAGGCATGTTAGAGAAGGTAGGCGCAGATCATGTGGGACCCTGCGGCTGCTGTAAGAGCCTGGCTCTTCCTCCCAGTGCAATGGGGAAGCAGGGGTAGGGGTGCAGTTTAAGTAGAAGACTGGCACCGTCTGAATTCTACAGTATCTTCCTGCCACTCTGTGGAAAGAGTACCCCATGGGGGAAGGGGATGCAGGAAGACCAGGGAGGAGGGCCCCACAGTCCTCCCAGGGAGAGGAGGTGAAGACAGGAACCAGGGGCCCACCATAGAGGGGGTGAGAAGTGGTCAGATTCTGGACATATTTTGAAAGTAGAGCCAACGAGATGGCTTAAGAGTTGCATGTGGGGTATGGGAAAAAGAGAGCAGTCAGGTATGACTCCGGTTTTTTTGGTCAGGAATCGCCTTTCCTGAAGTGGGAAGACTACAGAAGGAACAGGCTTGGGAACAGACCAGGTTCATCTGAACATCGAACCTGCTGAATTTGAGGGGGCCGTTATCAATGCCTGATGAGTGATATTAGAGGAACAATCCAGGAGACTGATCCTGTGTCTGTTTAAAATTATAAGGTTTTGCTCATCATGAATTTTTTGTTGCATTGTTTGATTTCTTAAAATATTGCATTAACATATGATTTATCTTGGTTACTGAAGTTTTGTTCCTGCCTCCCTTTAAATTTTGCACCCGAGTTGCAGTCCTGCCTGCTGCAGACAACCATGTGGAATGCGGGGGTTGGGCTGACCTCCCGATTCCTGGCCATTCTCTGTCCACCATGGGCCAGTGATCTTCTGATCAGGATCTGTGACAGGGAGGTGAGCTGAAGAGTGGTTACAGCCAGGAGGTCCTGGACAAGGAGAAGGGCCTGTGTGGATGTGTGGCTGGCTGACCTAGAAGCAGCCAGAAGGGTGTGAGCCCATCAGCCCGCTTCGCCCCACCCGGCCCCGTGATGGATGGCATCTGTCTTCTGCTTTATTAAACTCACGCCGCGGTTCAGCCCTGGATTTGCAAACGGCTTAATAAGCATTTGGAAGGGATCGGGGGAGGGAGGCCGGGATTTCAGGGGGTTACCAAGACCCAGACAGGAAACGGCTTTCACCCTGAGTGGGCCTCAGGAGGGAGTCAGGTGTCCGGGTGGGCGACTAGGGGGAGTATTTGGTTTCACAGAAGGCACTTGGGGCCCCAAAGAAGAAGGGGGTACAGGTCTTTGGTGCCACGCCTCCCCCAGCACTGTTGTTACCACACACTGGGAGCTCACAGCACCTAGAGGGGTGTTCTGGGCATTGCGGAGGGCAAGGGAGTGCAAGGACTGGCCAAGGCTGGGGAGAAACGATGGGGTCAGGGGAGAAGAGGCCACTCCTGTGTCTAGGAGTTCCCAACTGCAGAGGACACAGGGTTACACAAAACAGACACCAATCCCACCAGCCAGCCCCCAGCACTCTCTCCCACCTCTGAATTTCTACGGACTCCATAGCATGTGACATTGGTCTGGAACCTTCTGTGCAGCCCCTGGCATTGGCACAAAATGCAGGTACCAGGTGCCCCTTCTCTCTTGAATGAGGTTTGAAGCTCCCAGCAGCCAGGAAAGATGGGCACACTGAAGTCATCTCTTCACACAGGCAACTTGGGCCCCGCTTACTCAGGGCCGTGCGGGAGCCAGTTCACATGGGCTCGCCAGGGCAGACTGCAGGCATCTTTTCCCAATTCCTGGCCCAGTGAATGCCACGTTAGTAGCTTGAAGTTGGCCATGGTGGAGTATTTACAGGACAGAAATTGGCAAATGCTTTTTTTTCCTCCTGAAGAGCCAACTGTTGAACATTTACCAGCACGTCACTGCCTCACCTGCTCTTCCACCCATAAGAACTGCAAGTCCCTTCAGGTATATAAAACTCCATTTTTCCTCCCAAAAAGGCTGGGGAGCTCCTTCTGAATGGTGAAGACTGGGACTGTCTGTCTCTTATTAATAAGGGTAGTATCCAGTGTGAGAGGCAGTGGTGATTAAGCTTCAACTGTCCACATTCAAATCATATCTCCACCATTTAACAGTTTATGATTTACATTGTTCTTTAGTCTATGATTGGAGGGATTGTTCTGAAATTTAAAAGAAATAATACCTGAAAGATGCTTTGGAACAGGGTCTGCAAACATAAGTAGCCAATAGATGTTCATCCTTACTCTGGGTCTCTGATAGCGCTAAATACTTTATTGTAATTTGAGTCTTACAGCCACCCATATGGAAAACACTTATGTTATTCCCATTTTATAGATAGGGAAAGTGGGATTAACATGTGTTAGGTCCCTTACCTGAAGTCACATAGTGGCAGAGCAGGGATTTGAACCCAGGAGTGTCTGGGTCTAACAGCCCAGCTCCCTCATGCCAATGGTCCATGCCATTGGATCTCTCCACCAGGAGGATAGTGTTGGAAGTCATAGTGATAGCGGAAGTGGCCTTTGGTTTTCCTCCTCTCTCCATCTGGCCACCAGCAGAAGTGATGAGCCTTCTTTCTATATGGCCCCCAAAAGAACCCTGTTCCCCAACACATCCCCTCCACACCTGCTCATGCCCATCAGACAGTCCCTTCAGAGGCTGGGGCTATCTTATCAAGGAAATCCACATTTCCTGTGGGCATTTTCTACTCACCTCTTGTCTTAACACACTACCTTTATCTCCGTGTCAGTCTCTCAGTCTGGAGACTGGGAGACTCCCAGTCTCTTTCCTTCTCTCACCCCAAGCTCCATATCCACCCCTAGTCCTCCAAAGCTATGCAAATGCCCACTCTAGGGTGGCCTAACTCCTCAGGGTCCAAGGCCAGGGTCAGTAGGGGCAGACTCAGGAAGGTCAAGGGCTCAGCAGCCTTCTTACAACTTTCCTTCTGGGTCTCCTTTTTTTCCCCTGCCTCTTGACAATTTCACTTTCTCACTTCCTTCTTCTTGCATTTCCTTTCTTCTCATCCTATTTGTCTCTTTGGTGTCTCCTTCTTTATGTCTTCTATCCCCTCAACTCTCTCTCTGCCTTTGCCTCTTTCTCTCTGGGTCAGACTATTTGGTGGCAAGAGTCCATGTATGTGTGTTTCTCTGTCCCTTTGTTCTTTGTGGATGTCTGTGTGTCTGTCTGTCTCTCCGTGTGTGTCTCTCCCTGTCTCTCCCTGCTTATTCCAACATCCTGAAGAATGTGCATGTGTGTGTGTGTGTGTGTGTGTGTGTGTGTCCCTGTATCTAAGAATCTAACTCTACCTCGATGCCTCCTGCTCTGTGTCTGTCTGTCTGCCTGCTGCTGACTCCGTGCGTCTGTCTTCGTGGCTGTCTCTCGGGGTCTCTCTCCGGCAGCATTCGTTCTTCAGGGCTGCACTCCAGAGGCTCCCGGAGGAGACCCCCACTCACCCCTCCCAAAGTTCACTGCCTTGTCAAACGGAGCTAATCTCCTGCGGGAGGAAAAAGCCTCATTCAAACTGGGCGGGGGGAGGCAGAGGGGGAAGGGGAGGTCTCCTTGGCTGCAGCCTGAAAACACCCCGGCCCATAATACCCCTTTTGTTCTAGGCTGGTGGGAGGGGGTGGGCGGTGGAATGAAAGAAGGGGGATATTAAAGGAGCAGGTGAAAGACATGTGTCTTCGGCAGCCATAGATAAGCGCTTACCCCCTTCTCATCTGACTGAGGCCTATTATCTTCCCACCACAGTCATTACTATTAATATTAAACACCCCCAATCCCGCTTGAAAACAACCTGAAGGGGCTGCTTCTGTCTCCAGCCAGTTCCAAGGGGAAGCCACTGCCCTGACACCTCCCCCTACAGTATTTGACCACCAACCCAGTTTCCCCAAACCCAAAGTCCCCTTGAACTTCCCCATGACCTTCAGCCCCAAGAGTCCCCCTCCATTTCCCCCCCAAGCCCCACCCTGAATCATCTCTGATCACCAAGCCTTTCTGTCTCTAGTGGACCCCCCATTTCAGCTTTATTCCTAAGAATTTCTCTATACCCTAGCTCTCTTCTCTCCACCCCTCCGTATAACCTGAAATGGAAGACAGAAGCACATAGACGTTTGGTTCCCTGGCTTTGACATCTAACAGAAGTGGACTCGCATTCTGATGCTGCCACGTTCAGGCCAGGTGACCATGGTCAATTTCCTTAACGCTTTTTGGGCCTCAGGTTCTCACCTCTAAAATGAGGGCAGGGCAGGGCCTGGCGCAGTAGCTCACGCCTATAATCCCAGCACTTTGGGAGGCCTAGGAGAGTGGATCATCTGAGGTCAGGAGTTCAAGACCAGCCTGGCCAACATGGTGAAACCTTGTCTCTACTAACAATACAAAAATTAGCCGGGCGTACTGGTGCATGCCTGTAATCCCAGCTACTTGGGAGGCAGAAGTAGGAGCATCGCTTGAACCTGGGAAGCAGAGGTTGCAGTGAGCCGAGATCCGCACCACTGCACTCCAGCCTGGGTGACAGAGAGAGACTCTGTCTTAAATAAATAAGTGAATAAATAAATAAAATGGAGGCAAATTATAGTTCCTAAGACATAGGGTTGTTTTAAGGGTTATTGTTTAAAAATGAAAGAGTTCTCAGGACATACCTGATATATTGTAATGGCTCAATAAACAGTGGTAGTAACCGTTGTTACCTGGACAAAAAGCACCTCAGTGCAGCAGGTGTGCCCACTCATTCCTTCTTCAGTCCATCACTGGGCCCCTACTCCGTGCCAACTTCTGTGTGGAGCGCCAGAGAAACAGAGGTATAGAAAACAATTCCTGCCTCCAAGAATTCACAAACGGGTGGCAGCAAGAGACTTATAAACAGGTAAACGCATCACTGTGGTGCTGGGTAATATATACCACAAAAGAAGTTATTACAGGAGCTCTGGGGAAATGGGACAATGAACTGCTCCTCAGTGGCTAATGTTACACCAGTAAAGCACTAATTGCCTATTCAGTATCTACAAGGTGGCAAGGCCAGCTATCGCCATGCCCATATCTACAGTTATAGCTCGCAAGAGGAGCAACTCATAAGTCTTCTTCCAAGACTGGTAGAGGTTTAGCTGGGGCCATGTGAGGGGTCCCCTTCCTCAGGTCCTAGGGCTCTGGACTGCCAGGGCTGGCCTGCAGAACCTGCAGACACAAGAAGGAGGGAAATGAGAGCTCACATTTACAAAGTGTCTCCCTCAAGCCAGGCACCGGGCTGTGTGTTTCAGCATTAGGTCACATACTCCTTCTCACCACTTCTCTACCAACCAAGCATCATTGTACCCATTTCACAGGGGAGCAAACAGGCTCAGAGAGAGGATGTGACTCTCCTAAGATCACACTGCTAGAAAATGGTAGGCAAGATTCTAAGCTTCATCTGTCTGGCACCAAAATCCATGTTATTTCCATTTCTAGTGCATCTCCAACTTTCCAGCCCCAAATCCATCGCTGCCCAGGTATCCTTAACATCAGGGGAGCTTGAACAAATATAGAGGGAGGAGGAAGGGGAGATTCTATAAGAAAAACAGCCTCCTACAAGTCCAAAACTTTTTTGACATCTTGCATCTTATCTTAAAAGCCTATGAGCTTTGAATTTTACTCCATAGTATAACTATGTGTATTATAAATTAAAATAATGTTTTAAATGTCATTTTAAAATGTTCCCCCAAAATCTTGAGATAAAATGGAAGCTCCAAGAAGGTGTGCTAAGTTTATTCTACTGCTTCCTCTGTCCTCTGCGGTAGGGGCCAGGGAGGGAGAGAGAGGGTGTTGTTGTGGACAGCCTTGTCTACTTTTGATAACTACAACCCTTTCTTCATTGAACCCCTGCTCCTCTCTTCCATGCAATTCTGTGGGGCTGCCAATTACAACTCCCCAGCTCCTCTGGCCTCAGGGTGGGCCCATGAGCCAGGTCTAGCCAATTGTCAAACATAACTTTCTTGGACACCTGATTTGTCCAAAAGGTGGGCACATGACCCAATCTAGGCCAAAAGGAGCTCTTCGCTAAAATGTTATAGATGGAGGGTGCTGGGAATAGCAAATCCTCTCTTTCTTCTGAGATGTGAGCATGAAATTGCTGCCAGGCTCTTCTACCCACCTCTCTCTGCCCTCCAGCAGATGAGAGAAGTCTTGACCTCCCTCTCCCTCTCCACGCCCCAACTGCAGTTAGAGAGGAAGATCAATTGCAACAGGAAAAACAAAACAAAACAAAAAGATGAGGCTATCACACACCAAAAAGCATAGCCACCATATGAATGAGATCAAGAAAGAATGCAAGAGAGAAAGCTGAACATATCTTTTGAGGCATGGCAGTCCCTAAACTTTGCCCCCTGCCCCAATGCATGTGCATGCACGTGCATGCACACGCACACACACACACACTCCTATCCTTCCTGGTTATTTGAGCCAATAAATCCCTTCCTTTTGCTTAAACTAGTTGGAGGTGAATTTCCATCACTTGCTCCCTGAGCAATATCTCCTGGCACACTCAGTCCTACTTAATAACTCCCAGCTCCCAGCACACTACAGCCCAGAGAAGGAGCAAGGGCCCAATGGAGTTTGGAATTGGGAAACTCAAGTTATATGTGGAGAAGGTGTCACACTCTCCTACCAGGAACCTTCCAAAGTTCTCCCTCACAGAGCTTTGGGCTGGAAAGGACCTCAAGCAGAGGGCTGGCAGGGAATCTATCCCAACTAGCTCTCTGCCGCCTTCAAAGAAGCCTGACTCAGCCTCCTGCCTTGGAAACCCATCCCAGGACCTCCTGTCTGAGACATCGCAAATCTGTCCAGCTTAGTCAAGCCTGTTTCACCTTCTCCTGCCCTAGTGGAAGCTGGACTATAGCCAATCCCTCCTCTCCTTTTCCATTTCTTCAGAGGCTCAGCCCACTCTTCTCTTTACTATTCTTTTGCCCTTGTTAGTGTAGGTTCATGCATGTTGTGTGTACTAGTTACTGGCTAAGAACACAGGCTCTAGACAGACTGCCTGGGGTCAATCCTGGTTCTGTTCCTTCCTAGCTGTGAGACTTTTGGCAAGTTGCTTACCTTCTCTGTGCTTTGGTTTCCTCATCTTCAAAATGAAAATGATTATATGAATTAATGTATATAGAGTACTTAGAACCATTCCTGGCACATAGTAAGTGCTCAATAAATACTCGTTATTATTGTATGTTAATGCTGTGTGTGTGTGTGTTCAGCCCCTTTCCCAGCTGATTGGGAGTTCCCTGAGGACAAGAAACATACTTTATTCATCTTCAAAGGCCCAGGGCATCAAAGTGCTTGACATAAGAGAGGCAGCTCAAAAAAAATGTATGTTGACTGAATGAATGATGAATGAATGAAGATTGGTTGGCTGAACACTTAGAGAATTTAAGTCCTGATTCCTGTCCTTAGGTCTCTCAATAGTCCCACATGGGTACCCATCAATTCTGCCTACATCTGAACCCAGAGGGGAGGTTTGTCAGGCAAAAAGGATCTTGCAGCAGAGTAACAACAGAAGCAAGAACAACCAGCTCTGCCCTGTGTACACCCCTTAACAACAACCAAGGCTCTGTCACAATGCCACACATCACTGTGAGGTAGACAGAGCAAGGGTAATCCTTATCCCATCTTACAGATGAGTAAACTGAGGGTTAGAGCAGTAATGTGACTTTCCTAAAGACAGACACAGCTAGCTAGTGGCCCAGCTGAGGCCACAGCCCCGTCACCAGACTTGATTAGATCTCTGTCAACCACATCCCAGCAGCCAAATGCTCCCTCCTTTTGCCCTCCTGCGGGGCCACGCAGCACACACCACAACCCCTTGGTCCACTGTGGTCTAGGCAAGAGCAGAAGAGTCCAAAAGCAGATGACTATCATCTTCCATTTGTCTTGGTATCTATGACCACATCTTCCATATGTCTCAATATTTGTACAGCCTAGTGGGAGGGTTGTAGAGAGTCCAGAAGTGAAGGCAACTCCAGAGCACACAATGGTCCATTGTGCCCCTGTATCCCCCTTCCCTTCACCACACCCAGCACACAGCGTCCTGTTTACCTGCCTCCAAGGCCTGGCTCCATCTCAGGTGCCACTCCAACTGGGCCCACGCACAGGCATTGCCAAACCCTCTGCCCACGAGCCCTAGGCTTGGCAGTGATGCCCTTCTTGGGGATTCCCCCCAGCTTTTGTCCCACCCCCAGTCCCTTCTACCCCAACACAGACCCCTCCTCTTGGCTCATAGCACAGTACCTGGCACACAGTAGTTCTCTGGAAATGGTTCCTGACAGTAAGTGGTTCCTTAGTGACGATCATAACCTCAGGCCCATCTGTCAAGGGGTTCTCCCAGCTTCAGAGGTGGGCGATGGCATTGTGAAGGAGGTGGGTTCCAGGGCTGAGTGTCAGCTAGACTTAGAAAAAGTTTCCTGTCCCCTTCCCTGAGCCTGGGACTTTGGGGGGAGGGCGGCGAGGGAATATAAAGCCTGTCCATCTCTAGGGACAGAAGACCCATATTAGGCACTGTCTTGGTCCAGCTGGGATGCCATTCTCCCATTCTCTCAGAAGTCAGAAGTCAAGGGTCAGGGCACCACCAAGGTCTTCAGGGACAGAAGCCCAGGCAAGAGGACAGATGGAGAGGTCTGCTCCTCAGGCCCAGATTGTGTTTGGGGGTCAAGAAGCCGGGTAGAGGTGGGAGGGGAAAGCTGCCCAGGAGAAAGTTAAGCATCATCAGTTCATCCACATACTATTCACACGCTGGGACAGAATAAGAGAGAGAAAGAGAGGAAGATAGCTGAGGGGAGCAAGAAGGGAAAAAGACAGGGACACCACAGTGAAAAGCCAAGAGGCAAGGCCAGGCACGGTGGCTCAAGCCTGTAATCCCAGCACTTTGGGAGGCCAAGGTGGGCGGATCACTGGAGGTCAGCAGTTCAAGACCAGCCTGGCCAACATGGTGAAACCTCATTTCTACTAAAAATACAAAAAATTAGCTGGGCGTGGTGGCATGTGCCTGTAATCCCAGCTACTCGGGAGGCTGACACAGGAGAATCACTTGAACTCAGGAAGCGGAGGTTGCAGTGAGCTGAGATCGCTCAACTGCACTCCAGCCTGGGTGAGAGTGAGACTCCATCTCAAAAAAAAAAAAAAAAAAAGAAAAGAAAAGAAAAGAAAAGAAAAGAAAAGCCAAGAAGCAGATGGGAAATGGGAGAGCACAAAACCACACCTCCAGGTAAGCAGGCTCTGGCAAGGACGATGAGGTTCCCCCAGCTGAAAGAAGAAGCAGACATCAAACACAAAGGCTGCAGAGGAGCATGGAAAGCATCCAGTCCAACCTACTCATTTCACCTATAAGGAGTCCAAGGCCCAGAGAGGGACATGTCTTGCCCGGGGTTACACAGCAAGTCAAGACTCAGCCCAAACCAGAGTCACAGAATGATGGCTCCAGGCTAGAAGACATTTCTTGACTTTCTACTGAGCAGAGAAAAGGGGGCTTCAGAGGGTCATACTCTGCCTGACTTCTGGAAATGTGGGAGCAAGAAGAACAGCCATCGTGGCCCACCCAGCCTATGGCCAGGTATCAGAACAAAGAAATGGAACATTCAGGCCCACTGCTTGTCTACCTAGCAGCACTTGAGCCAAGGTTTGATGGGCTTTCTATTGTACCCATTGATTTATTCCACCACTTACTCTATGTGCCTAGCACTGTGCCAGGCCCTCAAGTTGAGGAGGAGGACAAGAAGAGGGTGGCAAGGAGGCTACAAGCTAGTTTATTCGAATACTTTGAAAGAAGGCTAATTAAGTGGACATTCAGTCAGAGGTTGCTGTATGCCAGCTGCTTGCCCCATGTTACTGTGTCAGAGACTCACAAGGCAGTTCCTACTGTTAGTCCCATTTTTTCAGATGTTGACACTGAGGCTCAGAGAGACTAAGAGGCCCTAGGTCCTACAACTGATGTGGCAGAGCAGGAAGTTAAACCACACCATTTGCTCTTAACCATTAGGCTGTACGGTCCCCCAGGATGGGCTTTAAGAGCTACAGTGATGAGGTTACCCCCACCACACTGTGATCCATCACAGCCCCCCTCTTTTTTTTTTTTTTTTTTGAGACAGAGTCTCACTCTGTCACCCAGGCTGGAGTGCAGTGGCGCAATCTCAGCTCACTGCAACCTCCTCCTCCTGGGTTCAAGCAATTCTCTGCCTCAGCCTCCCGAGTAGCTGGGATTACAGGCACCCGCCACCACACCTGGCTAATTTTTGTATTTTTAGTAGAGATGGGGGTTTCACCATCTTGGCCAGGCTGGTCTTGAACTTCTGACCTCGTGATCTGCCCACCTCGGCCTCCCAGAGTGTTGGGATTACAGGTATGAGCCACTGCACTCGGCCAACACCCCTCCTTCTATCCCAGCCAAGGTGAGTCAGTCCCTCCTCTGAGGCTTTTATAAATGCCTCCCATGGCCCCTTATTTTTGGCCTAGTCTTGGAATTAATTGTCAGCATGTCTGTCTCCCTGGCAAGTTGGAGGGCAGAAATGGCCTTTGCTCAGCTCTGAACCCCCAGTGCCTAGAACAGTGTCTGGCATATGGCAGGTGCTCAATAACTGGTTATGGAAGGAGTATAGCTGGGTAATATGGTATCCCCATATGAACAGAAAATAAAACCCAGTAGAGGCTTAGGTCCAAGGGAGGGGCAGGAAGAGAGTTTCATTAGTCTCCAAATGTCCTGAGTCTAGCACACTGCCTGGAATATACTAAATGCCCTCATAAGTGCCCTTTGGAGTGAGTATGGAGGGTGCTCCAGATACGAGGCTTCCATGGGCCTAGAGGATGGACTCAGGAGGTTTGAGACTGCATTTGGATTGCGGCCAGAACTCAGGGCCCCATCCCAAGAAGTTTGAGGCCCAGCCAGACCACCATGAGAGCCTGCAGAGGACTGGGGTTCAGGGTACTGGGGGCCTCTTTTAGGAGTGCAGGCTGTTCCTGTGGACTCTGCCAGGGCTCAAAGCTGCGGACTGGGGGGTGGGCTGGATCAGAGTGAACAGGAGCGGGCAGGCTGGAGTTGGGACACATTCTCCAGCCTCTTCTGTTTGCAGGTGCCTGAGGACACCTTCAAACCTTCTCTGCTCCGTTGTAGAACTTTTTCCAGCAAGGGGGAGAGGAAGGACAAAAGGCTATGCCTTGGGCTCCAAAGTTTAGGAGAGGAGCCATGGAGATGGACAGAGAGAGGTGAGGAGAGAGAGACCCAGGAGGCCTCTGGGAAGGGAAGGGAAGGTTGCTGAGGAAGGAAGTCTGCACTTGGGGCCAGCCCTGCCTCTGGCACCAGCCCCACTGGGCCAGGGTCCCAGGGATTTATTGACTAATCCTCAAATGATACACTTTCCCTGATTTATTCTCTCTCCCGCTTGCAATCTCACAAGATCCCATTGTCTCTGGACACTGCTGGCCAAGGGCCTCCACCTCAGGAGCTGCTGCCTCTCATCCACTTCCGGGGCGAGGGTAATGGAAGCTCCCTACCGCCAAGCACCACGACCCTCCCCTGCCTTCTCCAGGCCTAAGGGTCAAGCTGCCAGGCCACCAGGCAGTGCCAGGTACGAGGATGACAACACCTAGCCAACCCGCGGAGAAGGCGGTGAGCTGGGTGACCTCCTGGAGCTGCAAGAGTTTGTGCCTGCTGAGGCCTTGCTCCACCGAGTCTTGGGGGGAGGCAGCTGGCGGGTGGGGGCGTGGCTGCCAAGGAAGTGGGTGTCGGGTACTGGGCGGGGGACAGAGCTAGGTCACAGTCGAGGTTTTCACTGACCCGAGTGGGCGGGGGTAAAGGGAATTCGTAAAAAGTTTCTTTCTTCATTAATGGCCTTTTTTCCCTATCCGAGAGCCTGGGCGCGGGAGGGAGCGAAGACGGCCGGGGGCAGGGCAGGCCCTCCGCAAGTGACACTTAATTCCCGGTCTGGACTGGGCCGGCGCTTGAAAGCAACTAAATTAGCAAAACAGAAGTCAACTGTCGATTGCTTCATTGGAGGATTAAGTGTGATAAATGGGGGGTTTGTTCGCTCTCCGGTCCAGATGTTGTGTCTAAGTAAGGGTTTTTTCAAAAAAAAGTTTTTTTACATTCTTGGCCCAGGGCCCATATATATTTTGGATACTGCTGGGAGTATATAATATCATTGGAAAATGATGCGGTCTGCTAACCTTTTAAATAACATTTCCTCCCTCCTCTATTTTCTAATAGTTTGTTTTTCTTTCCATGTTTGCCTTTTATTGGGGGAAATTTTTTTTGGAAATTAATGAGGCTCAAGTTTGGAGACCAAAATAAAAAAGGGGTGGGGGAGTGTGAGAGGTGGATGGGGTGTGGAATGAAGCTGGGTGGAGGGAGGGCTACTCTTTGTGTGTTTTAAAGCGCTCCTGGTTTGATTTTTTTTTTCTTGTAATTTTCTCTGCCGAGGCTGCCCGCGGCCCTCCGGCGGGGCTGCGCGGTGGCGCGCGCGGGAAGGGCGCCCGGGACTCTCCGCCGCGCCGGGCACCCGCTCGCCCTGCCCGGGCCGTGGGGCTGCGCGCCGCTGGCCTCCGGGAAGAACCTGCCATTCCCCCTGCAGCCGAGTCCGACGTGAGAGGGGGTGGGGGTGGGGGCGCCTCCTTCCTGAGTGAAACCTACGGAATCCGGCAGGAATTCGGGCCTCCCAGATTTAAGAAAACAAACAAAGGAAAGATTGTCAGAGAGGGGCCGCCAAGAGCCGCCGGGCCGCCGCACTGCCCTCCGCCCTCACCCCCGGGGCGCCCGGGCCTCCCAGCGGGGGCAGAACGCGAGGCTGGGGGGCTCCCCCGGGTGGTCCCCGGTGGGCTTCCCTGCCCTGGGTCTTGACTAACCTGTGTTGAGTCATCCTCCTGTCTCTAGAGCTGAAGAGGCCCCAGGGCGCATAGGAAAGGAGGGTGCTGCCGAGGTGGCTGCCTGGGGGCGGGCCCTACAGGGGTCATTTGGGGCATCCCCTGCCTCTAGGCAAATCCCCACGGAGCCCCATCCCGCACCCTCCCGCAGTGTCCAGGGCGAACCCCTGTCCCCAAGCCCAGGCTTAGGAGTGAAATCTCGACGGCTCAGGTTCCTTCTCTACGCAGTCCCCCAGCCAGACTAGGAATGGATCACCGCGCGGGTGGGCTCAGTTCCCGGCTTCGCCCGGGTCTAGGAAGAATGATAAAAAGTGAGAATGTAAAGGGAGGAGGTACTATAAAACAAAAGGGGTTAGACACCCATCAGGCAGCTGCGACCCGGTGGTAAACATGAGCGTCTCCTGTGCTCCCACCGCCTGCGTTCTTCCCGGCCGCGTCCACGTTGGTTTCCTTCTCGTTGTCTTGGTCTCTCCTGATTCTGTTCTCGTGTCAGTCTGCCCTGCCTCTGTTACTCCAAATCTCTGTGGTCTCTCTCCCTCTCTACCTTCTCTGTCTCCTTCTGAATCTGAATATGGCTCAGTGCTTCTGGCTTTCTCTTTGTCTCTGAAGCTATCTCTCTGAGAATGTCTCTGTCCCTTTCTGTCTGCCCCTCTTCGTGTTTCTCTGTCTCAAGCTGACGCTGTCTCGTGGCCTGTCTCACTGTGTCTTCTTCTGTCCTCCTCCTCGTCTTCCTCCTCCTCTCCTCCCTCCTCTCTCTCCCTCCTTCGTACCCCCCCCCGCCCCACTATTCCCCTCCATCTCTCCACCCTGCCCCCGCCTTAGGTAGCCCAGCGGGCGGGCGCCCGGCCAAGGCCGCCCTGGGCAGGGCCTTACTGGCGCTGACAGAGCCTCGCGCCCGCGGCCCAATTAGCGCGCGGCGCGAGGGACGCGGCATCTGGAATTGCGCTGCGCTCACGGCCAAGGCCGATTGTTTAGTCTGCGCGGCGGGGCGGGCGGCCCGCGCGGTGGCCCCACATCTGGAGCCTCGGCCAGACGGCCCTGCTGGCGGCTGGCCGGGGTGCGTGTGCATTTTTAACTCTGGGATTTGCTGACAAGTTAAGAAGTCAGAAAGTCAGTGACGGCGGGAACTGGCGAGGCGCTCAAGGAAGGGAGGGGCAGGCGGAGGCTCGGGCGCATCAGCCGCGGCGGAGACATGCTTGGGGGAGCGCACAGCAGCTCCGTGCTTTGGCCCAGCGCGGCCTTCCCCCAATCTACCCCCACCCGTAGCTGCCCAGCGCCGCAGCCACGCGTTGACTTTTCTTCCTTCCCGGTCTTTATCCTCTCCCACTTCTCCTTTCTCTTCATTTAGTCCCTGAATTATCCCGAAATCCCACACTTCCCAGCTGGCCAGAGCTCCTTGGAGGTCAGCCTCTAAGAGGGAAGCCCTGGAGTCTTAGGGCTCCCACGCTCTGGAGGAAACACAAAGAGGGCCAGAGAAGGCCAACAAATTGCCCGGAGGTGGCTCAGCAGTTGAGCGGCAGAGCTAGGACCAGAGGCCAACTCTCTTGACCCCTAATAGGGTTCTTGGCACAGCTCCGGGTCCCCCTTGGGGCTGATCCAATGTGAGCATTCTCACATTGTCAGAGTTCCTTCCCATCCTTTAAAAACGTGCTTTTGCACTTCCACTCATTCATTTCACAAATATCTGTAGCACACTGTGTGCCCAGCCTGGGAAACACAGCGGTAAACAAGACAGGCACGTCCTTGTGCTGCAGAGCTTACATTTTAGTGGAGAAGAGAGACAGAAACTACGCAGCAAACAAACTATCCAAAGTTAGAAACTGTTGAGGAACAGGAAAAAAATTGCTAATGTTTATTGAGTAACTATTGTGTGCCAGTCACCATTATAGATATTTTCATTTTTACCAACTCATCAAATCATTATGACCTTATGAGGTAGGCATGTGTCCCTGTTTTGCAGATGGACAATTCGAGGCTGAGAGAGTTACATGATTTATCCAAAGTCACACACGTGCACAGGTGGTGGAGCTGAGGTGCAGATTCAGGCTTGACTTCAAAACCAGGGCTCTCGCTCCAACAGTAGGCTGCAACGGCTTGAAGGACAATGGTATAGTTGTCCGGAATTGGGTAATGACATCTAGGTGATATACAATTTATTCCCAGCAGCAAAACAAGTATTTACCAGGCCGCTGCTGTAAAGATCATTACTAGCATTTGTGTACTGCTTTCCTATTTATAAGCCATTTTCACTTGCATCATCTTCTTTAATCTTCACAACTTAGAGGGGTAAGTATGATTATCATTTCCATCTCTGCCTCTGGAAACTAAGGCCTGCCAGTGTGCCCAAGCTTCACTTGAGTTTTAAGAGCGCTCCCTGCCCCAGCCCTCTTTCTCGGTAACAGAGGGCTCCATTTCTTTCCGCATTTGGTCTAGTTTTTCCTTGTTCTGTTTTCCATGGAAATACAGCTCAGTGCTCAACCTCATCCCCAGAAAATAGTGACTATATCATGCCTTTGAGATGTTTCCCCCCAGGAGCAAGTAGAGACTTTGTAATGTGCCATGGACTCTCAGCACAGTGTCCTGGTGAACCAGCCTGCTTTTCTGGTTGTGCAGCCAGGCAGACCTAACTGTTTAGGTCTGCCTAGCAGACCCACAAAGCCACACAGGGTTAGAGACCTTGGTTTCTATCCAGCCTCTACTGTGTGACCCAGCAGGTCGCTTACCCTCTCTGGACTTCAGTGTCCTCCTCTTTGAGATGGGAGATTTGGGATAGAGCAAATCTACTTTTCTTGGGTCACAAACTCCTTTGAGAATTTGCTGGAAGCTTTAGGTCACCAATTTAGAGTGGCTTATGTGTACACGTATCCTCAAGCACTCCATTTTTACATATAAATATATATATATATATATATATATATATATATATATATATATATATATATATATATATTGAGATGGTGTCTTGCTCTATCTCCCAGACGAGAGTGCAGTGGCGCCATCTTGGCTCACTGCACCCTCCGCCTCCCGGGTTCAAGCCATTCTTGTGCCTTAGCCTCCCGAGTAGCTGGGATTACAGGTGCCCACCACCACACCAGGCTAATTTTTGTATTTTTAGTAGAAACAGAGTTTCACCATGTTGGCCAGGCTGGTCTCAAACTCCTGACCTCAGGTGATCGCCCCACCTCGGCCTCCCAAAGTCTGGGATTACAGGTGTGAGCCACCATGCCTGGCCATTTTTTACTTATAATTTTTAGGGACTTAGGGACTCTTAAGGGTTATTCATGGGCTCCCTAGGGATTCCAAGACCCCCCCCACCCCCATTCCTCCCACCGCCAAGTTTGGGATTGCTGTACAAAATGGTTTCTACACTCATCAGACATCCGAAAAAACCCACTACTGACCCAGGTAAAAGGAACCACAGGCTATCCCTGGTAGGCAGGGAAACGTGGGATCCTTTTCACTGAGGAGTCAGCAGATCTTAACCCCATGGCCTTTTCTTTTTCCATCTTTTACCTTTGGGGTTGTCTTGGAATAGGAAGAGGCAGGAGTCATCCCACCAGGGCCAGGGGAACACACCTTTGTGTTTTGACCACAGAGTGAATAACATAACTAGGTACCTCAAGCTTGGATCATGCCTAGATCCTGCTTGGATCATCCCCTACACACATCATCATCATCATCATCATCATCATCACCATCATCACCATCATCATCATCACAGCCACTTCTTACCTGTTCTGAGCACTCCCCAAACATCATTCTAGCTTGTTCCAACCCATCTATGGCATAAGCAGAGAAGGTAGAAAGGTCTTAATTTTATAGACGATGTGGCCCAGAGTCATCCTATGTGTTGCTTAGCATCACACAATGAATTAAAAACTGAGCAATGGGGAGAGTCCAGGTTTTCCCAGCTCTAATGTCAAACCTCCTTTTGGTCCACAGATACTTACAGCATGCCTACTGTGTGCAAAATGCCATGCTGAAGGCTGTCAGGGCTTGAAAGGTGATGATTCAGCAGAGGATGCTGTTTGTGCCTCACCCCGTGTCCTCTAGCCCACTTCTCCACTCATCTGCCACCGTGATGGGAAGGTGTCAGCAAGCCCAGGAATTGTCCACCCTAAGCAGCCTTTCTGCTTCTCACCTGCAGAGTTTCTCCAGTGCAGGGACCAAGAGAGCTTTACTCAGCCCACAGGACAGCTGGGATTTAGCACTGCAGGGGCAACCCTCAAGTTATTAATAAGAGATAAGAATGGGTGGATAAGCAACCTGGCTGCCTTGGAACTCCGTGGGACAATTCCATGGTGTGTTCTCACAGTTCCTCAGTGGGCCCCCATTGCCCACAATGAAACTCGATCATTAACCACTCTTCACTGGCTTTTCTCCTAACCCATCCCTATCTCACTTCCCCTTTCCCTCCCTCCAGCCTCCAGGGATCACCTCCTCAGTAAACTACCTGCACCCAAGTTCTTGTCTCAGGGTCTGATTTCAGGAGAAACCAAACTAGGACATGCAGAGACACGCGTGCACACATACACATACACACACACACACACACACACGCGCACATCTCTGTGAAAAGATGAGGCACAGAGAAGAATCATTCCCAGTCATGACTGGATGGCACCAATAATAAAGGCTGACACGTCCAAAGCTCTAAGACTGTGCTCCTCACTTTGCTAAGCACGTTCGACACTTGCTTCATTTATTTATTTTTATTTGGCAGGTGAGAAGTAGGCATCATAATTATACCTATTACATAGAGTAAGAAACTGAGGCTGAGAGATTAACCTGTCAAGGTCCCTTAGCTAAGTGGTAAAGCCTGGCTGTGTGCCCAGACCTGTCCACCTCCAAAGCAGTTGTCTTGTAAAGACTGCCTAGGCTGTCCGTGGCTGATGCTACAGGAATGGAGCCCAGAGAGGACTAGGGATGGGGAGACTTCCTGGAGGAGGTGGGGTTTGGCTTGGCCTTGAAAGACCAGGTAGGCTTCCACTTCTACCCATCCAGGGCAGGCCGTATGGAAAACAGGGAAAGCTTCTAGGCAAAACATGAAGAACTTTAAAAACAACAGTGAGGAGTTGGGTCCAGCTAGCCAGGAGTGTGTGTTGGAGCAGGTTGAGGCCAGGCTGTGGAGACCAGAATGTCAGCCAGCAAGGTAGCCTCTTCCCCACTCCAGCCCAATGACCTATGTCAGAGAGAGCTCACCAGGAACAGGAATGGTGAAGGCTGGGGACTAGACAGCAGTCCTGCTCAGGCAGGGAGGGCAGAGAACTCACACCTGGTCTGCACCCCATTTCCTGGCCAGGCACCCCTGGTCTCAGTCATTCCCCATTTCCAAGTAGTAAATAGATGTATAAAGCAACCATTTCCATTTAAAGCTCTGCAGACCGTAGGGAGGAGGGCCTGCAGGCCATCTGGGCCCTTGTTTGGCAATGTTTGTGCTCACAACAAACCTGATAGACAGAGATTTATCGCCGTTTTCATTAGCTGGGGTTGGTTTGGTTTGCTGCTTTTCCACCCCCTCCCCGCTACACACACACTCCCGAGTTACAGATTTATGGTGGGTGGGAGGACCAGGGACTCAGAGAGAGGGGAGGAAGAAGGCTGAGCAAGGTATGGACTTGAAGCAAAGGGGATGGGGTGGGGATATGGAGGATGAAGGGGTGGGGGTGGTGAGGAGTGCACCAGCTCCAGAGAAAAGACTAAGAGAGGGTGTGTGTGTGTGTGTGTGTGTGCACTAGCATGCATGTTAGAAGGTGGCTGAAAGACACCTGCAGCCACATGCCCCCAACACACACGTACACACACATCTCATAATCACTGTAACTGTTGAGCATAGAAGCTGCTGAAATTCTAAGCTATCACCACCAGCACTGGGCCCAAGGCCAGGAGGGATGCAGACCTTTGGCAACCTCAGGGTCCACTCTGGTATGACCGTATTTAACAAATGCCTATGTAGCATTCCTTCTGTCCTGAGGCTTTAGCTAGCTTCACTAATTTCACCATTAAAGCAACCTCCAAAGTGGACACTGTATCGTTTCCTTGATGCTGGTTCTTTCCCTCCCCTCACAGCAGAGTATACACCCCACCCATCTCTGTAGGAAGGGGGCCTGGACTTGAGTTCCCAGTTGAAGATATCATTTTTCCCCTTGGTGAAGTTCCCATGGGCATCCCCTTAGGGCTCTTTCTTGGGTTCTTTGCACTCCCTCTCCTCCAGCACTTCCCACCCCCAGCCAGGCTGGCTCTTCCCTGTCTGCATCTTTTCTCAAACAGCACCTCCTGCCCGGTGTGCCCTCCCCACACCTTCACTCATCAAAATCCTTCTAGCCTTCAAGCCCTCGGGGACTGCCTCGTGAGGCCATTCCTGAGCTGCTCCATGAGGGTCATGCCTTCAGTGAAAGACACTGAGAGCCGCCCTTGGGGATCATCCTGAAGGAAGAGGAAGAAACCAGAGAAGGTTGGCTCCCGCCTCTCACAAGCAGAGTGGCTCTACTTTTTATAGCAGAGTTCTGTGTTGGATTTCATTACAGCTAATTTTAAGAGGAAAAACAAGGTTTAACCCAGTGATCAATTCTAACTTTCTCATTTCACAGGTGAGAAACCAAGATCAGAGAGGGTGAGTGACTTGTCCAAGTCACACAGAGTTCTCGTCAGGGCCACAGGGCCAGGCTCCCCGATGCTCTTTCCATGGGATAGTTTCCCCAGTGTATATGCCCATCCTGCTAGGAGACTGGAAGCTCTAGAGAGCAAGGACCAGGACGTGGCATCTCTGTCTCCACTCAACAAACATGTGATGCCTGCGTGTTATTTCACAGGCATTTGATCCCCAAGGCTGGCAGCTTTCGGAGGGTCCATGTTATCAACTTGCCTCCACAGCACCCAGGTAGGGACAGGCTGTAGGGTTGAGACAGGGCTGGAGTGTGGAAGGGGGAGTTCCTTGTCTCTATAGAATCTCCTCTGTCTGGAACACTCACTGCCAAACAGAGCTCTCTGCCTCAGGATTTTCAACACACAAAGCACCTGTCTTTTCAGACCCACCCATAGTCATGTCCCTTGAAAAGAAAGGGTTGATGGGTTGGTTGGTTGGTTGGTTGGTTGGTTGCCTGGAAGGCCCTTAGCAATAATCTGAAGGAAACCAAAAGAACTTCCTCTCCCCAACAAACCAGAACATCAACCCACCATCAGCCTGCCTCAGTGTCTACCGTCCCATCAGAGTGCCTCCTGTGGGACACGGCCTTGGCTCCAGAAAGTCCCACCTCTTTCCTAAGCAGGAGTATCCCACTAGTTCTGACTAAGGCAGGACTTATCGAAGTCAAGAGTGGGCTCTGGAGCCACACAGTCTTGGATTCTAGTCCAAGCTCTGCGGCTGAGAAATACTGAAATACTTAACCTCTCTCTGCTCTGGTCTCCTCTGGGAAATAGGGATAAGAATATCTGGAACAGTGCTCAGAGGATTATTAAAAGAAGTGAACAATTTGTCTCAACTTCCCTGACGGAAAAAAAAAAGGATTGAATGAGATAACCAGTTGGGACACTCAACACAGCACTGGGCCCACTATCTTCCTGTGAATGAGGTCCTCCAGGATTAGCAAGTGCGTTGCTTGGCAAAGTCCCCAGGGAACAAGAGGATGGAGCTGGTGGAGCTTGAAGACACAGAGAATAGAGGGAGTTACCCCAGGCCACAGACAGCCCTGGTAGAGGAGGGGGAACAGCCTAGTCACTGAGCCCCCATCTGCTATGGGGAATCTTGAAAGTGGGAGGAGAAAAGTCTGGCACCAAAACCAACGTCTCCTTCTCTGATTTGCCAGGAGCTGCCCCTTAGCTGGGCTTAAGAGTTCCTTCCAAGGGGTCATTTCACATGATAACAAACTTTCATAGAACTCACTACATGCCAAACACTACATCTTCCCCCGGTAAACTAGACGGTTGGGGCCATTAGGGATTATTATCGTTACCCTGTCTTAGAAGAAGGCGGCTGATGCACCAGGAGCTAGCAACCTGCTGGGGCCACACAGTCCTAAAGAGCAGAACTGGGCTTTGAACCCAGGTGGTCTGCCTGCTCTTAACCCCCTGGACACTGGGTCAGCTTCCTCGCCAGCCACTGGCCACACCTCCAAAGCCCTCTGCAGTCAGTTGCCTGACCAACCTTTCTTTTGCCTACTGGGGTCTTGTCAAATCTGTATGTCTCACTATCAGGCTGGGATCTCATTCTTTTTCCAGTTCGATGGAAATTACCAAGGTCCAGGGGTCCAAGGTTGGGGGGATGGGGGAGGGTGAACAAGACAAATAAGACATAATCCTGGCCCTTGGGAGTTTTCCACTCACCCCTCTTAGACCAAGCAAAAGTACAAATGGAGACCCACATTCCATATGTCTAAATATTTAAAAGTTAAAAATCAAGTTAACAAACTGTTTAATAAAATATGTTCTATTCATACACCTTCTAAAGATCTGGAAGGCTGGATTTGAATTTAGAGTTCTCAGGTTTCTTGGAGTTCTACACAGGGACACGGAGTGGGGAGAAACTCCCTCTGCTCTCCCCCAGCCCTGCCCTCAGCCTGCCTCTTCCCTTCCCATCCCCACCTTCACCTTAAACTAGGGCTTCGAGCATGTGTGTAGATACTCCAATCCGCACACACAGCTGCTGACTGCATGCCCCACACTCAACTCACAGCCAAGACACAGGCTACCCTCTGGAGGTTGAACCTGGGGAGGTGGCCTGCAGAGGTCTTGGATGCAGGGTACAGGCCCTTAGGGCAGGGATTTCTAGGGCCCTGGGCATCTGGAGCATGGTTCAGGAGTGGGGGTGGCTCCCTCCTTCTGAACAGACTCCTACCCTGTGAGGAGGGCCAAAGGAGGGCCCTAAGTTTAGGGCCCCTTGTCTACAGGCACTGGAGCTGGAGGTGGGTCACTCTTTCTTCCTTCTGCTTTCTAATCTCTTTGCCTGATCAGCCAACATCTGAACATCCTGGCAACTTTCCTTTCTAAACAGTTCTCCAAGCCCCATCACAGCCCCTGTAGTCCAGGCCACTCTCATCTATCACCAGGTCACCACAACAGCTTCCTAACTGGTCCTCCAGGCCCCAGTCCTTTGCCCACCCCTCCACAGCCAGTGATCTTTGTTGAACACAAACTGGATCATGATGCAGCCATGCTTAACACTCTTCCGTGGCTCCCTGCTGCACACAGAAGACCCAAATTCAACTTGGCCATTGACGTTGGTGTCCAGCCCCTCTCAAGCCCTCCAGCCTCAGCCTGCCCTACTCCCTGCCCCTAAATGATGCTCTGGCCTATCTACACTGCCCCCAGGTCCCTGCAAGACATGAAGTACACACTGCAGTGTGTGCTGCTCCTCTGCCCCACTTTCTCACCTCCTGTCTCTACGAATTCCTTCTTCTTGAAGATTTGGCTTCATGGTCAAACCTGCAGCAATCCTTTCTTGTCAACAGCCCACTCCCGCCTCCAGGTCTGGCAGGGAGTCCCCGGCTTGTGCTCTCATACTAGTATCTACACTCTATTATAACTATCACTAATTTAACCACTTCTTAATACCCTGACCATTGCCATCTCTTGCTTGAACTATTGCAGTGGCTCCCTAACTACTCTCCCTGCTTCCACTCTTGCCCCTTCCTCTAGGCTGTCCTCCACCAGCAGCCAAAGTGAGCCTTTTAAGACATGTGTTTGGGCTGGGCGCAGTGGCTCACGCTTGTAATCCCAGCACTTTGGGAGGCCGAGGCGGGCAGATCACCTGAGGTCAGGAGTTCCAGATGAGCCTGACCAACATGGCGAAACCCCGTCTCTACTAAAGATACAAAATTAGCCGGGTGTGGTGGCACGTGTCTGTAATCCCAGCTACTCAGGAGGCTGAGGAAGGAGAATCGCTTGAACCCGGGAGGCGGAGGTTGCAGTGAGCCAAGATTGCGCCATTGCACTCCAGCCTGGGCAACAAGAGCAAAACTCCTTCTCAAAAAAAAAAAGACATGTGTTTACTGACCTCACCCCCTGCTCAATATCCCCAGTGGCTCTCATCTCACTATAGGATCCGAAGGCCTGGCGGGGCTATAGTATCATTCATGATTTGCCCCCTGCTCCCTCTACTCTTCTCCCTTCTTCCTTCCCTCACTCACTCTTCCCCAGACACACTGGTCTCTTTCCTTGCTCCTCGTTAAACCCAAAGGCACTGCTGCCTCAGGACCATTGCACAAGCAGTTCCTTCCCTTTACTCAGATTTCTGCTCAAATATCCTCACCTCCAAGGTCCTTCTCTTCCCCCCTACTTTGTTTTACTTCACACATTCATCTCCCCATGACAGACTGCATATCTCTTTGCTTATGTGTTTCTGTCTGTTTCTCCTTCAACCATCTAAGCTCCACAAGAGTGGGGACTTTATCTGTTTTGTCCACCTCAGTGTCCTCAGGTCTGGCACATAGAGGTGCTCAAGAAGAATTTGGCAAAGGAATCATCTGTTTATGTTTTCATGTCCCAGCTAGAATGTGTCCCCCCAAGAGCAGGGACCGTGGCTCATTTATCTCAGTATCCCCTCTGCTTGGCCTGTTGCTGGGCACATAAACAGATGACTTCATTCAGATGGTGAAGGAATGGAGGCCAAGAGCATGGCCTGTGAAAAGGCACCACAGTGGGCTGGAGCCAAGGGCACGCAGGGCAGATGGAGCTGGAAAGGTGAGGTGGGAGCAAATTACAGAGGGGCTGGAAGGCTGGGGGAGCTTCTCTGTAACTTAACATTGAAATGGCTCCTATCTAACATGGAGCCATTGCAAGGTCTTAAGCCAAAGAGAAGAATTTTACGCTGCAACTGTATTTAAAGCTGGGCACGGTGGCTCATGCCTATAATCCCAGCACTTTGGGAAGCCAACACAGGAGAATCACTTGAGGCTAGGAGTTTGAGACCAGCCTGAGCAATACAGTGAGACCCCATCTCTATGAAAAATTTAAAAATTAGCTGGATGTGATGGCACACTCCTGTAGTCCCAGCTACTGGGGAGGCTCAGGCAGGAGGATCAATTGAACCTGGGAGGTCAAGGTTGCAGTGTGCCATAATCATGCCACTGCTCTCCAGCCTGGATGACAGAGCGAGACCCCGTCTCAAACAAAATAAAATATATATATATAATATATATATATATAATATATTTTATATATATATATATATATATATATATATAGATATAGATATATTTTTTAAAGAACTTGGGAGCCGGGTGCGGTGGCTCACACCTGTAATCCCAGCACTTTGGGAGGCCAAGACGGGCAGATCACAAGGTCAGGAGATCGAGACCATCCTGGCTAACATGGTGAAACCCCGTCTCTACTAAAAATACAAAAAAATTAGCTGGGCCTGGTGGCGGGTGCCTGTAGTCCCAGCTACTCGGGAGGCTGAGGCAGGAGAATGGTGTGAACCTGGGAGGCGGAGCTTGCAGTGAGCCGAGATCGCGCCACTGCACTCCAGCCTGGGTGACAGAGCAAGACTCTGTCTCAAAAAAAAAAAAAAAAGAACTTGGGAGAAGAGTAATCACGAAAGCATGGAGAGATGGAACTGACTTAGAGATTGCAAAATCCCCAATCTCAGAATATCCCAGAAGCAAAGCATCATCTTGAGTTGGACACACCAAGGCTTGTCTCCTGATACTTCTCGGCCTCTTTACACTGGCTCAGTCCACTTTTTGACACTGAAAATTGGTTCTGGACATAAGTGCTCCAATCACCCCTAGGAATGCTGGAATTTGCGTGAGAAGGTATCTTAGAGAAAGGTTAGATGTGAGCGGTTCCCTGGGGGCAAGGGCTGGGAAAGGGGCAGGAAGAGTATGGTGGCTCTGCCCCCCCGGGAAAAGTTGAAGGCCCTTATTTGGCATCACCACTCACCTAGGCCTTGGTTGTCCAGGAAGGCCTGGGAAACAGGGCGACAGAGTGTCTCGGGTCTCCCCTCCCCTCTACCCACCCCCCAGGCTTTACTCTGGGTCAGTTGAAGCCTGAAGTGGCTTTTAAGCAATTAGACCAAGCACTGGGCACTTTCAAATCTAATTGTTTCAAAAGCCCTTGAAGGGTTTGAGTCTGAGCTCTTAAAATGCCAGAGAAGAGGGAAATCAGTGATGGTGGGAAGTGTGCGGGGCCCAGCTCTCTTCCCCTGCCCCTGTTTCTGCTCTCCATCTTCTTGAGGATGGAGCGAGTGGACAATTTAGAGCAGAAGGGTCCCTCCTCCCCAGGCTCTGAAGGTTCTGTATCCCCTTCCCTGCCCTACTTCAGGTATCCAAGTAACTGTTTAATCAAACTCTATGCCCTCCCCACCAAATTGATGAGAACTAGGGCCGTCCAGTAGGGAGACCCTGACCCCAGTGGGCAAAGCATCTCACCATCACCCAAGAAAACATGTCAGCAGCCTCACTGTGATTGCACACCTACTCATGGGCTGGAGGCTTGGGATTTTTTAAAAACCTCCTGACCTCAAGGAGACCAACAGCCTGACAAGGGAGAAAAGAGCTGCTTCAAATGGGCAGAAATGAGAGGTTGAACTTAAGAGAGATGCAAAAGCAGTGAGCTCCAGGAACACCGAACTGGGTGGGAGTAGGGCCAGAACTGGAGGAGAGAATTGAGGAACGCTCCATGGTGGAGGGTGACATTTGAGCTGAGCCTGAAGAGTCCGTAGAATTGTGCAGGTCAAGTTAGAAAGAAGGGTACATTATGAGTCCAGGGAATGAACATGAGCCAGAAGTGATCATGGAAGGGTGGAGGCCCCTAAGGACTCACATCCATCCCATCATGCTCTGACTCAGTTTCTTTGTCTATAAAATGGATCACTAGACTGGCTCAGTGGATTCTATTCGTGTTCTCCTGAGCTTTGGAGGTCCACAGAGAAGCTTTGGACCACTTATGGGCCAAGTGGGAGAGCAGAGGAGGCAGGGTCTAGACCTTTGCCTTCAACTGGAGCTTTAACTCTTAGCTGTTTTATATTTTGGATTTCGGTATACTTTTGAGTCATTTTGTCCTCTGCAAACTACTGGGTGGATGGGTCCCTGGATATCTTCCAGCTCTGAGCTCAGGGTCTTCCTCATGATCAGCCACTTCCCTACCAAGAAGGACAGAGAGAGAAATCTATGCAGAGCCCTGAGGGCCAGTGGGGTGGAAATTCTACCCCAAGTTCTGATGTCCTGGAAGGGCTCCTGCCCAGCTGCCCTGGGGAGCTCAGCCCATGACCAAACTCAGATGGACTGATGGGTTTGATTCCTGGAGATATATCATTAAAGCACCTCCCTTTACATTTAGGTAAAGTCTCCCAAACTTTTTTCATGAGGAGAAATTGCCTTTCCTTCCATTGAAGGTGCAAAAAAGACAGCTTGGGTTGCTGCCAATATACCTACATGCTGTCAGAGGGTGTGGATGCCACTACCCACAAAGCCCAGAGTTTGGACAGCAGCCCACCAAACAGCTTAGAGGTGTCCCAGCTAAGCCTTCGAGATAGGATGGAGGGTCTCCAGGAATGCCAAAGGAAATTGTTGAGGAAATCAAAGAATGAATGAACAAATAAAGAGGCCACTGCCAAAATGCCCTTGAAAGGATCACTTTGGAAGCTGTTATTAGTCGTGTTTACCTTGGTGTGAATTAAGTATCTTAGGGTAAGAGTTGCTAGGAGGAAGGAAAGGTTTTGGAAACTGGATGTCACTATATAAGGAAAGAATAATACAAAAAGAAAGATGATGGGTGCAAGACAATCACTCACATAACTTCATCCTAGTCTCCACTACCCCCAGCTCCTCACCTTCCCTCAACCCACCCCCAGCCTCCTCCTCATACCCTCTCCCTTCTTTCCTCCCTGGAAATGCTCCCCAGCTCAGGGCCCAGGTGCTGAAAGGTGCTTTAACGTGAGTGAAAAAGTATTTGGCCTGGAGCAGGGGGACCGGAAGGGGGTGTCAGTCTGTGCCATCTGAAGGGGTGTGGCCCGCTGCATGTAAACATGGAGGAAGGGAGTGGCTTCCGGCCTGAGCTATGGGCCCAGGGAAGGACTGGAAATTCCTACCTGGCCTTCTGCTGCCTCCCCACCTGCCACTGCAGCAACTTCGCTTCACAAACAAAACAGAGACGGAAGTCAGTGGAGTCTTTGCAATGACATCTGCCCCTGCTCAAGTCCTCTGCCCTTGGGAGGTCCCACGACAGGCCTTGGCTCCAACCTTCAGCACCCAAGACCCCAGGATGGCCCATACTCTCAGGGGCCCCTGCCCTGGCCCTGGCCCACTTTCCTGGTCATGTTCTCTTAGGAGTGGCTTCTAGCTATAAAAGCCCAGGTAGGCTTAAGACAAGCAAACAACAATAATAACAACGAAACCCACTTCCCATGGTTCTCCCACAGTTATAGGTTGAGAAGTCAGATGTGTAACTTAGAGCAGGTCACTTAAACTTTCTGGATTTCAGCGTCTTCCTCAATGGACAAAACAGGTCGGAAGACAGTTTGAATCATATAAGGTGCTCTATAAGGGTTGGGGATAAATATTAGGCCATTTAACTGTGGGTTCAAATCCTGCCTCCACCTCCCACCAGCTGGGTGATCTTGGGCAGGTTATTGAATTCTTGGTGCCTCAGTTTTCTCATCAGAGGTGCTCCTGTGACCTATGTTGCAGCTTTGGGAGGTGGATTAAATGAGATAATGGATGCAAATCATCCAGCTCAGTCCCCACAGTTGGTAGAGGTTAGTTTTCTATTACTATATTTTGTTGAACCTAAGACTGTAAGATGCACCATTATTTTACGATCCACTAAGAAAAAAATACCACTGTCAATGAATTGTGAGACGCCTTGAAATGGAAGAGATACTGTATTATTGGAAGGACAAGTGGGGAGTGGGTGGGAAATGGGAATGTCAATCTTTTTCCACTTGGGATGCATCCTGGAATCCAATGCCCAGCCTGCATCCCAGTTAAACCAAAACCTCTGGAGTACAGCCAGTAATCTTTCTGTGACTTGGTTTCCCCATATGCAAAATTGGGATAATTATAGAATCTACTGGGGCCATTAAATGAGTTGATTCATGTAAGCGATTTAGAACAGTACCAGGCCCACAGAAATGCTAAAGTAATTGTTAACAACTATTCCTCTCTCCACCCCCAGGTCCTGGCACAGGCTAGGTGCCTTCTGACTGTTGGTTGATGCAGGAATAGACATGATCATGTGACTGCTGCCCTCCCTCCAACCCCCATCCAGCAGGGAGAGGCCCACTCTGGCCTCTGGAAGCCGGAGAAGAGGCTCACCTGCCCAAAGGCCTTCTGTCCAAAGTTCAAGGGAGCCCCACCCCTCCCAGATGCTCAGCTCACCCCACCCCCAACAGGCAGGGCTACAGTGTGGTGGGCACTGCCACACCCGGACCTGCCACAACCTCTTGGAGTCAGTGACAAGAACCAAACGCACCCCAGCCTCCACCCCTCCCCTTTCCTGCTTTTATTATTTTCTTTTCCATAAAGATTAGTCTGTGTTGCTCCTCTATCAAGGCCTGGAGGATAAACATGTGGTCCGGAGGCAGAGAAACCCCAGGCCTGAAGGCCCCACTGCCCCCACCCCAGCAGCATAAACCCAGGGCTTTTAAGCAAGGAATGGTTTTCAGTAAATCTCTCCTATCAGCAGAAACCTTTGAAAGAGTTTGTTTAAAGGCCAGGGAGATAAACAGCAAGGAGAAGTGTTTGTTTAAGATGTATGTTCTGTGTGGCCACTCTGGGGCCCGGATTTACATCTCTGGGGAGAGGAACCACTCGGAGGCCAGGGTGGGGGCCTTCCAGGGGCACCTTGGGCTCCCGGTGTGGACTTCAGCCCAGGCAGGGACCCATGAGCTCAGGGGAGGGAAGTTAGCTGGACTGCACTCACAGGCCTCTCCAGGCTTGGGGCAAGAAAGCAGGGGCTGAAAGGAGCTGCAGGAAGGGAAGAAGCCCTGTAAAGGAGGGGAGGGGTGCCTGGAAGGACCTGCTGGTTGGAATGCAGGCAGAAATCCCCTAGGAAGCCACCAAACACACACACACACACACACACACACACACACAAAGCTCAGAACAGGCTCAGGCTCAAGGCCCACCCCAAACAGCCTCATACTCAGCAGCCCAATACACAGCTGGGTATGGCCAGCTCTGTGACCTTGGACAAGCCACCTAACCCAGAACTAGAGCCCTAGTTCCTCTCTGCTGTGAAAACAACACACCTGCCTCAAAGGGTTTTGAGTTTTCCTCCTGTCATTTGACAGATATCGCTTGTACACCTACCGTATGTCAGGCACTGTTCTAGGTGCTTGGGATGCAACAGTAAACAAAATACAGCCTCTGTCCTTTTGGAACTTAAAGAGGAGGAAGATAGGCAATGAGCACAATAATCAGTAAATTAAATACTCTTCGGAAGGTGACATGAGCTATAGAAAGAAATAAAGCGGGTACAAAGACCTGGGAAAGGATGGTTAGGTTGGACCTCCCAGAGAAGGTGGTCCTTCAAGGAGATGCAGGTATCTGAGGGGAGAGAAGCTCAGGCAGAACCCTCAGCCAGGGCAAAAGCCTGGAGGATTGAATAAAATACCTTAGGGTAGGTGCTGAAGCATAGTCCTGTGGTCAGTAAATAACGTCCAATGTTGTCATTATACTGAAGCAGTTACTGAGGCCTGGGATGGGCAGGGAAGCCTTCAGGGAGGATGCAGGACTTAAGCTGGGTTTTCCCTGGAATTCCTTCTCCCTGCCAAGTGGAGAGAAAGGCCCTGCAGAAAAGCATCATGGAGGTAGAGAGACAGGAGAATGATGGCAGAGCTCATTCCCCAAACCCAGTGGTGGCCAAGGGGTGTAGGGACCAACGCAGCTGGATTCTCAAGGAAAGTCTTTGGCCTGGGTCAGGAGTCTGGGCTCCCAGTTCTGGCTCTGCCCCTTGCTGGCAGGTGATTTGGGGCAAGTGATTTGAAGCTTCTTGCGTCCTTCTTTTCTCTACGGTAAAATGGGAATAATATATCCTCCCTTCATTGAATTGGTTGAGAGGATGAAAAGAGATATGGGGCCAGGCGCAGTGGTGCACACCTGTAATCCCAGCACTTTGGGAGGCCGAGGCGGGCGGGTTGCCTAAGCTCAGGAGTTTGAGACCAGCCTGGGCAACACAGTGAAATCCCATCTCTACTAAAATACAAAAAATTAGCTGAGCATGGCGGCATGAGCCTGTAGTCCCAGCTATTTGGGAGGCTGAGGCAGGAGAATTGTTTGAACCTGGGAGGTGGAGGCTGCAGTGAGCTGAGATCGTGCCACTGCACTCCAGCCTGGGTGACAGAGCGAGACTCCGTCTCCAAAAAAAGAAAAAAAAGAAAAGAGATATGGTGGGTGTTTCTGCCTGGAACATAGCAGATGCTCAATAAACATTGGATTTGCATTTTGGGCTGTCCTGTGCCCTTTCAGACTCCTTTTGGGCACTTTCCTGAAAGGATGAGCCAGATGGTGATGAGTCTACTGGGTCCCAGACTTGGAGGAGAAGACGACTAATAGCTGAGCATGGTCCCCACGTAGCTGAAGGGCTGTCCCGCCAGAGAAAGCCTAGATTTGTTCCAAAGGGGCTCCAAAAGGAAGGAAGAAGTTTCACGGACACAGATTTTCATTTGCACTCAGGAGGAATTTGGCAATGGTCCGGGCTATTTAACAGCAGGATGGACCTCTATAGAGACAGCTAGCTCGTGCTATTAGGAATTGTGTGGGCAGAGGTGGCTGAGTTGTTTTTTGTTTTGTTTTGTTTTTTGTTTGTTTTTTGTTTTGAGACAGAATTTCACTCTTGTCACCCAGGCTGGAGTGCAATGGCACTATCTTGGCTCACTGCAACCTCCACCTCCCAGGTTCAAGTGATTCTTCTGTCTCAGCCTCTCAAGTAGCTGGGATTACAGGCGCGTGCCACCATGCCTGGCTAATTTTTGTATTTTTAGTAGAGACGGGGTTTTGCCATGTTGGCCAGGCTGGTCTCAAACTCCTAACCTCAGGTGATCTGCCTGCCTTGGCCTCCCAAAGTGCTGGGATTACAGGCGTGAGTCACCGCGCCCAGCCCTGAGTTTTGGGTAGAGGTAGAACAGAGAGGTGGGGACTCCTTCTCTGCGAAGTTTGGACCCGTTGGCTTCTGGGATCCCTTCCAGCTTTGAGATTTGGGGATTTACCTCCATTCCTTGCCAGGCTTCACAGTCCATCAAGATCTACCCATACAACAGATTTTTTCCAATCCTTCACGGAAATTTGCCTGACCCCTGTGTCCTTTGGCTTCAGTCATGTGATGGGCCAGCACATCTGAGAGATGCATCCATGCTAAATTTGGAGTGGTCACAGATTAACACATTAGTCCTTCCAGGTAACCCAGATGCAGGTTTACAGGGTCTTGGATCTGTCAACTTAAAGGTAAAAGGAACAGTGGAACTTCTAGCACCGGGGAGGGACCGAGGACAGATATGTTTGGGAAAACATGCCTGAGAAGTTCATCAAATAGTGCCTAGTACCCTCCAAATCCTTCTTACAATAAGATTAACTTTAGCTAAGATCACAAACCAGAGCTCAAAGATCTGAAGGGCTGGAGTGCCTACCTTGGCCCCTCTTCATGAGCCAGGTGAAGTTCCAGGGGATCTCTGGACACCTTCTCCTTGCCCTGTAGACGCCTTGCCAAGGAGAACCCGCTTGCCTGGCAGCTGTAAGCCAGCACTTTTCTTTTCAAAGCCTCTGAGTCTCCTTTCCCTCCTCCTCCTTCCTTCCCGCCTCCCCCCTCAACACCCAAAAAAGGAGGATGCCCCTTCTGTTGAGTACACAGCCTGCAATTTTGCTGTCAAATCTCAGCCAGGAGGTCAGTGTTGTGACTGACTGTGTAAGGATCGCTCCCTTAAGGGTAATTACACTAAATTCCCCTCTGAAGGACAGCTCTCTCTGGATAGAATACAAGAAAACTCCGCATCCCCCATTCACGGAAACTCATGATTTCTGTGGCTGTCACTGGTACTCTGGCAGCGAGACACTTCGAGGTTCTCCAACCACTCGGAGGTGAGTATGAAGGCGGTGGCCGTGGCAGCACCCAGGCCATGGAGGTGGGTGGCCAAGCGGCAAGATTAGGGGCGTGGGGTCCAGAGGGACCCCTCTGGGGAGCTGGGGTCCTGGGTGGCCAAGCAGGAACTGGGCCACAGACAGGAGCATCTCCACCTGAGCTGGCCACGCCCTGAACAGGGAATGCAATGTCTCTCCACTGACATTCACCCCGGGAGAACACCCCTACACATGCACTCATTCCTTTGTTTAACACATTGCCTTAGAGCACTCATCACCTGCCCTGCACTGTACTAGGCACTAAAGGGGGACCCGCGATGGGGCAGCAGCCCCCTCTGCAAAGAGCTGGAGCACTCGTTGGCAAAACAAAGCACTTACATGTGAAAGGTGAATAAATATCCAAGCCTCCTCCATCCCCTGCATCATCCCCAGACCCTATCAGAGGGGCAACACGCTGACCCTTGTCCCCACCTGCCCTGAAGGAGGCTGGCAGCTAGACCTTTCAGGTCTAGCAGCCACACTTCCACTCTCCCCACCCTGGGGAGACCCTGGCAAGAGTTGGGGAGTCACTCACCCACAACAAACAGTTAAAAGGAAGAAAGCAGGTCTGGCGATATCAATGCACTTTGATAACAATAAACTCTGCTTTTAATTTATGCTAATGTGTAGGGCTGTGGTGACAGTAAGAACTAAATTACAGAGTGGCTTTCGAGCTGGTAATTATCCCTCCATTTTTCGCTGCTCTGGAAGATGGACACACAATTATGCTCTCTTGCTGTATATTAATACAGATTCTTGACATCTTCAGCAGACCTGGAGCTGTCATCGAGCTTTTTGTCTCCTTTAATTGAAAATTAATGGTTACTAGGTTGCCACGGAAACAGAGGCCACGGACGCCAATGGCGCTCACGTCTCACCGCGGGACTGGCGGCGTCAGGAGTCCGGAATGACCTTGAAAGTTAAAAGAAAAAAAAAAAAACTTAAAAAAGAAGGGGAGAGGAGGGGAGAGGAGGAGAGGAGGGGAGGGGGACAGGAGGGTGGGGGGGGTGTTCATGTCAGAACTGAGAGAGAGACAGAGAAAGAGGAGAAGGAAAGGAGTGAAAAGGGGGAAGAGGGAGAGAAAAGAGAGGAAAAGAAGAGATTAAAAATTGAAAAGAAGAGAAGAAATTCCAGGAGGTTGGGAGTGTGGATGCTGGTGAGGGGAAATTAAGTTAGTAAGTTTTACCTCTCAGCTTTTGCCTCTTACCTCTCGTGCTGTTGCTCACTTTCTCTCTCTCTCTCTCCATCTCTCTCTCCCTTTCTCTCTTTTTTAAAGACCCACTGAAACACTGGGACCTGGGTCCCCACTTCAAAATCCATGATTCTACAAATCTGTTTCAGTCAGAACGTCAGCATCTGCTGAGAGCCCCCATGAGGAAGGGACAAAGGCTCCTTTGGTGCCATGAGAGGTGGCAGGCAGAGCAGGGGCAGGGGTGAGGTGTGCCACGTGGGCACTTCTCAGGAGCCAAGCAGGCTGTGCTGTCAAAAGTGGGGGCCACGGAGGAGGCCACTGTATGGGGAGCTGGGAGCTGCCGCAACATTGTCCAGCAGACACGGGCAGGTGAGAGGGCTCTGTCTGCTGGGCCTTCAGCTTGAAAACACAACAAAAGAACTCAAGAGTCAGAGATCGGGGGCGGAGGGGGGAAGGGGATGAGGGGGGAGGGTCCAGGCAAGGAAGATAAGAGATACAGGAGGGCCATTCAGTGAGCCTCTGGGATGGCCAGTGGCTCTGTGCTTGGGAAGGTGTTTTCCTAGGAGAAGTTAGCAGGTCCAGCATAGAGGCACTGGGGACCCCTGAGTGTTCTAGCAGGAAAGGTGGGCTCTTTCCTCATCTATCCACCTTCCCAATTCCTCAGCCGAGGGCACATGCTCTAGAAAAGCAACTCAATTCAACCATTATTGGATGCCTACAGTGAACCAGCAGCCAAGCTAGACTTTGGGGTCACAACAAACCAGACACAGATCCTGCCTAGAAAGCCTCAAAATCGAAGCCGGGAGTAGACAGACATGAATAGACAATTGGAAAGTTAGCGACCCCCTCGAAGATTTCTCTGCAAGGATGTTCACCTCAGTATTATTTATAATGGCAAAAATCTAGAAATGGATGGATGACCAACAGGTGATGACTGATAAAATGATATGCCTTATGCCCAAAGACAGAGCACTATACAGTCATTTTAAATTATGTTGGAGAAGAATATGTCATGACCTGGGGAAAAAGTTATCAATATTTTATTTAATAAAAATATTAGTTGACAAAATGGTGATGTATTCATGATTCCATGATCTTGTTTCTGAACTTTTAAAGACATGTGTACATTAAACATGTAACAAAAAGTTACATATATGTGTATGTAAATGTGTGAGTGCGTGTGAGTGTATATTTGTGAATATGTGTGTGTGAATGTGTGTGTCCATGTGAGTGTGTGTAAATGTGTGTTTGAGAGTCAGCTTAAAAAAAACTAGGAGATACACTAAAGTCGTACCATGGTTATCTCTGGGTGGGAAGATTATGGCTGATCTTTATTTCCTTTTTTATGCTTTTCTGTATTTTCCTTTTTTTTTTTTTTTTTTTTTTTTGAGATGGAGTCTCACTCTGTCACCTAGGCTGGAGTGCAGTGGCTGGATCTTGGCTCACTGCAACCTCTGCCACCCAGGTTCAAGCGATTCTCCTGCTCAGCCTCCCGAGTAGCTGGGATTACAGGCACCTGCCACCACGCCTGGCTAATTTTTATAGCTTTAGCAAAGACGGGGTTTCACCATCTTGGCCAGGCTAGTTTTGAACTCCTGACCTCATGATCCACGCGCCTCAGCCTCCCAAAGTGCTGGGATTACAGGCATGAGCCACCATGCCTGGCCTGTATTTTCCATTTTTTTAAACAATAAATATACATAACTTCTATTAACAGAACAAAAAGAAAAGAAAAGGTGTTTTTAAAATTCTAGAACCAGGCCCCTAGAGATAAAATCCCCAATAAGGTGCTCCTCACACACTTCTGCAGGGACTGGGCCTCCTTGCCTAAGGCTTTCCCCCACAAATCAGACCCAGCAAAGCTTTTCCCCAATTACCAGAACCCCATCCTAGGTTCTCATTCCCCTCCCCCTACAACACTCTCCCCATCCCCAGCCTGCTGGCCAGGGTGTCCAGAGATAGGGACACCCAAGCAGGGCTGCAGGGTGGGCCAGGGGAGCAGGCCCTGCAGCCTGGGATGTGGATGCCAGGAACTCCTTCTCTTTGGTTCCCAGGTGGACCTTTAAGGTAGCACCACTGCCTTCAGCATCATATTTGGACTCACATGCAGGCCACCAGCTATCAAGGGCTAGGAAAGGGTCTCTCATTCACTGGGGCCCCAGTAGCTGGCTGGACCTCAGCAACTCTTTGCTAAGCTGAATATCAACAGTGGATAGTTATGGAGTAACTGCTCATCATTACAACTCTAAGGTACATATTACTATCTCATTTCACAGACCCTGCAGCTAAGGTCCAGAGAGGCTAATTGACTGGCTCCAAGGCACATAGATGATCAGTCACAGAGCTGGAACCCAACCCCAGGGATGATCTGCCTCCAGGTTTGTACTCTCTGTGCCTGTTTCTTCCCTTGCCAGGTCCAGAAAACCCAGGTACAAGTGGAGTCTCCCTGAATGGCTAGGGTTTCTAGAATAGACTCCATTCTGGGAAGGTCACCATGAAAAACTGCATCTTTTCATGGTCTTGGCACCCCTGGCTTGCCCTTGGCAGGGCTGGAAGAGTTACCCCTAGTTAAAGTGGGAACTTTGGAGAAAGCCTGGCTGGGATGAGGGCTTCTAGAAAATGCATCCTCTCTGCCTCTCACCAGATACATCCTTAACTCACTCACCTGGCAAATGGGAGCTCTGTTCCATACCCCTAATTCACTTCTCTACCCCTGCCCAGTCTCAGCTTCCAAAATCAGATTTCCACACCCCTTCCCCCAGGAAGCTTTCAGCCAAGTCACTTCAAATTGCCACACTTATTCCTGTACTCTGCCTCAATAATAAATAAAGCTACCCTATGGCGTATGTCTTCTGTCCTCCATGGCAGGCCCTATGCCAAGCACTTCGCACGTGTCCACTCCCTCTATCTTCCTGACAAGTTTATGAGGAGGTGCTATGATTTTATCCCACTGAGGCATAGAAAGTTAGCCAGCTTGCCCAATGTGACATAGCAAATCAGTGGCAGAGCCAAAAGGTGACCCCTTGCAGTCTGAAACCAGAAGCCACGTTCTTCACTACCACACCAATGGCAATGCAAGGATATGAGGTTTCACTAGAATTGTGGTGCACTGGATGACCTGGAAATCAGTAGCCCATTTGGCTGGACTCTTGTGACATGTCAATGATGAGGCAGGTTGGGGTAATGGTCTTTCCCCAGAACAGGGGATCTTGCATGTGTAGACAGGTGGAAACAGGCTCACCTCCTCTCTGGAGGTAGACTGCATCTGCTTCATTGAGCTGGGAGCCTCTCAGGGCAAGGTCAATTGTGTTCTCACTGGTCCTGCCACCCACACTCAGGACATGAGGGAGGGTTCCGGGGTGGGGGTCGGGGGGCGACTGGCTGCTCCACTGGCTGGCAGACCAGCTATAGGGACAGGTATAGGGGAAGGGTCCCAGGTAAGGGCCATCTGTGCCTCTGCCCCATCCCTGGCTGAGCCCCAAGACCCAGAGGAGGCCTGACTTTCTCTTCCCTCCACCTCCCTCCACCCCCATACCAGCCCTTCTCCACCTCCCCCCTGTCCTTCCCTCCACCTCCCCACCTCATCCCTGCCCACTTCCCTCCCCGCCCAGTTTCCCAGAGCCAGAACAAACAAGAAGACAAACCCAGCCGCAGCGGCAGCGGTGGCAGCGAGGGGAGCAGGGAACTTGCCTTCATTTCCCTGGCTTCCCTGATCCCGACCTTAATCCCCGCTCAGCATCCTGTCAGCCGGGTTGTTCTCAAGCTGACATTGCTGCAGGCGCCTTCTTGGCAGCCTTTCCTCAGATCTGCCTCCTCCGGGGACTTCTAAAGAGGAGCCTGAGGTTTCTCTGTTACAGCCGGCTTCACTTGCTGCCCTCAAGCAAAGCCTGGGCTCCCAGGGGGCCGTAGGGAGCGGGGGCTGAGCGGGGGCAGTGCCAGGCCTGACGTTTGGGAAGAAGAGAGGAGAATGGAGGTGGCTGGACCCCAGAGGCTTCCACAGTGGGGGTCAGGCCTGGAGCAGGAGCCCAACCAGTGCTGTGGGTCTGCTCAAAGCAGGGAGGGACTTGCTCAGGTGTGCAGGCCTAAGAAACTCAGGGGAAACTGAGGCTGGAGCCCAGAGAATTCAGGCTGGCGCTAGTTCTGGCTGTAGAGGAAGCCAAGTGGTCTGCAAGTTTCTGAGCCTGCAGGGAGATCACAGCTCAGAGTGGGTTTGGAGAGAGGGGCAGCTGGAGCCTGCACTGTGTGTGAAAGAAAACACAGACATACACATTCATCAGTGGACGTGCTGAACACCTGCTGGGTCCTGGGAGCCAGACGGGAAAAGCAGCCTGGTGAGAGGGATGCGGGTGAGCTCCCCAACAGACAGACCCCAGTCCCCACTCTGCCGTGGGGTCGCTGTGTGGCCTCAGACCGGTCACTTGGCTTTTCTGAAGCCCATTTTTCTCATCTATAAGGTGTGTGGTGGGTAGGGGGAGGTCATCAGGGAAAGCATCCTTGCAGGATCGATGTGAAGTTTAGAGTCAGCGTGTGCAGAGCACCTGGGGTTGAGGATGATTTTTACCATTCATGTCACTGTCCACAGGGACATTAGTCTGGAGCTTTGTCTGGGTTTTCACAAGTGGAACTCTGTGTGGAGGGGAGTCGCATGAGGGCACGCGTGTGTGCAAGTAAGCAAGTGAGTGTCCATGTGGGAGTCTGGGCAGGACTCCCATGAAGCTGCCACACATCTGAAATCAGGCTCAGCCCACAGCCTGAACAAACATCTGGGACCATAGGTCTGGCCAGCTCTGCCGTCCCCATACACCCCCACCCTCCAGTTGTGATACACCCATTCTGCCAAGGGGATAGGGATGTAAGAGGCTCCTGGAAGCCCAGGAAAGGTGCTCCTTAAGCTCCCCCACCTCTTTCAGCCCCCCTCCGGGGACTCCCTCAGAGCCATAAGTGCTCCAGGGACTGAATTGGAAGGGAGTGCCTGAGACCCCAGGTGCTCAGCTTCTTGGGAGAGAGCTCAGGGTGCAAGCTGGGTGGGCTGTATGAGAGTCCATAGGGTCCCAAAGGCAGAGGGGTTGAGTGAGTGGCAGAGAGGGTGCCTCTCCATCCACCTCTCCATTCCAGAGTGGGAGGGAGGGAGTCCTGGAGAGGGGGCTATAAAGCAGGATCTGGATTCAGTCCCTCTACCTCCCTAATAGGGCCTCTCCCTGGATCAGTAAAAAAACAAAAGCACCAGCTCTTCCTGTTGCCAGGGTTGATGTAGCCGGGTGGCCTTAGGCAAGTGACTAAACCTCTCTGACCCTTGCTGTCCTCATCAGTAAAATGGGAATAGTATTGCCTGTCGGTGTTGCGGTGCAGTGAAAAACAAAGCAGTACATGCAAAGCACAATGCCTGGCATGTGGTAGATGCTCCAAGGTGTGCACAACATCCCAGCTGACACAAAGTTTTGACTCGGGCTGTGGCGGGTATGTCTGTATGAGCATTACTTGGTAATAAGAAATAGAATGTTGACAGCGTTTTAGGTTCCAAAAATGGATATGAATGTCAAAAAGTCAAAGCAGCCAGGTAAAAATGTCGTGTAACAGCCAGGCATGGTGGCATGCACCTGTAGTCCCAGCTACTCGGAAGGCTGAGGCAGGAGAATCGCTTGAGCCCAGGAATTCGAGGCTGCAGTGCGCTATGATTTGATTGTGCCACTGCACTCCAGCCTGGGCCACATAGCAAGACCCTGTCTCTGAAAAACAAAAGCACAAAGCAAAACGAAAAGCATCATGTAACAGCTTGGCACATATAGGTATTGGTAAATTATATTTTCCTTCCTCTCTTCCTCCCTCCCTTCCTTTGGACCAAATAAATTTTATCATTCTCCAACCAAATCATTCTCACTCTTTGGGGGAAGTCAAATTCCCTCCTGACCTAACCATGATGCTTGCATCTCATCTTTATGCGTTGGGCAGGGGGGTTGCCTCCAGGGCCCACATAGGGCACTGTTGTCTCCCAGTCTTTGGGAAACCACCAGTCCAAGAACTCTCAGGAACTTGCTAACCATGCTGATTCCTGCCCCCCACCCCCCCGACCTGCTGAATCAACGCCAGGAAAGGAGCCTGGGGATCCGCATTTAATAAGCTCCCCTGTGAATCTGACACCCACTAAATTAGAAAACCGCCTCCTTAGCACTTTTTCTCTTTTGCCCTTGGCCCATATGTGCTCTTGTTTGTCAGACCGTGTTTAAAGTCCTTGTCTTGGGAAGGTGGCTGCTTCACCCCGCAGCCAGGAGATTCCTGTGGGATGCTCCCTGCAAGAACCCCGAGGTCACTGGGCAGGATTCTGCCCTGCACCTTAATCCCATGGCACCTGTATATATTCATCCCCCACAGTCTGCAGGAGTTGGGGGCTTCTGGGCCCATTTTCCATAGTGGATGCTATATTCCTCAAAGGTCAGAACCTCTGGGTCCCCCCAGCAGGTGGCCTGGGATACAACCAGGGCTCCATGTCAAACAAAGACATTGTCTCCCTGCCCTGGCACTCAAAAAGACAGGCTCAGGTGGGGGCAGGTGCCCTTCCAGCTTCCCAAGAGCCTCCCTGCACTGGGGGTTGGGGAGCAGGGCAGCCTTCTGCTGCTTCTTCCTTCCCTGGCTTGTCACCCAAAGGAGGCTCACCTTAATGTTTAGGAAAGGGTGGAGAAGGGGACACTTCTCAGACCTCTGATGACTCACCATTCCCCAAATTCCAACCCCCACACCCTTATAACTACTCCCATCACCTTAGAATGAGTGAGGGCAACCAGAACTTTACCAAGGGAGGCATCCTTGGGAGGAGGAGGCAGTGGGGTGTGTGAGGCTCTTCTGGACTCAGAGGCCTGAGTGTGAAGTTCTGGCTCCTCATCAGCCAGTTGCACAGACCATGGCAAGCCCTCCTCCAGTTCTCTCACCTGGGAAGCAGCCATTAAAAGTTGTGAGGCCTCAGAGAGACCACGGGGATGAAAGTGCTAAGTGAACATGAGGTATGGATCTTTTTTTTTCTTATTTTATAGAATTAATCCTTTTGCATCCTCCCCCAACAACAGGTGCAGGCTACCTAGGAAGACCCTGTCCAACTGCCTCCTTTCTGGGAGTCCAGCCTCAAGCTGTCTGGCTCTTAAAACAAGCCCATCTGTCTGGGAGGTTTCAGAGGCAGCTGGGAGGGGCCCCCAACCACCCCAGCCCATTCCAAATAGGTGGAGTGGGAGAACCTGGTTCTGAGGCAGCCTCTAGCCATGATGCCCACCCCGGGGATGTCAGGGGAGGCGAGGAGAGGAGGCACCAGGGGAAGAGGACTCTGGGAGCCAGATTCCGAAACTCCTATGGGCGTGAGATCAGAAACCCAAACCCTGCCCCCCACCTCCCCACCCCTTAAGCCACCGTCCGGAAAAAATAAACTATTTCCTGCAACCAGCTCCGAAACAAAGTCTGTGAATGCACAGTGACACATATTACATAAATAGAAGCCACAGAGGGGAAAAGCCTGTTTTCTCTTTCATTATTTATCACTCTCTAACCATCTCCAGCTGGGTGAGTAAACAGGCGCATTGGCCCATAATGAGGAACAGACTGCTGCCGTGGGGCTGCCGGAGGGGCGCGTGTGTGAGCATGAGAGTGTGTGGATGTTTCTGTCTGTCTGTCCCTGAGAGGGAAGCGTGGGAGCCTGAAAAGGCAGGCTTGTGGGGGCATCAGATTCCAGAGGACAAGGGGGGAGCCACCTGGTGCCCCCGCTGGAGTGGAACAGAGCCAGTCTGTTGCCTCCTTGCCATGAGGGTTGGTGCGGGAACTGGTGAGCTGGGCGGAGGAGTCAGAGGGGAGAGACTGTGTGGGTGGGAGAGGATGTGAGATGTATGAGCCAAGTGCGAGGCTGCAAATGTGCCGGGTCTCTGAGCATGACCTCCACAGGGTGGCCTCTGGGAGTGAGGCGGGGGCAGGAGGGTGTGCGAAGGGGTGTGACTGGAGGGGGTGTGTAGGGCTGTAAGACTGGGAAACTAAAGGAGTGTGTATGTGATGACCTCGCCATGTGTGTGTATGCGTGCATGTGGGGGGACCATGGGAGTGTCTGATCCTGAAAGTGTATATGGGAGTGTGTGATTTTTGTGACTATGGGATTGTGTGTTTTATATCTGTGTCACTATGGCAGTATGGCCTATGTATGTGAGATTTTATGGCTGTAGGTGGTATTTTGGGTTGAATTGTGCTCCTCCCCAAAAAAGATATATTGAAGTCCTAACCCCAGAACCTCCGAATATGATTTTATTTGGAACCAGTATCATTGCAGATGTAATCAGTTAGGATGAGTCCCTACTGGAATAGAGTGGCCCTCATGCATTATGACTAGTGTCCTTATAAGATGTCCATGTGAAGACACAGAGACAGATGGAGGCAGAGGCTGGAGTGATGCACCTCCAAACCGAAGAATACCTGGGGCTACCAGAAGCCAGCAAAGGCAAGGAAAGGCCCTTCCCCACAAGTCTCAGAAGGAACCTTGCTTTTGGACTTCTGGCCTCCAAAACTGATACAATAAATTCCTGTTGTTTTAAGCTACCCAGTGTGTGATACTTTGTTGTGGCAGTCCCAGGAAACTAATAGAGGTATGTATGAACATGTTGTGCATATGAATATGTTGTGCAAGCTTGAGAGTGCATGAAAAAATGTGAGAAGCCAGCTGGACGCGGTGGCTAACACCTGTAATCCTAGCACTTTGGGAGGCCAAGGCGGGCAGATCACCTGAGGTCAGGAGTTCGAGACTAGCCTGGCCAACATGGTGAAACCCTGTCTCTACTAAAAAAGTACAAAAATTAGCTGGGTGTGGTGGTGCATGGTTGTAATCCCAGCTACTTGGGAGGCTGAGGCAGGAGAATCACCAGAACCAGGGAGGCAGAGGTTGCAGTGAGCTGAGATCGTGCCACTGCACTCCAGCCTGGGTGACAGAGCCAGACTCCATCTCAAAAAAAAAAAGAAAAAAAAGTGAGAAACCACGAGACTGTGCATGTATGTGAGTATGAGATGGTGGTAGTGAAGATGGAGGTGACTATGGGAGTGTGAAAACGTGTGTGAGACAGGGAATGTGTGAAGTGTCTGTGTATTTGTATGTACCAGAACACACATGCTCAGTACCCACAAATCATCATCCTGGAAAGGAACTCAGCATCTGTCCTTCACATCTGATTGCCTCCACCCACCCTCCCTGACCTTGGGCAGCCCTACCTGAGGCAAGGTAAGCCTGGAGGAGGGCTGCCCACAGCCTGCCCACAGGACACAGGATGCAGGCTTGCTCCTCAGGAACCCAGATGAGGCCAGGCATTGAAGGCTGCAGGCAGTGAGGTAGAGGGTCAAAATCTTTGTTTGTGGGGCTGGGCATTATTGCCTGAAGTCTGATTTCTATTTTTTTGTTTGTTTTTTGAGACAGAGTCTTGCTCTGTTGCCCACGCTGAAATGCAGTGGTGAGATCTTGGTTCATGACAACCTCCGCCTCCTGAGCTCAAGAGATTTTCCTACCTCAGCCTCCTGAGTATCTGGGACTATAAGCGCACGCCATCATGCCTGGCTAATTACTGTATTTTTTGTAGAGAAGGGGTCTCATGGCCAGACATGGTGGCTCACACCTGTAATCCCAGCACTCTGGGAAGCCGAAGCGGGCAGATCACCTGCGGTAAGGAGTTCAAGACCAGCCTGGCCAATATGAAACATCTATCTCTACAAAACACCTGTCTCTACAAAAATACAAAAATTAGCCGGGCATGATGGTGGGTGCCTGTAATCCCAGCTACTTGGAAGGCTGAGGAAGGAGAATCGCTTGAGCCTAGGAGGTAGAGGTTGCAGTGAGCCATGATCGCGCCATTGCACTCCAGCCTGGGCAACACAGAGAGACTCCATCTCAAAAAAAAAAAAGAAAAAGAGAAGGGGTCTGGTTATGTTGCCCAGGCTGGTCTCAACCAATCCTCCTGCCTTGGCCTCCCAAAGTGCTGGGATTACAGATGTGAGCCACCACGCCCAGCCCTGATTTCTTTCTAGCTGCTATGCTGGTATCCCCAGTCCTGCATAGGGAGACAGGCCTATGCTCAGAGAACCTTGAAGCCACACTGGGTTCCTAGGCACCATGCTGACCAGCCCCATTCCTGGAGACCACTGGATGTCACAGAGCCAGCTGGAAACTTAGCCTTCCAGACCATGTTCAGACCAGCCTGTCCCTCTGCAGGCTCAGCCTGTCTTCCAACCAGGAGACACCATAATTGTTCAATTACTCAACAAAGCACATGTTCCAAGGCCCATGTCTTAGCATCCTCAAAGGTGTCCCAGAGAGGCTTTGCTATGAAACTTCAGACAAGCCACTTCTCTCTGAGCCTCAGTCTCCTCTCTGAAGAGTGTACAACCATCCTTACCCTGCCTACCCTCATGGAATTGTTGTCAAGATTAAGGAGCTCAATGGACATGAACTTGCCTTATAAAGAAATGCCTTATAAGATGCCTCCCACAGACCTATGGGGTCAGTATCATCTCCAGCATCAGCTTCCCACTGTCTCTTCCCTTAGCTCTGTAATGCTTTGATTTAATTCAGGAGTCTGCAAACTGTGGCTCACAGACAAAATCCTGCCTGGTTTTGTATGGTCTGTTAGCTAAGTGGTTTTCACAGATGAACATTGGTGGTCACTTTGATAATAGGGAGCGTTAACTTTGAACCCCAACCAAGCAAAATGTTATCCCCTTTCCCCAAATTTCATTCTTCTTATTAGTAAACCTGTAGTACAAACAAAAGTTCTCAATTATTATTGTCATTCTAATTTCATCAATAAAAGTTTTGTGGAAATTTGTTTTCTCTCTTGTTATGTAAATCCCTGCATCATATTCTCAATTTTGCCTCATAGCCTGTAGAGGTTAAAATACAGCAAAATTTGCTGGTCTTTGCCTCCACTGCCCAACTCTGCCCCGGTCACACAAAAACAGCCACAGATGATACGTAAGCAAATGAGTATGACTGTGCTCCAATACAACTTTATTTCCAGAAACAAGTGGTAAGCAGGATTTGGCCATAATCCACCAACCCCTGAAGTAGAACACTGTAAGCCCTTGGCCATTTTGATGGGTTTGGAGAAGGGCAAGTCAATCCCTAGTCAAGTCCAAATAAGCTAAGTGTTGGCTTGAACAATTCACTGGACTGAAGTGGGCTGGATGTGAGTCTGAAGCTGATGGGACTCCCTCCAAGGACTCTAAGAATAAAGCCCACCCAGGAAAAGGCAGAGTTAAGCAATGGGAGCACCCAAGGGCATCATTTTAAGCCCCTGGATCACACATCATCTGCAGCGAGTCCTGCTCCCTTGACTTTCAGTTACAAGAGTCAGTCAATTTTCATTGTTATTTAAGCCCATTTGAAGTGGATTTTCTGATGTTTGCACTGATACAAGAACACAAAAGAAGAGTGTCTAATCCAGCCTGGGGCATTCAGGGAAGACTTCCAAGAAGAGGTGCCATCTGAGCTGGGTCTTAGTCAGCAGTGAAAGCATATGGGAGAAAAGATATTCCAAACAGAGGACACAGTCTGAGAGGAAGCCTAGCTACATGGAAGAGCATAGCACATGCCACAAGTCCCAGGTGGCAGAGCTGGGAGTGGCCAGGGATAGAACCAGAGGTTCAAGAAAGGATACCTTGTACCCTGTGCACCCAACCAAGGTGCTTGAATTTTGAATGCATCTTAAGCAGGGCATGACAAGTTCAGGCTGGAATTGTATTTATTTAATTTTTATTAAAGATGGGGTTTTGCCATGTCGTCCAGGCTGGTCTTGAACTCCTGGCCTCAAGCAATCCATCTGCCTCAGCCTCCCAAAGTGCTGAGATTACAGGCATGAGCTACCACACCCAGCCTGGGCTGGCATGTTAGATAGAACTTTTTCACCACTGTGGAGGATGCACTGAAAGGAGGCTCCGGAAGAGGACAAGGCTGGAAGTGGGGAGGCCAGGTAGGAAGCTATTGGAATACTCCAGATGGGGGATGATGAAGGTCCTGCCCTGACCAATAGTAGGAGAAGTGGAGGTAAAGAGGAGGGAATGACTCTGAGAAATGCCTTGGAAGCCACAGGACTTGGTGACTGGATGTGAAGAGGAAGGGATAAGGAGAACCAAGGGATGATTCTAGTTTCTAGAGTGACTGGGTAGATTATGGTGCCACCAATGGGGAGAAAATGCAGAGGTGGAGCATGTTATGGATACAGAAGATGGCTTGGGCTGGGGACATGTTGAGTGTGCCATCCCTGGAGGCCCACAAACACGCACATGGGATCCAGGTCCCACACAGGATAGTAGTGGGAGCCACCATCTCAAAAGTGGAAGGTAAAACCATGAGAGTAGATGGGCTTGTCCGAGAGCACAGATGACGAGGACAGAGTGGGGCAACGCCCAGTGCTTCAGACAGGACAGAGGGAGATGAGATGAGCCCACAAAGACTCATGAAAAGGAAAAGTTAAGCAGGAGAACAGACCGGCAGAGTGTGGCAGGCACTGGCGCCCTGCCCATCTCTCTCAGTGTTCGCCTCTAAAGGTAGAAGCCTGCTTACTGCCAACACCTGCTGTTTGCCTGAGGCTTTTTTCCTGGCCGTGGAAACACCCTTGGCTCCAGCCCAGAGCAGGCCGGAAGTGCTGGAGAGTGAATGCGCCTAGAAGGAGGACGCAGCCCACGATGAAGGGGAAGTTGGTGGATGAGTACCCTAAGGCCTGCGTCCGTGGGCTGGCTTGTGTGCGGTGTGTGTTACGCACGCTCAAGTCCTCAGTGGGACTGCACTCCTCTTGCTGACAGTGGGATAACACTCCCTTTATTGGCTGCCTTCCCTTCATTCTCCCTGCCCTGCTCCCCCACTGGTATTTCTGGGACCACCTCCCAAATAAACCACTTATGCTTGAATCACTGTCAGAGTCTGCTTCAGGGAGAACCTAAACTAAGACAAACATGTCATGAAAACCAAACAAATAGAAAACATGAAGGTGTTCTCACCAGGTAACTTTTGTCTCTGGAGGGATCAGGTCTTTCCTGTCCCAAGGGGCCCACCTCCACTCTCATAAAAGAGGCCAATTTCTTGTCTGGTCCGAAGGTTCTCAGCAGGGGACTTTCCACATTCCCTGGCTGAGCAAACTCTAACATCAAGAAATCCTTTTGTAGTCCCAGCTACTCAGAGGCTAAGGCAGGAGGATCTCTTGAGCCCAGGAATTCAAGGCTGCAGCGAGCTATGGTCATGTCACTGCACTCTAGCCTGGGTGTCAAAGTGAGATCCTGACTCTAAAATAAGACAGAAAAAAATAAATACTTTCCTGTCTCTCATCTCATTCCTTCTGTTTTTGCAGGAGCTGCTGTGTACTGCAAATGCTCAGAAAGATTCCTCAGCCCCGAGCCCGCCCTCGCCTTGTACCCCTGATTCAGTACTCTTCTTTTCCAGCACTCCAGGTGGCTTTCACTTCTTTCTATTCATCATATCTCCAGCCCCGTAGGTGTTCTCTGCTTCTCTGTCTGCCTGCAATCCAGAGACTGGCTATGACTGCTTGCCAGTGTCCCACAGGGAGACGGGGGGCTAGGTGGGCTGGAAATACTCCCAGTGTACCCCTGACCCACCCTGCTCCCCACCTCCTACCTCTCAAGGCAGGAGGCCAAGGGGAATCGCCTTGAACCAGTCTTCTTGAGAGGGAAAGGGCCCTCAAGAAGCCGTATACTAGAGCAATGAGGTGATCACTCTGGTGTGTAACAAGCCAGGGTATGAAGACAGGTGCTGTACTTACATAATTGTGGAACCGTGTATGAATTTCAACCTTTCTGAGCTTTAGTCTTGTCATTTATAGAATGAAGATAATAATACTATCAACCTGATTTAGGCTGGGTTCCCACATAAGCAGCCCCTGAGACACTATTCCATTGCGAATGGTTGATTTAGGAGGTGAAGGAAATACCAGTAGAAAAGTGGGGAAGTAAGACAAGGAAAGGAGGCAACAAAGTATATGTTACCAAGCCAGCTACAGGATGGGCTCAGTCCCACAGAGGAAACCCTGGGAGTATGCATGGCACACATGACTCGGAGTTATCCCACAAGGGGAGTAAGGGAGTAGGGGTATTTATATACCAGTTCCCATCAGTTATGGGTGGAGGGCTCCCCCAGGAAGTGTTAGTTCCCTGGCACTTCTGGTCTCCCACACAGTGGAAAAGTGGGCTCTAATTCCCAAAGGAAACCCTTAGGCTAGGAAAGTCAGGCACTAGTGATTGGAAGCCTTAGGGGTGAAAAGTCACAGTGCACCAGACAGGGCACCAACAAGTATCTGTTGCATCATCTTAGAGGACTGTTGGGAGGTGAAATGAGGTCATGTGTGGAGCGTGCTTAGCACAGTGTCTGATGCATGGGTGGTTCTTCTTTAAGCAAGACCCAGCTTCAGTTTGCCTTCAGCTGCCTGGCTCCAGGGACTTCCTGCTGCCTAACAACCTTGAGAGAGGTCCTGGGGGCTGGAGAGCCATGGCTCAAGAGCAGAGGGGACTGGAGGAGAGAAGACCCTAGGGCACATGGTGAAGACCAGAAAGAAGAGGGGGTGCAGGAGAACCAGGAAGGAGCTGGGGCCTGGGGCCCAGGCCTGGCATAGAATTACAAGGATGAGGAAGTGTGTGAGCCCCACTCCATGGACCCAGCCAGATGCCACACACAATAAGGGATGTATAAAGACACTCTTATCTTCACTTATTTCTACTCTACATTCATTGCCTCTGACATTTGGAGCACTGCTTTCTCTCAAAAACAAAATAGGACTGTTGTGGGAATCAGAGATACATATTAAAAGTGCCTGGTGAACAGTTGATGCTCAACAGGTGGCAGCTATTTTCAATGTGAGTCTACCTGGGCTTTAACTTCCCTCCTTCATATCCCACCTCACCCTCCAGTGCCAGCAGCTGAGACTCCAAGCCCCAGGTCTTCCAGGTTCCATGGGGAAGGAATACATCCTCTGCTAAGCACAGAGTTCTGAAGACATCCTAAGTCAACAAGCAGAAAGGGAGCCAGAGTAGAGATGAGAAGAATGGGGAGCACAGCCCTCTGAGAGAAGGGGATGGCTCTGAGGGAATGAGAGTCTTCCTTGTCCCATTTTCTACCCAGGTTTCCCCCTTGACCCTAGCTAGCTCTTTCCTTGCGATCACTGAAGACACAGTTATTACATATGTCCTACAACATGCAGCTGATACCTGCAGGACACCAACTTGCCCTAAAGCGTTAGGCTATTTTTTGTTTTTTAAACTTTGCTCTAAAGTATCAAATCATAATCAAATCAATATGCATGTACTGTGCAGCTACCTTGCAAAAGAAATTAAGCTGGATGCAATGAGAAATCCCCAAATGACTGAAATTGTGGGTCCCTAAATTAAGGAGTTTATTATCTAGTTGGAGAAATGAGGCATAAAATGGCTAAACAGTTAACAAACAATAGGGTTTGTTAAAAGTTACTGGGAGCTTATTAAATAAGTTAGCTAACAACACATTATAACATCAATGACATAGGAGTGCTAAAGAGCACCTGGAAAGAGGCAGAAGTGGGCTGGGTTAATCAAGAAAGAATAACAGTAGCTATAGTCTATCCAATGCCTAAACTGAGAAGAATCCTACATGAGCCATACTTGTCCTCACGACCTCTCTGCCAGAGTCTCATTTTTCTTCCCATCTTGCAGTTGAGTAAACTAAGGTTAAGCCCCTTGCTTCAGGATTTGGGGCTAGAAAAGTGACAGAATTGAGACTTAAATCCAAAAGTCTTCAAGTGGATGGAAAATGTGGGATAGCTCTTAAAAGATAAGGAAGGGCCGGACGAGGTGGCTTGCACCTGCAATCCCAGCACTTTGGGAGGCTGAGGCAGGAGAATTATTTGAGTCCAGGAGTTTGAGACGAACCTGCGCAACACAGAGACCCCTTCTCTACCCGGGCATGGTAGCTCACACCTGTGGTCACAGTTAATCGGAAGGCTGAAGTGGGAGGATCAGTTGAGCCCAGGAGGTTGATCACAGTGAGCTGTGATTGCACCTCTGCACGCCAGCCTGGGCAACAACGCGGAAGCTCCGTGTCCAAAAAAAAAAAAAAAAAAAAAGATGAGGAAGAACTAAATGAAGGAAAAAGGAATTCTTTTCTCTGTGCCCACTCCTGGGGCTTCTGCTACCCTCATGCATCCTCCACCCCATCCCCACCCCCATGGGTGGGGTGCATGGGGGAGGGATAAGGCACTGGGTCTGCTCTCTTGGCCCCTCTCTGTGTGTCCTGCTCTCTTCCTGCACAGAAATCCCTCCATGTAGGGATCTCATTTGACCTAAAGATGCTGTGTTCCAACTAGTGGGAAATTGCTCACTGCTTGTCAAGCTATCGCTTATTTCCTGATCTTTAATGACTGATTTTCCACCAATCAGCCCAAAGTCCCATGCCCACCACCTTTTGGACAAGGCCTGAGTCTCTGACTCCCTAAACGTCCCAGAAGGAACTCCAAATACCTCCAAGGGCCCAGGCACCCGGTCAGCCTGGCACCTAGAAGGACAAGCCAGCCTCGCCCCAGTCCTGGGGGCCCTCTCCTCCACAGCCCCTGGCACAGCTACCCACACTACCATGGTCATCTACTTGGGGCAATATGGTAAACTGATAAGCCTCCCCCAGAGGTAGGAGCCCCGCTTAAAACCGAGGAAGCCTAGAGAGTGCCTTGAAGGTTCCTGGCACGGTTCATTAAGATGTCAACCCCTAATGAAATATTTCTTTCTTTAAATCATCATTGATCTTGGGGAAGAGGAGCCTTTGTGGAAAAGGAAAAGGCTGTCCCTCTCCTATCCCTCCCTCACCTCCAATCGGCACAGATCCTAGGTCTTTCCCAGTCAGAAAGATTGGGAAGCAGGGAATGGAGGAACAGTGGGGAGATGGGAAAGGGAAAAGATTATGGAGCAGAAGAACCACAGGGGGAAGGAGAGGCACAGTGGGGAGGGAGGTCACAGAAGGAAGCCTACTGCAGCAAGGAGACCATAATACCCAAATATCCACTACAATCGAACTGCCCCATCAGTGGGAGGCTGGGTAACAAAACAAGATGGGACACACTGATATGGTAGAATCCTCTCCAGCAGCCTCTTAAGTAAGTGACCTAGAGACACACACAACACATGCAACAAACATGTAGACATTCATCTCGGCAGCATGAAGTTCAGCAAAACACAAGTAAAAACAAGGAGCAGGCTACCTTTCATTTAAAATTTTAATTGCTTCATACTTTACTATGCCCCAAAAGTGAATAAAAATAAATAACTAAAACAAAAGAAAATTTTGAGATACCCAAGCAATACCAAAGGAGTAAGAGTAGAAAACTTACTTGGGAAGGCCAACTTCAGAAAACCACAAGGGAAGGATGGAGAATGGGAAAGAAGGAGAGTCACAGAAAGGCCTATATTAGCAATGATTTTTACATGTTTCACTTTTAAGCATAAAATGTATAGCTCAATTAATGTTTACAAAGTGAACACATGCATGTAACCAACTCCCAAATTCAAAAAGACCCCCAGAAATCCCCTTGTGCCCCTCCGTCACACCCCCACCTAAAACAGCCATGCTCCTGAGTTTTAATGCCATCAATTCATTGGATTGGGTTTTGAATTTCCTATCAATGGAATCAAACGGTGTTTTCTTTCGTGTCTGGCTTTTATGCTCAACGTTGGATTTGTGAGATTCCTCCATGTTGTTGCTCGTGGCAATGGTTTGCTCATTCTCATTGCCAAGGACTAGCCCACGGATGAGAAGACCGTGGTTTAGTCACCTATTCCATTGTTGACAGCTGTTGTGAATAGTGAGCACATGCGAGTAGATGGCCTAGCATTCTGGTGTATGCCTTTTGGTGAACATATGTACATATGCATTTTTATTGGCATATACTTAGGAGTGGAGTGGAGTGGAGTTACTGTATTATGCTGATAAAGTGGGTTTTATTTTTGTTTTTTGTTTTTTGAGACAGAGTTTCGCTCTTGTTGCCCAGGCTAGAGTGCAATGGCACGATCTCAGCTCACTGCAAGCTCCACCTCCCATGTTCAAGCGATTCTCCTGCCTCAGCCTCCTGAGTAGCTGGGATTACAGGCATGTGCCACCACACCTGGCTAATTTTGTATTTTTAGTAGAGATGGGGTTTCTCCATGTTGGTCAGGCTGGTCTCAAACTCCCAACCTCAGGTAATCCACCCACCTGCCTCGGCCTCCCAAAGTGCTGGGATTACAGGCGTGAGCCACCACACCTGGCCTATGCTGATGAAGTTTTATTCCTCAATAACTAAAAAATAGTTTTTGGCCAGGTGTAGTGGCTCATGCCTGTAATCCCAGTACTTTGGGAGGCCAAGGCGGGCAGATCACTTGAGGTCAGGAGTTCGAGACCAGCCTGGCCAATATGGCAAAACCCCATCTCTACTAAAAATACAAAAATTAGCAGGGCATGGTGGCATGAGCCTGTAGTCCCAGCTACTCGGGAGGCTGAGGCAGGAGAATTGCTTCAACTCAGAAGGCGGAGGTTGCAGTGAGCTGAGATTGTGCCATTGCACTCCAGCCTGGACAACAGAGTGAGACTCTGTCTCAATAATAATAATAATAATAGAAACATAAACTGTCTGGGCTTAGGTTTGTTGGGACCATGGGAATGAAGCAAATGTTTCTAGATGTACACACCACTACCACCCCAACCTACTCCTGAGTATCAGGCCTGCTGCTAGGAACAAGCTCATCCATCAGCCCACTTCACCTCCACAATAGGGTGGCGGCTGACCTTGGGAAAGGGCGTCTGCTTCAAAGCAGGAGACCTGGGAGCAAGTCCTCGCCACACTACTTCCTAGCTATGTGAACTGAGCAAGTCATTTGACCTCTCTTAGCTTCACCTGCAGAAGAGTCACCATTGCTGGGGTGATAAGCTGAACAGCACGTTATTCGACTGCCTGGCAAGCATTTAATAAGTGGCAACTCATGATTTGCAGTTTTGTGAGGTCAGCATTCGTCATTTTAAGTGAGGACCCTGGAGCTCATCAAGGGGAAAATAAGTAATTATGGAAAGCATGTGAGGAACACATTACCAGGCTAGAAGTTTTGCCCATCCTCCCTCCCAAACACCCAAGGAGGCCTCCCAACCTCCCAATTGATGAGTGAGGTGATGAGTGAGTTAACTGAGACTCAAACATCATGTAACTTGCCTGGGTCACACACTGGTTAAGTGACAGACGCTGAAGTTCAACCCAAGGCTGCCTGACTCTAGCCCCTGTGCTCTTAACTATGGCCCCCCTGGAGGGGCCAAGCCATGAGCCTTGGTTCCGGCCACCGCCAAAGCACCTGCACCTGCCCTGAGTCCTGTGAAGGAACAAGGACAGAAAGAGGACCCTCCTGCCTGCTCCCGGTCACTCCCACTTTGGAGCCAAGGGCTACTCTTTTCAACCTTCTTAACGAAGCTCTTGCACCAGGAAGAAGGGCTTTGGACTGGCTTCTTTGATTTCGGGGCATTTGTTCTGTATCTTTCTTTGGGGAGGCTTTGTCTTCCTCGCTAAAATGCCCTTTAGGTGAAGACAAGACAGGGTCTTTTGATGCCTTGAGCCCCCACTGTAGCTCACAGGGAGCTGGGAACTGAACTGGCCTGGAGATGAGGGGTAAACTGAACTGAAAGTGAAGCATTTCCCAGGGCAATCCCTCTGGGCAAGTGAGCCCATGTGTAAGGTACAAGGGCTGCTGCAGGAAGGGGATGGGAAAAACATTCAGTGAACCAGCCAGAAAAGGGCTGGAGAAGCCCCTCGGAGGTCACCTCATTCAATACCCCCCTACAGAAATTCTCTCTTTTGTCTCCAAAGCCCCTAGTTCTCACCCCACCCTCAGCCTTTGCTGCAAGAAGGATAGGAAGGAGAACTGAGGACATAGTCACTGGCCCAGCTGGTCTGACACAAGGACTTGCCACTCCAGGCTTGGCCTAGGGCTGTCCACACACCATGATTTCCACCAGAGCTGGGCCTCAACAGAAGGTAAATCAGATAGTACTACCAAGGGCTTTCTTTCTCCCAGAATATCCTTCCCCTCAGCTAACCCACAAGCAGGCAGTGTCGCTTCAGAGACCACCATGAGCTTCTTTCTTGTCCTCACTGAAGTGGCTCTAGTTGGAATCTGGCTCATCACTGACCAGCAGCTGTGTAAGCCTGGGCAAGTTACTTGATCTCTTTGTGCCTCAGTTTCCTCTTCTATAAAATGGAGATAATACAAATATCTCCCTCCTGGGGTTACTGTGAAGATTAAATGGCTGGTGGGTGGTACGACTCAGATGTTAGCTGTTATTTTATTCTTATGGCTATGGTTATCTCAGTTGCCACACTGGAAAGGACACTGAGATATCCACATAAATGGCACTTAGAGTCTTCCCTGCACAATTTCACACCTAGAAATCTAAAACGCTCCAGCAGGACCTAAGTATGCCTGTCCCACCTGCCCAAAAAGGCAAATACATAAAATGTGGACCTGTGCAGGTGTCACTAACATTGCAGAAAAGGGACAGAAGTGATGAAAAACAACCCAAGAGGGTGCCTCCTCTCTGAGGTCCCCTTTTCTTTCAAGGACCACTGGAACGGCCAAGAAATCCCCTCCCCCCAGGCAACTAAGCATCAATCCTTGCAGCTCCGACCCCACACCTCAGGCTTCCAGCTCCCACTCCACAGGGGCTCACATACTATGCCAGCCTCTTGTCCACCTGCCTGAGGATTTAGGGCCAGGAGAGGCTTCAAGAGCCACTGTCTTCTTGTCCTGATCCCACAACAGGATCCTCCCTTGGTCATGGGGACCCGGCATCACTGAGCTGGGTTGGGGTACTTCATGAGGACCCCTGAGGCCTCCTTCACTTCTCCCCACCCCCAACACATGCAGACAGATGGGAGATGTTTCCGGCGTGTGTGGGGCGGGGAGGGGGACGGGTATTGAGATTTCCACGGGACTCTGAGTGGTGCGTCTGCTAACAACACAGCCCTCCCCCTTGGGCCGTGGGCATTTCCTCACCCAGACCTCCCCCTCCCAACCCAAACACACCATCGCCGCCACCACCACAATCCCTCCAGTCCCCCTGGGCAAAAGCGATGTTCAGAGACGCGGGGTTTTGTTTACAATCTAATTTGTCCGGATAATTGCCTCAACTTTGCACTTCACTTTGCCCGCATGGCTCTGGCCTTGGGCCCCTTCTTCACTGGTTCGCAGAGCACTTTACGGGAAATTCCCTTTCCGCAGAGGGAGGCAGTGCGCGCCAGGGGGTGACCGTTCACAAAGCCCTGAAGGGGCCTCCCCACCTTCTACCCTCGGCTCAGGAAGCCCACCCCCAGCCCCCACGCAGTGGGGAGCAGGAGGGAGGCCAGACAGGGCCCGGGCCTGACACTGGCTCCGTCTCTGGGCCCCCGGCCACTCCCCGCGCCGAGCGCAGCCCGCCGGGAACCAGTGAACCGTGTGGGATCAGGACTTGGCCGTACCTTCAGACTCCAGGGGATGGCCGGGGTTTGCAAGCGCCCCATAGGATTAGTCCGAGGCCAGGGTGAATCCCTGGGGTCCCTCCACCTACCATCTTTTTCAGATCTGCCGCCTCACGTCTTCTCCCCACGTTCCCATTTTTCCTCCCCTAAAGTTTGGTGCACGTGGTTTTCTCTCGCTCTCAGCGGGCTGCCAGGCGGGGTGAAAGTTGCTGCACCTGCTTTAGGCGAATTATGGTAGCACTAGAAGTTGGTCTCCCCTCCCTCCGCCGCTTGCTCTCTCGCTCCCTCCTCCCTCGCTCTCCGCGCGCTCCCTCCTTCCCTCTCCACCCTCCTCCTCCCCCGCCCCCTCCCGCCCCGCCCGCGCGCCGCCCGCTCGCAGCCACTCGCAGCCCAGGCTCAGTCGCAGCCCCTCGGAGTCCGGAGCCCGCCGTCCCTGCGGACCGGACAGTGCGGCCGGCGGCCGGCGGCCGGGACGGAGCCCCCAGCCCGCGAGGAGGGCGCGGCGCAGGCGGCGGCGGCGCGGCGGGGAGGAGCCCGGGCCGGAACCAGGGCTGGGCCGGGGGCGGGGACGCCGGGGTCCGGGAGCCCGGGAGCCGGAGCGAGCTGACGAGCGTCGCGGAAGGACCGGGAAGGAAGAGCGGAGCCGGAGCGAGCCAAGCAGCCCACAAAGTGCCATGCCCCGGCGGGGTTGAGGCGCGCGGCGGTCGGCCCGGCGCGCTGGGAGGACGCCCGGGAGCTGCGCGACGCGGGGCGGCGCGGAAGGGCAGCCCCGGCGGGCGGCGGCGGGCCCGGGCTGCGACCGGAGCGAGCCCCATGCCCCGCGCGGGCTGACGGGCCGGAGCCCGCACGGAGCGGCCGGGCGGGACAGGTAGGTGGCGGGTCGGGCCCAGGGACGTGGGTGGGGGCTGGGCGGGCGACCAGACCAACTCCCTCGCTCGCGCACTCTCTCGCCCGCTCGCTGGCTCACTTTGTGTTTGCAAACTGCCCGCCCGAGACGCGCTGGGCGCCGGGCGCCAGGAGGAGCCGGGCCCGGGCCGGCGCACTTTGTTCCAGCCAGGGCCGGCCGTGGCGCACTGACCCCGCGCAGCCGCGACATTCCGCCCCTGGCCCGGGCCCCAGCGGGCCGGAGCTGCCTCGGGAACAGGTGGGGGCTGTGGCGCGGCGGGAGTGGGGGCAGCCGGAGGCCGGGGCGGGGAGGGGGGCGGCCGGAGAGGCCACCGAGGCCCGCCCTTCCCCAAGAATCTGGGCCCCGCCCCCTCCCCGCCGGGCCTCTGGGAATGGGGTGTACGGGGGCGCGACCCCCTCCCCGCCCCGAGTCAGACAAAGAATACTTCCCGGCCCAGACTTTCCAGAGCTGGGAAGGGAAGTGGCTCCCCCCAACTCTAGTCGGTACCGGACTCCCCAGGACGCGCCGGAGACAGATGAAAATGGGGGCAAGAGAGCGGGGGATCGCGGTCCTACCCGCCGTGTCGTCTCTGGTGAAGAGGGGACTTGTCTTGCTGAGGTCGCACCTCGGAAGTGCCAGGGCCAGTCAGCCCCTTTTCCATCGCTCGGTCAGCTCGGGGATAGAGCGGAAAACTTCTTGGGGACTTGAGAGCGTCTGGAAATGGCCCCTGTGATTTGTGCGCCGGAGGTGGAGGGTGGGGAAACGATCTGGCTGACACCTCTACTCACCCGCTGTGGAGAGAGCTCCCGCTTCACCACTTAAGGGGGGAAGAGAGGGCGGCCACGGGGGCCCGGAGGCCACCAGGGAAGGAGCCCGGAGTGACCGAGCAGGACCCCCCCCCGCCCCAACTGAGGAGTCTGGTATCTCCCCTGGACAACCCCAGCACCTCTCTGACCGGCGGCGCTTCAGCCTCGGGCTCCTCATCCACGCCAAACAAACTTCCTTGGGCTGCGTCAGAGCACAGCCAGTGGCGCTAGAATGCGACCTGGGGTCCCGGCCGCCCCCATAAAGGACCGGGTAATTTCGCGGAATGCGGATTTTGAGACAGGCCCAGACGGCGGCGGATTCCCTGTGTCCCCCAACTGGGGCGATCTCGTGAACACACCTGCGTCCCACCCCGATCCTAGGTTGGGGGGAAAGGGTATGGGAACCCTGAGCCCAGAGCGCGCCCCGCTCTTTCCTTTGCTCCCCGGCTTCCCTGGCCAGCCCCCTCCCGGCTGGTTTCCTCGCTCACTCGGCGCCTGGCGTTTCGGGCGTCTGGAGATCACCGCGTGTCTGGCACCCCAACGTCTAGTCTCCCCGCAGGTTGACCGCGGCGCCTGGAGCCGGGAATAGGGGTGGGGAGTCCGGAGAACCAAACCCGAGCCTGAAGTTGCCATTCGGGTGACTCCCGAGAAAGCCCGGGAGCATTTTGGCCAATGCGGGTTTTTACCTGAACTTCAGCATCTTCACCCCGGTTTCGGAGACCTGCCTAGATTCGTCCCAGCACGCACTGTTTCGGGTTCGGGATTGAGGGTTAGGGCAGCACACACAGCTTGAGGGGCAATTGTTAGGACTGGCCCGAGTGCCCGCAGAAAGAAAGAGCAGCGGGGTTGTCGTATGGCCTGTAGCTGCGGGAAGGTCTGTGCCGGTCCCACTGTCGAACCCAGAAGCTCACTTTCCACAGAAAACCAGGGCTGAAGGGCCCCCTGACCGCCATGCCCTGCGGGCACCGGGCATTTTGAGCTCTCCCCCACCCCCTCCCCCTGCTGCGAACCAGCCGGTAGGTGCAGGGGCCGAAGGCCAGGCCCAGTGGACCCAGCCGCCTGAAGGGGAGCCACGGCCTCAGAAAACCTCTGCCCGCCCCCGCGGAAAACCGCTGTGGGGAAGTCTGAAGGCCTTTTTTTTTTTTTTTTTTTTTCAACTTGAGAAACTTTTGCCTCGGGGTTTTGGGGCTCTGTTACCTGGTGGCTGGAGGGAGGATACTGGGGCTCTGCTCTTGGTACCTGGACAGCTTGTTGGCTCCCATGGTGCCCTTTCGATCTGAAACTCAAAAAACTGTGAGTTGGGGGAGTCACTCACACTCTAGTCAGTGGGGCAAGGTGGCAAGGGGAAGAGGTGGTTTTGTGGTTGCCCCCTCTCAGCCTCCACACCCAGGGCCAGGGTGAGCGCTGAATCTCTCCTGCGGGACGGGACCCTCAGGACCCACTTTATCCTGGCTCCAGCCTTGCTACTAAGTTTGGGAGACCATGGGAGCCTTCTCTCCTGGCACCAAGGGCTGGGCGCCTGGGTGGAGTTTTCTGTCCTTCTCCCTGTCCTGGACAGGTTTCCCAGGAGTTACGGAGTTGGGGAACCCCTGAGCCCTGGAGAGAGAAAGACCTGACCCCAGTGCTGGAGAACGCCAGGGCCAGAGCATTTGCAAAGGGTCCCACTTGCAAAGGGACCTGCTCCTGTCCCTTTCTGTGTAGGGATCTTCCTCACACCTAGACGCCCCCAGCCCCCTTCCTCTGCCTTTAGAGCCGAAAACTTCCGTTCTGGCTGTAGGCAGGTAGGTCCCTTCTTGCCAGGAATGTGCATATCCTGCTGGGCCCCTACCCCAAACATACCTCTTCCTTGGTGGGAGGGAAGCAGAGGGACTGGGAGAGGAAGGCTTGCTTTTGATCCAGTAATTCCCCCAAATGTTTGCTGAGCCCCTACTCTGCCTGGGCAGGTCCCAGGCTGAGTACTGGGGTACCCAAGCAGTGAAGGCTGGGGTCTGCTGTCTGGACCTCAGATTGTTGGGGTAGGAGAGACAGATATCACATGGTGGGGGGGAGGGTGGAGGGGAGAAGAATGGGAACAGGGTGTCTGTTTCAGAGGAGAGTTGTGAGGTGCAAGGGGAGGGAAGGGTTGTCTCCCCAGGAAGCCTTCCCTGCATCTTAACCCTTCCTACCCCACTGCCTTGGCGGTTTCCTGTCTCTCCAGCCACAGTGCAAGCCCCCCAGTCCCATCCTAAGCAGGCACAATGTCTTTATTTTTTGAATAGCCTAAACTGTGTGAAATAATAATTTCTTCCATCCAAGAAACTCCTCACAGTTTCCCTTCTCACAGATCTTACCACGCTCCAGCTTCCCTAGACCAAGGCAGGGCAGGTACTATTTTTGACAGGACTCTCAGGCTCCGTTGGCTGGAATGACCTCCTCAGATTTGGTTCCAGAACTCTGGAACCCAGAGCAAGGAACTGAGGCCTCCCCAGGGCAGAACATGTGTCAGAGTGGAAAAGGCTTTGGAACTTGGCATTAGAGATGGGACTCTGGAGAACTTAATTAAGCTCTTCGAACCTCAATTTTCTTACATTGTAAAGTAGGTCATAATACCCACCTTAGAGATTCTGTTTGGGAGTTAGATGAGAGAGCAGATGTCAAGTACCTTGCACGGTGCCGGGTGCATGGTAGTACTGATCAAGGGATGGCGTTTATTATTAATTTGCTAGCACTGCCAGGCCACATGTTGGTTGAATATGGAAATACTGAAGTATTAATCTTCATTTTATGGGTTGGGAAAACGAAGTCCAGAGAGAAGAGGCAACTTGTCCAAGGTTACACAGCTACATGGTAGCACAGCTGGAACTAAAATATGGGGCCCTCGACTCCCAGTATAACCAGTAGGGCTTGAGCGTGTGCTGTGGTGAAGGGAGAAAGGAAGGGATGGGAGGAGCTGCCATTCCTCCCTCCTTCCTCCATAAGCTTGGCCTAGGCCGCCTGCCTTCTAGTGTGAATACTTTCTCTTTTCCCTTTAAGTGGAGAGGGGGACTGTAGGTGCAGAATCTGGTGTTTCCACCTGCACACAACCCTGGAGCATTCCCCAGGCACTCCTAAGGTTCTTGTGAGACACACATAAATGGGAGAGAGAATTCCCCAGAATGCAGAGGAGGAAAAATGACTGATAACCCCTCTCTCCAGAAAGGGAGATTTCTAGGGTTTGGAAACCCTAGCCTACACGTCCTTATGGAAGATTTTGGCAGCAAGTCTCAGACCAGTTTGGGACCTATCACTGAATGGATCATCTCAAAGAAGCAAAAGGAAACTCCCCTTGAGCCTGAAGTTATTGGCTCCCTTCAGCGTTGCCTCCCAGGATTCTCTGTGGAAATACACACCTTCAGTCCACTGCCAGTTCCACCAAGCCGGGATCACAGCGGGAACCCTCTTTCCTCTGAATTCTGCCACTTTGGATGCTGTGGTCTTGTGAGATGTTGCTCCTGGGCCCTTGCAGAGCCTGGACGCAGGGCACACCTGCCTGATCTAGAAAACAAGAGCTCCTGGCACAAAAGGTACACATCTGGACAGGGCCGCAGGTGTTGGACCGTGGAGTCACTGTTGCTGTGGTGTGTCGCCCGGGCTGGACATGCCTGGGCCTGGCGAATGCCCTCCTTGCCTTGATCCTGGTCCCAGGATCCCTCTTGAGATCAGGGTCTTTTCCCGGCTGTCCCTCTGGCACAGCCCTGCACCTTCCTTCTCTCCTGTCTGGATGGTAGCCATACAGCCGCCTGTTCCCTGAATCCCAGCTGCTCTGCCCACCTCCCTGGGCCCCATGCTCTGGCCAACTGGAGCCTCCACAGCCAGGCCTGATGGTGGGTGGAGCCAGTTGATAGTGCAAGATAGAGGTAAATGGTGTTTCCTTTCCTGCTGCAGTTCTGATGGTCTGTGACCCAGGCTACCATGTAAATGGAAAATGGGGCGACATAGTGGGTTTTCCTCAGACTAACAGTATGTAGAATAGAGACCATCCGGCATTTGTTCAAGGTAGGCAGGACTGGTGGGAGCAGAAGTTACTCAAGTAGCAGCAAAGGGGTGGCAAAATGATGGCGACTTGAAGGTAGGGTGGCTTAGGGAATGGAGCCAGGGACTCAGTAGTTGTATCCATCCTACGAACACACTGTGGAGCGCCTACTGTGTGCTGGAGGCCAGGCTGGTGAAGGGCAGCAGGAGGGACCCGGAGAAGGGGTGGCTCACATGCAACTTGGAAAATCAGAAATAGAACAAGGGCCGGAGCACAGATCTGTGGGCACTGGCCACCTGAGCCAGCGTGGGTCCTGAAACCCCCAGCTGAGACAGGACATGTGTGCCACCCAGAGAGCCCTTAGGAGGGCCTCCCCGTGTGAAATGAAACCAGGGGGTGGGAGGTTGGGGTAGCTTCCGTTCTCATCTCCTCAGCGGGGCTTCCTTGGATTCCATTCCCGGCTGGCTTTACGTTTCTAGGAGAACATTTCTATGGAGACCCAGGCCTAAAGAAGTTGCTTCAAAAGAGGGTGGCGGTGTACTTCCTCCTTTCCTTTGGGGTTCCCCTGCAGATGCACATCCGCATCCTGGAAGGAAGGGGTACACTAGGGAGAGTTTTGGGGAGATATGAAACATCAGGATTTGTGGGAGACCCAGCGAGAGGCTGCGGCTGTAAGCACTCAGGGAGCAAAGCGCCAGGCTTTTTGAGGCTGCGTCTCTGGATGGGAGCTGGAGAAGCTGGATGGTCAGGCCATGCTGAGGGTGTAGAGTTGGTCCACTGAGAGAATCCCTCCTTCAGGAAGCCTCTGAGCTTTCTTTCCCAGAGAGCCAGAGCTACCTGTTTCCCCTCCCCAGCTGAGCGCTCGCTTTGGATTGTTCCCTCAGTGAGTTTTTACCTTTTTAACTGAGCGCATCAGTTCCAGTTGCTGGAAGCTCCTGCATGTCTGAGACCTGAGCACAGGGATATAACACAAGGGGTTTTCGGCACTCACCAGACGCAGAGAAAAGAACTGCAGCTGGGCTAGCTCGGGCCGGCAGCTGGGGATCCGGAAACACTGGAAGAGGGGACGGCTCAGGCAGCATGGCAGTGTTTAGCCACAGAGAAAGCTGCCCACCGATTGTGCTCAGAGATGATTTTGTGGGTCTAGGCCTAAACAGTCTGTACCCACACGGGTACATGATGAGGGTCCCCGGTAAGCCCACTGCTGCCAACTTCCTAACTCACTCTTCGGCCTTAGGCATGACCCGTCTTCTCTCTGGGCCTCAGTTTTCCTAACTGTACAGTGGGTGAAGAGGACACCTGCAGCCCCACATCCTCGGGCTCACCATCCTGAAGCTGTGGGTTGGGAGCCAGGCAAGAAGAGACCTGAAGGTCTCAACGTACACCCTCTTTGTTCCAAGGGCATCGGGAGCCTACTTCCATGGGTCCTTCTTGAAAGGGGTGCTGTGGAGCTCGGGGCAGAGGACACTATGACCCATGCAAGTCTCCTCCTTCCCAATTAGGCAGTGGAGCCTGATTAAAAGGGGTGCTGCCTGCCCCCTCCCACCCGATCCCCATCGACGAGATTTCCCTTCATCAGAATCTCACATTCTCCAGAAATTAATTTGATGCCTCATGTTATCAATTAATTGAATCTCGTTGGGAGAGAGAGCTCCGCGAGGTGAGGCGAGCTTCAGCTTGGCCCTTGTGTGCCGCCATCCCCCCTCCCCCTCACACCAGGGCAGCCTTCTCCTCCCCCATTCCTTTTTTTCTGCCTTTCTTTTAATTGCACTTATTTTCTAAAATAAAACCACTGCTCTGTGCCCCTTTGCCCAGTTTGGCTTGGATGGATACCCATGGACTGGGTACTGGCTGGGATTTGCCCTTTCAGAGGTGGGGGCAGGAGGACTTCCCCTCCCCTGGACCCTGTCTGATCTCTCCTTAAGTAAACAGAATCTCACCCTTTGGGAATTTGGCCGTGATCCTGTGTGCTCCAGGGGCTTCTGGTGAGAAACTTAGGAGGACTAGGGGAGGGAGGAAGAGCTGGGAACAGACTGCACCCTAGTTGGGGACAGAGGAGGTAGAGAAGGACCAAGCTAGGGACCTTTTAACCCTCAGGATTTTGTCATTCAGAAGCTGCTGCCCCTGCCAGAACTGATCCATTAAAACACAGGGCAGAGGGCATAGGTGTGTGGTACCTCCAAGCCTCCCAACAGTCAGGTCAGATATCTGCAGGAACAAGCCCTCAGCATTTTCAAGGACACTTGGAAGCCCTTGCTCTGCCCCCTGCATGGAAGATGGGGGAAGGAAGTTCTAATAGGACATCCCTATTAGGAAACCTGGGAGGTTGTTGTGGCAGGTAGAGCTAGGTAGTCACCAGGCCCTGACTGAGGAACTGTGCTTTGCCGTTTCACATACCTCCTTGTTCTTATCCCCACAACAACCCTGAAAGATTCTCCAGGCAGTGGTAATTATCACTCTCATTTGATAGGTGAAGTACCCAGGCCCAGAGAGGTTACCTGACTTGCCCCGAGTCACAGTTAACTGGAACTTGCCTTTCTGAAATGCTGGCCATAAGGGCTGAGGTCACAAGTGGACTAACTTCATCCCTGCTGAGTTTTGTTGACCCACACACAGTTCATTACAATGGTAAATTTCACATAAATATCCCCACTTCTGCTCCTTTTGAAAAACCCAAGCCCTGTCAACACTGAGCCTGCATTTCTGTGTGGAAAGGATGGACTGGGATTGAGTGGCAGCTGCCTCCTCGTGCCCTCCTCACCTGGCCTCCTAAGTGACCAGCCTAGCCCCTGAAGGCATTTTGGTTAGCAGCTTTGACATGGAGATTCACCTGTCCCCAGTATTCCTCAAGGAGAATCTAGTGTGGGACAGTGTCTGAAGGACTCTGCAGGGTCTAGCCAGGCACAGTGGCTCATGCCTGTAGTCCCAGCACTTTGGGAGGCCAAGGCAGGTGAATCACCTGAGGTCAGTGGTTCAAGACCATCCTGGCCAACATGGCGAAACCCCATCTCTACTAAAAATACAAAAGTTAGCCGGGCGTGGTGGCAGGCACCTGTAGTCCCAGCTACTCAGGAGGCTGAGGCAGGAGAATTGCTTGAACCCGGGAGGCGGAGGTTGCAGTGAGCCGAGATTGTGCCACTGCACTCTAGCCTGGGCGACAGAATGAGACTCTGCCTCCAAAAAAAAAAAAGACTGCAGGGTCTGTACAAGAAGATCTCAGAGAGAGGACCTATAAGGACACCCTGACCCAAATCTAATTCCCACACAGCTACTTAATAACTGATGGTGGGATGGGCGCAGTGGCTCATGCCTGTAATCCCAGCACTTGGGAGGCCAAAGTGGGAGGATCAGTTGAGCTCAGTTTGAGACCAGCCTGGGCAATATGGTGAAACCCCCTCTCTACAAAAAATACAAAAATTAGGGTGTGGTGGCATGTGACTGTAGTCCCAGCTACTCGGGAGGCTGAGACCAGAGGATCACTTAAGCCAAGGAGGAAAGGTTGCAGTGAGTGAGCCGAGATCGCGCTACTGCACTCCAGTCTGAGCGACACAGAGTGAGACCCTGTCTCAAAAAAAAAAAGAACTGATGGTTGTGGGTGATTCTTTTTGCCTTCTTTCTACCACAGAGGTTAGGTCTTTGTACCATAAGGCCTTGTGTCTCCGGGGGCCTGTTTCAAGATGAAATCAGCGCATCCCTGCCAGGGTGAGCCCCTCTATGATAAAGTCATCACTTGCCCCCTACATCTGAGGAAATGAAGGGAGGGGCCAAGGCATGTCGGGGCAGGCTGGGCAGAACAGCCAGGGGCCCAGAAATGGCCATACTCAGTGGTTTGTCCCAGGCCCTCTAGAGCCCCTCCTGTGCCCAAAGGAAACCCTGGTGCCAAAGGCACCACCAGAACCAGGCTCCAGATGGCCATTCAGGCCCTGGGCGAATTGCCCCTACCCCTTAACCAGCAGGCCCCCCACATAAGACGTCACTATTTAATTAGCCGTCTCTGATTAACCAAACTTGGCATTCGGCTCCTCTTGCCCTCATCTTTCCCAGCTCCGAATCAATGGCTTTGATATGCTAATTAGGGAGTAATTTAATTTCAAAAGGCCGCAATTAACAAGGGTGTTGTGGACATGCTGTAGTTAAGCGGAGTAATCTAATTTGCATTAGTAACAAGCAGGGACTAATTAGAAGCTTAATTAGACACTTAGATGGCTCTTATGTTTACTTTCTTAATGAGATGGAGTGGGATCTTTGGTTCTCTTTCTTTTTTTCCCCCTGTATTGTTAATTCTTTTTTTTGGTCTGTGTAGTAGGAAGGGGTATTGAGGGAGGCCACCTTGCCAGGGCCTGTGGGAGCGTTTCAGGGATGGAGCCAGTAAAAGGTAAGGTGGAGGGTGGTGGTAGGGGTAAGGGAAGGCTTGGATTCCAGAGTGACTCGGGGAGTTAGGACGCGGGGAGGAGCACTGGTTTAGGAGTCAGGAGAGCCACCTGGTTTCAGTTTGGCTCAGTCACTTAGCAGTCAGGTAACCTTGTCAAGTCTTTGGCATCTTTGAAGTGTGGTTCCATCCTCTGTCAAAATGAGCGCAAAATTGCATGGGGGAGAGAGGAGGGAGGGGCTATAGGAAAGCACTCTTGGGGACTCTGTGAATGTTTTTTTTTTTTTTTTGAAATGGAGTCTCGCTCTGTTGCCCAGGCTGGAGTGCAGTGGCGTCATCTTGGCTCACTGCAAGCTCCACCTCCCAGGTTCACACCATTCTCCTGCCTCAGTCTCCTGAGTAGCTGGGACTTACAGGCGCCCGCCAACACGCCCAGCTAATTTTTTGTATTTTTAGTAGAGATAGGGTTTCACCATGTTAGCCAGGATGGTCTCGATCTCCTGACCTTGTGATCTGCCCGCCTTGGCCTCCCAGAGTGCTGGGATTACAGGTGTGAGCCACCGCGCCCGGCAAGCGAATGGTTTTTAACAATAAAATATATTCACAAATTGTGTGCCGAGGCCTTGCTGCGTCATGGCTCAGCTCAGAAGCCACCTCCTACAGAAAGCCTTCCCAGAGCACCCCTTACTCCCTCCAGGCTCCATGGTCCCCAGTGTCTAACATAACATTTGTAAAGCTGTGTGTGTTGTGTAAGACAGAAGTTCTCAATCCTGGCTGCACTGGGAATTTAGAATGCTTGGAAAGCTTTTTAAAATATCCACGCCTGGGTCCAGTTCCCTGAAGAGTGCGATTTAATTGACTTAGGGTGTGCCATAGGTATGGGTTGGTTGGTTTTTTAAAGCTCCCCAGATGATTCCGATGTTCAGAAGGAAAACTTACCTGCCCATTAGTCTTTCTCCTCTCTCCATTTCAAGCCCGGCAAAAGCAAGGATTACGTTTTGCTCACCTCCATTTGCCCCAACCCCAGTGCCCACTGTGCTCAGTATCAGCTGCAGGTGAAGGCTCCCTACCCCACTCTGACCTTAGGGAACTCACCCAGATTCGACAGGGCCTGTAGTGTTGAGTTGCAAATGCCTTATTCAGGCTCTGAGAATCTCCTGGAGAAGGAGCTGAGGAGAATTGAGGGAAATCACTAAAGAGGTTAGGGCCCGAGAGTCTTATGAGATGTGACTGCTTGCTAAAGAAGAACTGGGCAAAATTGGTATGAATTTTATGGGCATCAGTTTGGGAATGAATATATCAAGAACCTTAAAAATATGCAGTTCCACCTTCTAAACATGTATCCTATGCAACTAGTCAAAAATGTAGAGTATCCTGTTCCCATAGAGTATCCTGTTCCCATTTACTGCAGAGTCATAGTAAAACATAGCTAACAGCCTAGATGTCCAACTCTAGGGGATTGGCTCAATACATTCTGGAACATGCGGCCCATTCAAGCAACTGTGTGACCATTAGAAACTGTTGCTTAAAATATTTGACAGCATGTGGAAATGCTTATGATAGTAAGTGGTGAGTGGAAAAAGACGAAAATTGAAACCATGTATAGATTATGACCCAAATTTCACTTTTTAAATGTTTATATGCCAAAAGAGAGTGAGAATGGATTGACCAGAAAGGCTATATATCCCAAAGGGCTAGATCTCTGTAGGGTAGGATTATGAGTACTCTATTTTTTTTTCTTTTTTTCAAAATTTTCTACCAGGATGTCTCTTACTTTTAGGATTCAGAAATAAAGTTATTTGGAACTTGGGAGAGGACCTGGAACAGACAGCACAGGACGGCAGATTCACCTTACAAATCGAAGGCTTTGGTGGAGCCTTTCAGATAGGAATGTCTTTGCCCTGCCACTTGTACTGATCTCCTCCGAGCACCCAAGTGTTGTGCTAAGAAGCCTTGAATGGTCCCTAGAGTTGGGGTAGGCAGCTTCTAGGATGTCACAGTCATTGAGGGAGACTCCCAGGCCAGGAACTCAGGCAGAGATGGGGGTACAGAGGGAAGTCCAGCGTGCCAGCCTCTGACCCACACAATGAGGAGTGCCCAAGGAGGGCAGGGGCTTGGAGAGGGATTAAGCCTACTCTCGAACTCACAGAGCCCCATGTGTTTGGGGAGAGAAACTGCTGGCACGATCAGGGAGCCAAGCAGTGCGTGACTCACATCACCCACCTCTGGCTTCAGGACCTATTCTGGAGCTATAGCCACATTTTAACCCATGGGTCTTGACTCACTTTCTTCAAGTGCTGAACCAAGGGCTGGGAGAGGGGGGTGGGATCAATTTTTAAACCATAGCCCACTCAGGTGGGTTGTAGCAAGACTTTCTGGACTCCTGTAATTATAGTCACTACCCTTCTCTAAACATCTTCCTCATGCAGTGTGTCTTATTTGATACCACTGCAACCCTGGAAGGAAGGTGTACTGGCATTGGCCCCACATTACAGATAAGGAAACCAGGGCTCAGACTGGTGACCTCATTCCTCAATGTCACAAAGGTAGTAAGAGGCCAGGAAGGGTTAGCAGTTCATCTGGCAAATGAGTGGCTGGCTAAGTAAGCCAGAGGCCCAAAGTGGCCACTGCCCTGAAGCCCTCCCCTTACCTGGAGCCTGAAGCCAGAAGCCAGTGGGCCTCTGGGGCCAGGGCTGAATGGGGGAGGCTGGTCCCTGGGACTTTGGATTGGGAAGCATCCTGCAGTTACTTGTAGGGCCAGGGCTCGTTGCTCTGAAAAGCCCTCTGTTTTATATCTCTTGACACAAGTAAGATATAGCAGGATAGCTAGAAACAAACAAATAGAGAAAGAAGGAACTAGAAGACATCCTTGTGCTCTGGTATCCACATGTGTATCTTTTTATATAATCTAGAAATGTATGTATTTCAAAGGTTTTTCATTCTGGAAAAGTCTGAAACCGACGACCCTTCTTTTGTAAAATAAAGGCCTTTGCGTATGTTCTTTGCCCTGCATTCATTGTATACTTTGCCTGGCCAGTACCTACTCAGCCTTCATATCTAAGCATAAATGCCCTTTCCTGGCAAAAGGAGGCTTTCCCTGCCCCTCTCCACTTACCTTAGATCCCCATTTATTTCCTGTACTCACACTTGATAGAATGTATCTGACTTGGGCTTCTCCATTTACTTGTGTATTTAGTTAACATTTGTACACTCTTCATGGGAACATAAGCTTCACAAGAGCAAGCCTGTGTCCTGCTCTGCTGGAGTCTGCATACACAGAGCCTGGCACACTGTAGGTACTTAAACATTGGTCGCACCAATGAATGGATGAAGGGTCATTGCTGGTGAAACATGCTCCTGGCCAACCACTGGAGGAGAGAGAAGCATGACTTTGTTCATGGCTAAAGCCCCACTGGTTTTTAGGAAACTTGTTTTGAGGAAAAACAAGTGCCAGGTTTATCTAGAAAAAAAAGAGAAGGGGCTAGGACCTCCATTATTACCAGTCGCCCTTGCTGAGTCCTTTACCTGCAGCTCTCAGAGCATCTAAGGACACTGCTGCACTGCCTTGTTCAGTAGCGTCCACATTTCACTTTCCTTCAGGTAGATCCCCAGTGCTTAGCTTAATGGGGCCCTAAATACATGTTGAATGATTGAATGGCTTTTGCAGATATATCATCTAGTTTTGCCCAGCAGGAAACTCATAACTAAAGTTAGTGTTCATCATTGGAGCCCCATTGCCTGGGACAACCACCATCAGCATCACCTAGGAACTTCTTAGAAATACAGATTCCCAGGCCCACTCCAGACCTGTTGGGTTAGCAACTTCTGTTGGGGCCCAGTAATCTGTGTTTTAACAAACTCTCCAAGGTAACTTTGATGCACTCAGGTCTGCAACCCCCTGATTTAACGTTGTGGTCCGTCATTCTCATCTTCTACTCCGTGCTATTGTATTTTAAGAAATCTTACCTCTTATTGCAATCTGCTTCCTAATCTTTGTTGGAATTATAAATTATAAAAGAGATGGCTACATCTAGTCCAGTTCTCCCCATTATACAGAGAAGAAAAGAGGAGAATCAACTTGCTCCAAGTCACTCTAGTAGGCCAGGTGCAGTGTCTCAGGCCAGTAATCCCAGCACTTTGGGAGACTGAGGAGGGAGGATCACTTGAGCCCAGGAGTTGGAAACCAGCCTGGGCAACAAAGTGAGACTCTCCCCCGCACCACCACCACTCTGAAAAAAACAAGTCATTCAGTAGTAAATTGGTGTTAGCGCTGGGGCTAGACACCAACTTACAGGGTCAGGCTGTCAGCTGGGCCACGTCCTGCTGTCTCCCAGACTATATTATAGGTTTCTGGAGAACTGGAAACGATATCTTATTTAAATTCCAACCGCCACCATTGCTCTGGGTACGGGCTACCTGTGGTCGTTCCCCACCCGTGTCTCCCTTAAGAACTGGGGCCTCATCTCCACTCCAGCTGCGCGTGCACGTGTGCTCCCGGCAGGACGCGCGCCCAGGAGCGCGCTGGGGGCTGCCCCGCCCCTCTCTCCCTCCCCCGCGGGTAAACTCCGGGCATCCATCAGTCTGTTAATTGCACTAATTAGAGATCGCAGAGGTGTTAATTGGAAAACCCTGGTATTGTGCCTGTTTGGGGGAAGAAAACGTCAATAAAAATTAATTGATGAGTTGGCAGGGCGGGCGGTGCGGGTTCGCGGCGAGGCGCAGGGTGTCATGGCAAATGTTACGGCTCAGATTAAGCGATTGTTAATTAAAAAGCGACGGTAATTAATACTCGCTACGCCATATGGGCCCGTGAAAAGGCACAAAAGGTTTCTCCGCATGTGGGGTTCCCCTTCTCTTTTCTCCTTCCACAAAAGCACCCCAGCCCGTGGGTCCCCCCTTTGGCCCCAAGGTAGGTGGAACTCGTCACTTCCGGCCAGGGAGGGGATGGGGCGGTCTCCGGCGAGTTCCAAGGGCGTCCCTCGTTGCGCACTCGCCCGCCCAGGTTCTTTGAAGAGCCAGGAGCCTCCGGGGAAGTGGGAGCCCCCAGCGGCCCGCAGACTGCCTCAGAGCGGAAGAGGCAGCCGCGGCTTTGACCCAGCTTCCTTCCGACGGCATCTGCAGGAGCCTCTAGGCCTGACATAGGCTCCGAGGTGCCCTGGCTCCCCCACGGGGAATGCTGAGGGTTGGGCCACTAGGTCCTGCCTAAGTGCAGGACCTGAGCCTCAGACAAATCCTGGACCTGCCAAAATAACTCGGCCTCCGGTGCTATCTCCCATTTGCCCCCAACATGTGGTAGGAGAGGCATATGGAAAGTCTGGGGTGGGGGATAAGAGCCCAGTATTAGCGAACCTTAGACCCCTGGCCAATCCCTACCTTATTGTATGGAGGCAGAAAGAGCACCCCAGTGACTTGCCCAAGGTCACACAGCTGAGCCTAGAAACCAGATGGTCTAATTCTCAGAGCCTCTGCCTTCCTGTTCCGCAGGTGTTCAGCTGCTCCTTGCTGAGGACCTTGGTGGCTGGGGGAGGAGCATGGATTGGGAAGATAGGGGTGTGTAGAGAAGAAAGGAGGACCTCTTGGAGCTTGCCCCTCATTACCAGAGGAAGCAGCTCAGATCTACACTGGGTGGAGTCCACTGTGAAAGGGACCCGGCTGTGACTCCAGCAGACCGACCATCAGTGCCTACCAGTATTCACTTAAGTACTGTGGTTTCATGTCCACATGCCAGACTGAGAGTGAGAAGAGACCTTCAGGACCACCTATTTGTATAGAGACAGGGAAGTAGAGGCTCAGAGAAAAGGGAAGGCAGAGGATTCACAATGGTGTGTGGCTGAGCCCAGGCCCCTGCCTGCTCCCCTAGCCAGGGTTCAGGCTCCTGTGGACACTGACTTCTCCTCCATACCCCACACCCTTGTAGTTACAGGGGACTGATAATCAAGGCCTCCCGCCAGCACCCTTCCCCATCCTGTCTTTAGCTGACTGGGTCCCAGGCACCCAGAGCCTGCTCACCCACAGTGCAGGGAGCACACCGGTGCTGTCGCGGCGCCCTGTGGAGAGGTGGGCAGGAGACATGAGGCTGCTGGTGTGCTCATCCTTGGCGGGCAGGTATCCCAGGGCAGAGGTGAGAATTCAGAAAGCACTTCGGAGTGCCTGTCATGCAGGTTTGGGGGGTATGTTGTTAGGTGGGCGGGAGCATGGAAGGAGGTGTATGGGTGTGTGTCAGTGGGGTAAAGACCCTGGAGGGGGCAGAGCATGCCACATGGGAATTAATGCCATTCACACACCCTGCGGAAATGACTTTTCAAATGCATATAATCTCAAGCATGCAAATGAGAGGCTTGCTTCACCCTGTTTAATATGAATGATCGGCCCCTGAATAGCTATTATTATACACCACATTGCAGCAATTATGTTGTTCACTGGGTGTTACTCTGTATGCCCCCCCCATAAAAAGAAAAGAAAGGAGCACCTCTGTCTGCATCCTCCTCCTTCCTTCTTTCTCTTTTTCCAAACTTACTGTCTGATCTGCAACTTTATGATACTCCTTGAGTGTTGGAAGGGGGCCACTCTCCCTAACCCCAGGGAAGTAACTGCCAGATTCTCTTTCCTTTCTCCTTTGCATGCATACACCCCTGAGGCTCTGGTCTTTGTCCCTTGGGGCCCAGGAGTTCTCAGATCTCAGAGAAGCTAGACTTGGAATCAGAGCAGGCAGCTGCTTTCCACCACCAGCAGAGCCAGGGTTGGGGGAGAGGCCCCCCTCCCTCCTGTCTCCCCATCCCCCTCATGTAACTGAGGCCCAGGCCCAAGTGGGGGAAGGTGCTGCTGGCTGGGTGGTTTCAGGGGAGGGTGATGGAGCCCTGTGCTGTGGCAAGTGGAGGATGGTGCCCACCCCATCCATCATTTCACCGCCACTAGCCCTCAGGCTGACATGGCCATTAAGGCCTGAGACCGAGTGCTCAATCTCTTCCGAACCATCACTCCCATCCTGCCCTTACTCCAGCCCAGCTCCTCTCAGAACTTAGGAGTGGAGCAGTGGCTGGGTTGGGGGAAGAGCAAGCCCTTGGGAACATACAGAGAAATTCACAAATACAGGGCACCCAGGAGGCCACTCAGACTTACTGGGACAGTGACACCCAGAGTCACAGATGAAGAGGGGCCACAGGAACAGGGATGTGGCTTCTGTGGACCCCTTGCTGTTCTCTATCTCCTCCCGACTCTGCTTCCAGCCAGGATGAAAGCTGAGCAAATGGCTTGGTAGAGTGAGGGAGAAGAGTTCTTCTGGAGTGAAAGGAGAGAATTTGGGAGTGGGAGGGAAATGCTTTGGGGAGCTGCTGCCTTGGGGAAGGAACTAGAGAAATCACAGTCCAGTCTCTTTCCGCAGTTTCTCATTGTTACCTACAAGGCCCTCATCTGTCAGTCGGGTCAGGGAGACCGTGTGGTTATAGGGTGTGCCTAGGCCAAAAGAGATCGAATTGGGAGGAAAGAAACTGGCTGGCTTCCACGGGCCTTGCTAAATGCTCATGTGGCTTCTATCCCTCGATGATCTCTGTGCAATCTGGGCCAAGTCCTTGACCTCTTTGGGTCTCAATGTCCTCACCCTTACAATTATGGTGGGTGGAGAAGGCGCTGATCAATATTGGGGGCTTGCTCTGTCAGGTGCCATGTGCATGTTTATTTTCTCCTCAAAAGACTTGGAGGCTGGGATGAAATATACTTGGCTCTCTTTATCCGCAGGTTCCACATCCGTGGATTCAATCCACCACAGATGGAAAATACTGTACAGTATTTGCAGTGTGCAGGACCCACAGATAGGGAGGGCCAACTTTTGTATCCATAGGTCCTGCAGGACAAACTGGGAGGCTTGAGCATCTGGAAATTATGGTATCCACAGGGATCCTGGAACCAATCCCCCATAGGTGCCAAGAAACATTGTCCTACCACAGACAAGGAATCTGAGGGTTGGGGAGTTTAAGATGGATCAAAAATCAGTAGTGGATGCCAACCATGGTCTGACCTGTTTGACTGAAATCCATGTTCCTCTCAAGGGACTGTGACTCGGGGGTAGTTGGGGAGCCCCCAGAATTTTAGAACAGCTTTTCATACTAAAGATATTGGAACCTTGTCAGGTGCAGTGGTTCATGCCTATAATCCCAGCACTTTCGGAGGCCGAGGCAAGTGGATCAGTTGAGGCCAGGAGTTCGAGACCAGCCTGGCTAACATCTCTACTAATGGTGTTGCGTGCCTGTAGTACCAGCTACTTGGGAGGCTGAGACAGGATAATTGCTTGAACCCGGGAGACGGAGGTTGCAGGGAGCCGAGATTGTGCCACTGCACTCTGGCCTGGGTGACAGAGCGAGACTCTGTCTCAAAAAGATAAAATGAATAAATTAATTAAATTAAATTTTAAAAGCTATTGGAACCTCTATGAGTTATAAGAAGAAGCTTAGGCCTCCACCTCCTCCTTACTGTCCTGACCATCCCAAACACATACCCTCTCTTTCTAGGGGGATGTTTCAGCCACTCCTTGAGAGGCATTTCTGGGGTCAGGGGATCCAGACCTTGACTCTTTGCCTTGGGTATGTAACCTAACTCTCTGGACCTTCGGTTTTTCCATCTGTAAAATTGGCGTGATAACTCTCTCCCACAGTTCTCATGAGGAGAAATCATGGTTCCTATGGAGAGTGAGTTAACCTTACTGAGTGTCTACTTTTGACCAGGTGCTAGGCTGAGGGCTTTAAAATGGAAGATGGAAGGTGGAACCAGGGCTTCCTTCACTGCACACCTCCATGACGAAGCCCAGTGTCTGGCTCCCAGTAGGTGCTGGGCAAGTGGCAGCCTTTTTTATGGAAGAATAATTGTTGCTTTGGACCTTCTGTGGCCTGGGGAAGGTCATTTGCCCTGGGATGGGAGCAAACACAAAGTCCATTTCAGGTGGGGGTAGGAAGGCAATAATATGATAGGTTCCTAGTGAATAACTTTTGTCTTTGCTTTGTTGGTGTAGGTTTAAGACCCAGACGGGGGCTAGGCACTGTGGCTCATGCCTATAATCGCAGCATTTTGGGAGGCTGAGGCAGGCAGATCACCTGAGGTCAGGAGTTCGAGACCAGCCTGGCCGACATGGTGAAACCCCTTCTCTACTAAAAATACACACACAAAAATTTAGCTGGTCGTGGTGGCAGGCACCTGTAATCCTAGCTACTCAGGAGGCTGAGGTAGAAGAATCGCTCAAACTCGGGAGGCGGAGGCTGCAGTGAGCCGAGATCGCACCACTGCACTCTAGCCTGGGCAATAGAGCGAGACTGTGTCTCAAAAACAAACAAACAAACAAACAAAAAACCTAAAATAGCCCTTCTTCATGTCATTATTATAAACAGTGCAAAACCTCAACTGGGGCAAAAAATCCTCACCCAGAGGGGCAGTGCAAGGGCTTTGTCTCCTCCCTTCCCCACCCCAGCACGAGGTCTCCTAGAAGTCAAGAAAACATGGTTGGGGGTGTGGAGCCACCCCTCACCTGGGGGGACATCGGGAGGAGCCACATTCCATCAGGCATCCCAGGAGCAGCCTCTGGGAAGTTGAGGAGAAGTAGATGCCCAGCTACTCCTGTGGCGATGGTTATGTTTTTGGGGGTCAGCAGTCACTGCCCTTTCAGCCTTCAGCCTCAGCCTCTCCCCTGTGTCTCTCTTCCTCCTCCAGGTACCGCTAGAGCGACATGATGGTGGAATCTGCCTCGGAGACAATCAGGTCGGCTCCATCTGGTCAGAATGGCGTGGGCAGCCTCTCTGGGCAAGCCGATGGCAGCAGCGGCGGGGCCACAGGGACAACTGCAAGTGGCACGGGCAGGGAAGTGACCACGGGTGCAGACAGCAATGGTGAGATGAGTCCCGCAGAGCTGCTGCACTTCCAGCAGCAACAGGTAGGAACTGGTGCGCCTTGGGGTATCTGGGAGCGGGAGAGGGGCACTAGGCTGCATTCCACTTCATCCTGGCTGCTGGAGCACCACTCCCTGCCAGGCAGCCTCACTTTACCATTCTTAAGACAGTCCAGCCTCCAAGGACTCCCTGTCCACCCACCCATTCTGGTGGCCACCTTGAGCCTAGGCTACCACAGCATTTTCAAGAGATAGAAGTGGGACTCGGAGGTCTGAGATCATGAAGCTTGAAACTGTCCCAGAAATGCCAATAAGAAGAGACAGACACACAACTGGGCAGCAGGCTTGAGATTGGCATGTTGGATTGGTGGGCACTCCACTCTTCACCTGCACACTGGCTAGGAAACTGGCTAAATGAACAGGGTTAAGAGGGTGCTGTGCACACAGGGGGATCTTCACATTATTTCTGTTGCAAAACATTATCTGCCTCCGAGTCAGCTTGGGCCTCCATTTCCAGCAGTGAAGAGAGGCCCAGGCAGCTGGGTAAAGGCCAAGAGAGGTAAGCAAAGACAGGCCTCCATTTTTAGGGCTCAAACTGGGAATCCCTGTCTGTGTCTTATATTTCCTCTTCCACCCTAAAGTGCAGAGTTCGGGAGTTTAAGACCAACCTCTCTGAGGATCTAGAGGCACTAGGATGGGTCTAGATCTGGTTGGGTGATGACAGAGCAGGGGTCTCATGTCCTGGTCCCACCTGGGGAAAAAGGGAGAGTCATGCTCAACAAGTTGAGGAGAACCTTCCCAGCCAACAGCCCTGGCCTTGGGATTCTCTTTCTCTGATTTGACTCTGCTCCTGGAATCACTGCTGGTGGTGCCGGCCCTTGAGTGGGGCAGGGGGCGGGGTATGCTAGGAACATGGAGAAGCAGGGCTCTGTGTGTACCTCCCTGCTCAGTAGCCCACTCCTGCCTCATGCGTGCACACGTGTGTGTACCACAGTACCCTCATGTGCTCCTCCATGGCCCTGCTGTCTCTCCCAAGTTCACCCTGGGACTCTGCACTCCTTCTCCCACAGCCCAACTTCATAACCCTTAAGGGGCCTTTTCCCATCATATTCCTTGGAGCCAGAAGTCAGACTGGAAGCAACACCATCAGAAGCCTGACTCCCCTGCACAGAGCTGGTCAGCCAGCGCTAAAGCAGGAATGGAAGAAACCTGGTTTAAGTCCCAGCCAGCCCATTAACCAGTGGCATGACCTTGACCAAGTCATGAGCCTGCCTGAGCCCTGGCCTCCTTGGCACCTAAAGTACAGAGTTGTTAGGATCAGGTGCAATTTGGGTGTGCAACACATGCAGCTCATTTGTTGATGTGGATGTGAGTGGAACAGAGGACTTCAAAAATCACTTTCTCTTGCCAGCAGTGGAGACTGGAGCAGGGAAGGGCCTGACTCCCTTCCCTAGGGAGATATTCTTCAGGAGTTTGCTGGCATCTCCCAAGCCTTCCTAAGCACGTTCTCTGGGGAAGAGACCCACAGAGTCTGTGCCATTTGCTGGGGACAGAAGGTTAAAGGGCAATATCCTAACCTTTACCAACATAATAGCAAAACACACCCCACCAGAAATCTCCAAGGCCACCCATTTTATATGGCCAGCTCTTCCATCTCTGTGACTGTGCAGACAGAGTTATGAAGAATTTTAAATGTAGGGGTTGGGGAGTACTGAAACTGGAAAGTTTCTTTTAAAAAATTTCTGAAAATGAAGAACGGACACAGTTCTCTGGATAACTGGGGAAATGTTTAGGGTGGGGAAAGACAGAACTGTCTGTACTGATCAGGTTTCTTGGTTCTGCGTTGCACATGAGCCATGTTTTCCCATCTATATTCCACATTCCAGTTATTCCTGTTTGTTTTGGGGAATATCCCACAGTCCTGGAAAATCCTATATCTGTTTCACAAATAAACTGGGGTGGGGAGTTGGAGGCAGGCAGAGGGCTGTTTTATCCATTTGGGCTCACTATGGGCAGAGTGCCCAGGGCCAAGGAACATATTTGAGACTTAAAAAAGGTTTTGTTGGCTCCAAACTATGAAAAGAACCTTGCAAAATTAAAATTACAAGATTTCCAATTAAAATGAAATAGTCCATGGGCTATTCCTCTGCCCTGAATGTGTGAACGAGGCTTTTGGGGGAGCTTCAAGGGTAACATTTTCTGGTCCCCAACAACAAATGTTCCTACTTGTAGGATAAACAAGTATGGGAAAGAGAGCCTGGCCCTTTGGGTTCCTGCTCCTTCTCAACCTCAACCTGAAAGGACTTAGAGGACAAACCAATGCCTTTCGTCTCTGGTGCTTTGGGGTCTTCACATATGCTGTGTTGTTATCTCACCATCCCTGCAAGGTGGATATTATTATTCCAGTTTCACAGATGAGACAGCCAGAGGTAGGCACTGAGTTGTCAAGATGGCACAATAAAGGCTGCGTAGACCTCACTCTCCCAGTTCCTAGTTCAGGGCTCAGCACACCTGCCCCTTTGCTGCTTCTCCATCACACAGTCGCTGTGGGAAATGGAGGCAGCGAGGCCTCGAGCATAGTGGATGCTAAGGAAATGTCTGTTGATGAGTAAATTAGAGCATTTCATTTCCAACCTGAAAGGGTTCTGTGATAGAAAAGCAACGCTGCCCGCTGGCCCTAAGTAGCCACTCTAGTGCCATCTGCAAACTCGATAGGAAGTGGGGTAGGAGAGGGTCTGTGGACCACACGCTGGTCCCATTCTCCTCGTACTCTCTGTGGCTCTCCAAGCTCCTCTGCCTTTGTCTGTCTGTTGGTCCTTGTCCCTCTGCTCTCAGTAAACAAGCCCTGGAAATGCAATCCTGGCCTTTGGGAGTAATGAGTTGACAGAGAGGAGAGAGATAAACAGGGCGAGTCAGAAGTCAGGCCTGTTACAGGACTTTAGGCTGAAACAAACAGTGCTGAAGAGGGTGGCCACGTCACTTTGGAACAAGAGCAGGCACTTGTTTCCATGCAACGAGCAGGCTGGGAGCTTGTTTAAACAGAGGCTGGGGGGTGACCTGGCTTGGCTGCCAGGCCAGGTCTGACTAGAGGGAGAGGGTCCTTGGCTGGCTGCCCCATTTCAGCCCTCAAGGCCCAGCTTCCACCTCCTTCATCCCAGCCTGGTCATTGGTGAGTGACAGAGCCATATCACCTCCACGCTGTCTTTGGGGCTTTCACCAAGTCTGCAGTCTTATGCCCTATGGGGAATCTGTCTACCCTGAGGAGAAGGTGCAGGAAGTACAGTAGGCTCTGGAGCAGTCAGTCAAGCTGCAAACACACCTTCAGTCTTACTTTGCACTGGGCTCCGTGCCGGCCAGCTGGCATTGGTGATCCCCAGCTGCTGTTAAAGAATACCCTAGACCATAGACACACCCGTGGCCCATCCGTCCCCTCCCTCGCCAAGGCAAATGCTTCTACCACAGTGCCCCTCCCTGCATTTTACCCTATGGGATGGCTCTTTTCTTCGAAAGTTGCCCTTGTGTTTTATTCTAATCTGATTTCACTTGTATGAAAATGTTCCCAGTGTGGGGATTTTCTCAGGGACCCCACAAATACCCTTAGGACTCTCTCTGATAGGGGCCATGAAGCCTAGGAGAAGTGTGTGCCAGATTTTGGGAGGGGAGGTCTTGGGGGCTGGTCTGGGTGCGCTGGCCAAGTTGGGGCCAGGAGGGCCGAGCTGGTGGGGTGGAGGCAGGCAGAGCCGCTGGCGGCGGTGCTGAGGCCACGCTGAAAGGCGTCCTGGGCCTCTGGAGTGCGCACTCCCATTGTCCATGGGTTGCGGGGGTGACAGGTCAGCGAGGGTCACGGGAGGGTTGCCTAGCGTCTGGGAACTCCCACTGCAGTTGCCGTGGCAACTGGGCCAAATCCCATCCCGTTCACATCCTGTGAGGAGATTCAAAAGGGTTGGGGGGCTTTGCACATTAATGGGCTTTTACCTCACCCCCCCTTCAAAGAGATGGGGGGAATGTCAGGCAGTTGGGGGAGGGGAGAAGAAGAATGGGAGAGATTTTTCTTTCCTTTTCCTCCCCCATCTGGGCCTCCTCTGCCCAAGCTACTTAGAGGGATGACAGCAGGGGAAGGGGAGGATTCAGAGGGTGAATTTGCCCCCCACCACCCCCTGACACACACACACACACACACACACACACACACACACACGCAGTCAACAGTTGTCTTTGGTCTGCAGGTCCAGGGCCCATTTCTCTTCAGGACTGCTGGCTGTGTGCCCCAGATTCTACTGTTTCCTGTCTGATCCCACACCTTCTGCATTCTCCTTTTTCTTCTGGAGAATGAGCCCCTCCCGTGGAGGAGCCATGGCATGGAGGGAGAGTTGGGGCCCGCACTCTCCAGAGGGGAGGCTTACGGACATCACACCAGTTCATACCAGCTGCTGGGGAATGCTCAGAAACTGCCCTTTCCTCCTTGGCCTGACACAGTGAGAGAAGGACAGGTGGGAGGTGGGAGGAGCTGGGGAGTGCTGTGGCTGGGAGAGGGCCTTAACCATCCCCCTTGTTGTACCCCTCCCAGGTCCCTGAGAGCCAAAGACCGCCCTGTTTCCTATGTTGGAAAATTCCCCTAGGAGGGCAGAGGGCGGGGCTGGGGCCTGGAGGAGGGATCTGCAGACCCCTGCTTTCTTGGGACTAAAAGGAGCCAGCCCACTCTACCAGCAGGAGAGCCCCCAGCTTCCCTCCTAATATGGAATTCTGAAATCCCTCTTCTTCCCTCCCTCACCTCCCCTTCATGGCAGAATTCTTTTCCCTGCTGATTAGAACTGGGGATACAGAGGAGAATTTGGGGAAGGGAGATGAATGTTCCTTCTGAGAAAGGATTTATCTTGAGGATTGAAGTGGGGAAGGCTGCATCCTAGGGTCACCTCATCAGGGCAGAACTTGGCCTGGAACCCTCAGTGGGAGAGCTGGCTTTTCCCCTGGGGGAGCACCTTTATTCTGAGAAGGCCCAGTAGGAATCTTCAGGACGAGAACTGCATCCCCCACCACCACTGCCCCCACTCCAACCCTACATTGCAGAGGTGGCTAGAGTGAAGCGGCTCAGAACCCAAACCCCAGCACAGACCCACTTCCAGAGAACTCCACAGATACTGGTGGGAGGGATGTATGTCTGGTAGCCACCTCCAAATGCCACCAAGAATGAGGAAAGTGATCACGGGAACTTTTGCATCACTGCCACTCGGTCACCCACCACCACCTTGGTGATTTCACCTCCTTGCTGGAGGTCAGAGAGTTCCTTCCAGGCACTGAGGACTCTCCCCCTCATGACACCCTGCAGAGCTGGTTTTGGCTGCAGGAGCTGGATGAGCCCTGGGCTGCATCATTGCTAGAAGCAGGCAGAGGCCGGGCACTGCTGGTGCGAAGCCTGCCTGAGTTTGAGAGCAGTGGTTCAGGGAATGGAGAGAATGAAGGAGCCTTTTGAAGGATCGCAGTTCCTCATCCACGCTGTTGAGTTCAGCTGTAAATTCTCATCTCTCTGAGGCCAGAAACTAGTTCCTTATAGAGAGGAGGCATTTTCAAGGCACTTGGTAGGGAAGGCGTCCTGAAATCGGGGCTGTACACCCAGGATGTGAGTCGTCTCCCACCCACGTGGGCCTGTCTGTGTCTGTGCGTTGCTGGTTTTCATTTTAATGGTTCTAATTTGAGAATGCGCCGATGTCATTTTTACGAGGTTGGTGTAAAAAAATTTACAGCCTTTTCCAAAAAGCTTTTTTTTCCCAAGGGAAAAAAGTGCGGAATAACTTCAGGGGTTTTATGGTCTCCTCTCCCCACCTTCCTTGTCCCCCCTCTCTGTGTAATTTCATTTTTATGTCTCTTTGCTGGAGGACAAAGCCTGGCTGGTCAAGAACTTTCCTCCCCCCAGGTCAGTTCCCTCAGTGGTCAGGACCACTAATCTCTAACTCCTCCTTCTTGTACCCCTTTCTTCCACCCTCTGGTCCCTGAGGAGTTGCATTTTGAGGGGTAGATGAAGCGATATTCCTTCTTTACTTTGAACCAGTGAGTGCTTATTAGGCATCCATTGTTTACCAGCAGTAAGTATCTACCCCGAAAGACTGTATCACTTCCTACTCAAAATCCTTCAGCGATTTTTCAAGTGTATAATGAAATAAAAAATCATTGTCCCTGTGTAATCTGGCACCTGCACACCTCTGGGACTTCTTCTCAGGCCACTCTTCTCTTGGCCACACTGGCTTTTCAATTCATAATGCACCCAGCTTTTCCCACGGCAGGGCCTCGCACCATGTGTTCCCTCCACCTCAGATACTCTCCCTTGGAAGAGTTGCCTCCTCCTGATGTTGTGTCTCCTCAGAGAGGCCTTCCCTGGCCACACACCCTAGAGCCAGCCAGCCAGCCAGCCTCCATGGGACACTCGCCACCAGCTCAGAGTTTGCATGTCTCTTTGTGTAGTGTCTGTCTCGGCCCATTAGAACGTGAGCCCCGTTAAAGATGCTGAGTCCCCAGTACTGAGGACACTGTGAGTGCCCTGTGGGGCTTAATAACCACTCATTAAATTGTTAAATTAATAGTCATGCTGTGGTTCTGGAGGTAAAGGTAATAGGCTTTCCTGGGGATGCTTTTCTGGCTCAGAATGGGGCGAGGTGGGCCAGCACCCTCAAATACCCTTCTAGTCCCTTCTTTTCCTAAATCCAGCCAGTTCCCAGTGAAAATTAATTATGGAGACAATTTAGATAAGATTGAATCCCAGTTTTGCCAAAACCAGCCAGAGGCAGACAAAGGAAGTTTGGAGTTTGTTTGTTTTGGCTGCCCCTCACCACAATCCAAATTAAACCAGAATTTGCTAGTACCTCCTCCATCCTGCCCAGCCAGCGCTTGGTTTCTCTTCCCTGTGCAGAGCCCAGTTTCAGGTCTGGTACATTCAGGTTCTGCTTTTGCCACTGTGTCCCGTTGGGCAAATCATTGCCCATCTCTGGATCTCTGTTTCTCCATCTATCAGTGAACTAGAAAATACCTATTTTTTGACCCACTAAATTGATATTATGACCCACTACTGGGCCATGAGCAGCAATTTGAAAAATACTGGACTAGATACCCTCTAACACTTGCAGCTCTCCAGGGGTTGTGGCCCAAGCTCTTCGACTTCTCATTCTCAACAGCCTTTCAAGCTTGTCTCCCTGATTATCACGTCCCTGCCCTCCTGCACACACAGAGAATAAGGCTGGCACCCCAACACAGATCTGGGATCCTCCAGCCTGCTGAAAGGACTGGTAAATAGCCCCGCACCTGGCTTCCTGAGAGAGAATGACCCCTCTCCCACCCCCCACTCCACCAACCCCGAATTCCCAGAACCAGAAATGGGAGTGTGGTCCTATCCTGGAGGGGAGAGAGAGACCCCATAGCACCGAGACTTGTTTTTCTATTCATAGCAGCTCCCTGTTGCCCTCAAAGCTACAGCTTCATTCTCCACCATCCCAACCGCCCTCCCTGGATGCCATCCGTTATAAGCCATTTGTTCCTAATTGCGGAGATCCTGCTAATGACTTCTGAATGGGGGATGGGGGGAGGAGAGTTCAGCTTCATTAGCGAGACTGAGTTCTTAAGCTTGAGGGGGAATGGGGGCTGGGCTGGAAGAGGGTTTGGTTAGCAAGGCCTTCTGGGTGGCACCAGGCAAGTGACCAGGAGCTGCTGGTGAAAGATCAATCATCATAATAGCGTTCGTCCAGGACCTACTGGGTGCCTGGCAGTGTGCTAAGTACTCCATGTGCACAGTCCCACATGCTGTTCCCAGGAACCCCATGAAGAAAGTATGGGGTTGTTCCAGTTTTGCAGAGGAAGAAACGGAGGCTCAAAGAGATGGTGACTTGCCCAAGGTTACCCAGCATACGGTGGAGCCAGAACTTGGATCCAGATCTCTCTTGACGTCCATGCATGAATGGACAGTACACCTCCCTTAGAGGAAAACTGGACATCATCCCCAAACCACAGAGCTGGACATTTGGTTTTCAGTCCAAGGGGTAGAAGGAGGAAAAAAATGAGGTTCAAGAGGCCAAATGGCTCCCAGTTTTCCACTCTGCCTAAGCCCCCTCTTCCTCCTCCCCTAGGTTTTCCATAATGGCTTCTTCCTGGTGTGGGTATCTGAACACCTTTCTCACCCAGGGCTGTGTTTGGGTATCTCTTGCCCTTAGGGAAGGGAAACTGAGCCCAGTTTTCCCCTGGAGTTTCCTTTCTTGGTCTTCTTCCTCCACCTCCACCATCTTCACTTCCCCTTCTCACTGGAGGGCTGAACACATGCAGATTAGGGGGAAGGCAGATTTGAAGGCCTCGCTGGACTGTGCATGGGATCATGGAGACCCCTCAGTGGAGTAAGCCCTGAGCAGTCAGAGGTGTTTGGACTCTGCCACTTCCTAGCTGTGGAACTTCAGGCCTCAGTTTCCTTGTCTGTAAAATAGGGATATCAATACCTGCTCCACCTAGCTCAATGTTGTGAAGCTTCAATTAAATGTTTGAAAAAGTGCTTTGAAAACTGCAAGGCAAATGTTAGCTGTTAAGTTTAGTGTCAGCCTGTGCCAGCCTCCCGTATTCAGCCTAGACTAAAATGAGTTTTGTGAGTGGGTATCACATGTCTGCTGTGTGCTGGTGGTTGGAGATGGGGGTTCACAGCTACAGTTGACAACATCTGTGCTTTCAAGGAGGCCCCAGTCTGGTTGGCATATTCAAAGAAAGTGGGGCTGGGGATCTGCCGGAGTTAGGACCCATTATTTCCCACGTCTCTCTGAGGTGGGCAGTCCAGTGATCTCCAGGCCGCAGTGCCAGCAGGCAGTGTGAACACATCTGGTGCAGCAGCGTGGTCGATGTGACCCTCCTCGTTCACCGTGTTAACTCGCCCTTCAGATGGCGAGACTCCAGTTAGTGCTGCCACCACCTCTGGGAAGCCTTCCGAGACTTCCCCAGGTAGAAGAAAGCCTTCTCTGACCCCTGGCACTCACCCCCACTTCAGGCTGACTAGTTTCTTATCATTCGTGTTTTGTTTTGTTTTGTGTTTTGTTTTGTTTTGTTTTTTGAGATGGAGTCTTGCTCTGTTGCTCAGGCTGGAGTGCAGTGGTGCCACCTCGGCTCACTGCAAGCTCCACCTCCCGGGTTCACGCCATCATTCTGCCTCAGCCTCTGGAGTAGCTGGCACTGCGGGCTCCCACCACCACGCCTGGCTAATTTTTTGTATTTTTAG